>NC_000002.12:102338102-102641133 GCF_000001405.40 Homo sapiens | reverse complement strand
ACAGGGCTGGCGCAAGTTTTATTCACTGTGACGCTCCTATTACCTCATACAGTATGTAGTAAGTTGTGTCAGCAAGAAGTATATATTTGGTCTCTGCTCCTAGTTCCTGGCACAGAGCCCCTAAAACCCTTGTAATGTCCTGAGCAATAAGGGCAATAGGAGCATCTGTTATAATATTCAGTCTTCGTGTCTGGTTCTAGAGACATAAGAGCTTACAAGACTTTCAGAATCCCTGGAGTGATAAGTGTCTTTTGTATGCTAATGAGATGACTGGTGGCTGGGAGTCCCTAGATAGCTTCAAGATGGGTGCTGGTTGCCAGAAAGACCAAGGCAGGATTAGAGGCTTGGGACTTCCAACTCCATCACCCAAATTCTGGGGAGTGGAGAAGGGCAGGAGGTTGAGTTCCATCACCTATCTAATGGGCCCTCCATGAAGACCCTAAATGATGAGGTTGGGAGCTTCTTTGTTGGTGGGTACGTGGTGGAGCTGGGAGGGTGCTGCATGCTGAGAGGAAATAGAAGCTTGGCACCCTCCCTATGCCTGCCCTGTGCACCTCTTCACCTGGATGCTCATCTGTATCCCTTTATAACAACCAGTAAACTAGTGTTGCCCTCAGTTCTGTGAGCTATTATAGCAAATGATCGAACCTGAGCAGGTCAGGGGACTCCCAGTTTGTAGCCAGCTGGTCAAAAGTATGGGAAGGCCCAGGACTTTTGATGGTCATCTGAATCATGGGCAGTTTTGTGGGACCGAGCCCTTAACTGTGGATTCTCTCCCGACTCCAGGTGGTTAGGGTGAGAATAGAATTGAATTTTAGGATACCAGGCTGCTGTCTGGAGAGTTGGAGAATTGGTTGTTGGTGTCAGGGAAAAACCAACACATTTTGTGTGAGAAGTGCTGAGAGACAGCAGAGAAACACAAGTTTCTTCCTAGTATGGTAACAAAGAAAAAGGCTCTTAACCTGCCCTCTGAGCTGGCTCGTTTCCTTAGGTATTGTACACCAAGCCTCAGGAGACAGATGCAGTGAAAATGCAGCAGATGTGCATGTTTTAACTGGAGACTCCAATGCCAGAAAGTTACAGAGTTTGTATCTCACTTTTTGTCTCACACGCCTCGCAATCCTAGTACCAACCTTTCTGTTTTCTCTGATCTTTAATTATTTTATTTCCCAAGAAAATGAACAGCCACTGGTCTATATTTGATTGCACTGGAGGTTTATGCTTTTATTACTACCGGTCATTTCTATGTTTGTCTCAATTTCATTAAAGTTGTAAGAGCTATATTGTTCCTCCTTAAAATGTTCACTTTTGCCAGACATAGAAGAACAAATACTGTATGATTCTGCTTACATAAGGTACCTAGAATGGACAAATTCATAGAGACAGAAAGCAGAATAGAGTTTACCAGGGGCTCAAGGGAGGAGGTGACAGGGAGTAAGTGTTTAATGGACACAAATTTTCAGTTTGTGAAGATGAAAATGTCGTGAAGATTGATGGAGGTAGTAGTTGCAAAACACTGATAATGTACTCAATGCCACTGAATTGTTCACTTACAAATATTGCTGTGACTGCATAAGCACTGCTAAACCAACTCGGAGAAAGGATAATGCTGCTAAATGGATCTCTGCTGGTAGGCATGGTCACCATGCAGTGTTCTGAAATTCTGATTGATCCCCTGATACAGAGTCTGAACTAGTCCTTCAAAAGGCAACTCGACAAATGTTGATATAAAACGTGCAAAGCCTGGGCTGTTCAAAAATAAGAAGCAAAACAACAGAAGTTTTTGGCAGCTCAAAAGGTAAAACAAGTAATTTTTCACAAAAACACTCATAGCAAAATGTCAAAGAATAGGAAAATGGTTGAGTGAATGATAGCCTATTAACATGATATAATAATCTACCACAGCATGCATGTTTATTATGTCAGTTTTTCTGCAGGTTTCTATTTTTTTAGACAGGGTTTCATTCTGTCACCCAGGCTGGAGTGCAGTAGTGCAATCATAACTCACTGCAGCCTCCAGCTCCTAGGCTCAAGAAATCCTCTCACCTCAGCCTCCTGAGTAATTAGGACTACAGGTGCACACCAGCACATCTGGCTGATTTTTAAATTTTTTGTATAGACAAGGTCTCACTATGTTGACCATGCTGGTCTCAAACTCCTGCTCTCAAGGGATCCTCCCAACTCAGCCTCCCAAAATGTTGGGATTATGGGCATAAGCCATCACTCCTGGATTTATTTGAAGTAATGTTCAGTGAAAAAAGAGCACAGAATGGTTTTAAAAGTTTTTATTTTGTTTTAAGACTGTTAAATTCTTTGATTTTACTCACAGATATGTTTTCTGAAACTCCTGGCCTCAAGCAATTCTCCTGCCTTGGCCTCCCAAAATGTTGGGATTACAGGCATAAGCCACTGCGCCCAGACTCACAGACACATTTTTAAAGAAAGTGCATCTCCACACTTGATCAAAAGGCTGAGAAGCAGTGGAAAGTGCCTCTCTTTAGTGAGCATAAGGAACACTTTCATTCAAGACATCAATAATTGCCAGGACCATAACTGATGTACCCACAGAGTTTACCTTTCACAGACGATGAACTCATTGTGTGACTTAACACAGTGCCTCCTGAGTGCAATCCCAGCTCAGCTTCCCTTTGGCTTGTGCTTCTTATTCAAGGTGGGAAGCATAAACCCCTTTCCCTTAGATATTCCATAGTGTCCTTCCCACATTTGTCAATGGTCAGAGTATGTCAACCATTTCTATTTATTTGTCTTTTTGTAACATGATCAATTTCTGAGAATAATACTCATTTTGATCAGTGTTAACTTGACTATAAAACATATTCCAACTGATCCTGAGTCCCTAAGTGTCCCACATAATCAGCTCAGCCCTTTTAAATATACCCAGGTATAAAGACAAGAAGCAAAATTTCATGTAACATGAAAAGTCTGAAGCAGAGTTTGCAAGCTTGCAGGCCACGAGCCACCATGGCCTTCACGCCTATTTTGTTGGGCCTATCTAGTGGGTTCAAAGATTGAGCTCATATTGAGAAACTGAGAGGATCCACATGTAAATTCTTCTGTCCAAGTTATCTTGGAAAATCAGCAAAACTGGGCTTTTGTCACCCATCTTATGCCAATTTCTGCAAAGTGGCCATCAGCTGGAGCTTGGGCAGGGCAAGAGCTGGCTGTCCAGCTTGCTCCCCGTAACCCCTCCCATCTCTCAGGGCATGAAGAGGCA
This sequence comes from Homo sapiens, assembly GCF_000001405.40. Taxonomy (NCBI): domain Eukaryota; kingdom Metazoa; phylum Chordata; class Mammalia; order Primates; family Hominidae; genus Homo; species Homo sapiens. The sequence continues at coordinate 102,637,898 of NC_000002.12, read as the reverse complement.
CCAACAGGGCCCACACTGACAGCTACATGTCTATCTTTTTAGACTCCTTCCTTCTAGTCTCAACCACAGCAATGAGAACACAACTTAGGCAGAGATTCCATGAATTAGGTAACAGATTTCCCATCCTTTAAGCAGATGAGTGAGGGACCATCTCCTCACGGGCCAGGGGTGCCTCCCTGTCCCAGCTGGGGCACTGCAGTTGGTTTTTATCAATGGGGTGAGATCTCTGGCAGGTCCAGTACAGCACACAGAGCTGGTGAAGTTCACTTCTGCAGGTAGGTGGCTCTGCTGCCCTGGGAGTCTCTTTTTCACTGGAGGCAGCTGAATCCTACTCTGATACCCAAGCCAGGGTTGGGCGCAGGATTTGACTCATGCCCTGGTCACCTCACTGCCTGCATTATATTCTTTCTGTAACCCACACCACACCCACTGGACAGCTCGGAAATGATCACTGGCTTAGTTGTGCTGGCACTGCAACTGTGCCCCAGGAAATAATAACGATGGCACTGGCCAGTTTTCAAAGTATTTCAGCATGTATTCTATCTGGGTGTGAAACTTGTGTCTCCCAAGCTGAGAAAAGGACTCTACAGATGGCAAGGGAATTTCTCATACAGCCAGGTGGGAAACAGGATCCTCGCTATTAAATACTGAGAGCTGCCCTTGGACATGCGGAGTATTCTTATTTAGAAAACTCTGGGACTCCAGTTTCCTGTGAGGAACGGCAGGTGAAGCAGTCACAGAGCTTGCTCTCAGTCTGTTAGGACTGCAGGTATAGGTCTCACAGCTATGAAACAGATTCAACGGATCTTCGGTGATTCCACCCATCTTTAACTTTTTCATCTCCTCAAGGCTCTAAGCCCTCCACTTTTTCTTTTTCTTTTCTTCCTTTCTTCCAACCCTCCCATTTTAGAAACACAATCTGATGAAGGGGTTTGACCAAGGAAGGACTCAATTTGAAGAGATCATTCTGAAGGTAAAACTTGCCAGTGCCTAGACAGTGTTTAGGAGGAGTTACAGAGTCCAAGGGGTTGACAAGTTCTAGTGACTATTTCTGAACAGATCCTTTGCACAGCTTAGTTAAGCTGGGGGAAGGGCCACTAGGGCGTGCCAGTGCTGATAAAGACTCTGGTACACTATAACCTAGAGTCAGAACTTCCCATGCCAGCCAGCAGTTGAAAGCAATTTTTATTCTACTGCCCCAGGCTAGATGTTAAATCTTAGGATTTATCGTTCTCTCAACTCATGTGTTAGTAAACGATTTATGCCAATTTTGGCTTTGCTGTTTGCACACTGCTATCATTAAGCCATATAAAGCTTTCCAGGGACTCTACCCCACCCACCTAACCGCCTTGTGTGGGAACCATATTTTCTGTTTTCTGGTTTCTTTTCCTTCAAGAGCTTGCCTTCTAAGCAAATTTACCACTTGCTCAAAATACGTAGATCAAAGTATAGTGAAGGAACCCACAATTGCCAGTAATTGCTACCTGATTTCATTTTTCAATTAAGTGGTTGCTAACACTTAACTGCATTCACCAGTTATTTACATGGCAGGGAAATATTTGCACACTGTTGGCTCAGGCTAAACTAAGAAACTATCCCATTTGGTAAAAGACTGTATTTTCCAAGCTTGCTAGAATACTATCCCTTTCATTCCCTTTCCCTCCTCCCTGACTTCTGTTACCAAGTTGGTGGTCTTTGTCTTCCCATTTGCTTATGGTTGCAAAAATCAAAGGGGTTTCAATGAGTATGTATTGGGATGTGTATTTTAAAGATTCATGGAGATTCTTACAGTTCCATATAGTTCTACAGTCATCATAATTATTACGTTCCATTAAAATAATGGTCAAACCTACTAACACATTCAGTGGGAAAACAGAGGACTAGAGTCTTGCCAATTATACTCATTTGTTCCAAGATTTAGGAACAGTAACAGCTCCCTGGTTTTAGTGGCTTCAAAACAGAAAATTGAAACAAGACCAAATAAAAAGAAAAAGATCAAAAAAAAAAAAAGAAAAAATTATGCAGATGGAGCCAATCATTAAGTAAACAGATTAGCTATCTTATCAACCAAATCCCTTTAGCAAAACCATCACCTCTCATGTGTGGTGCTTAGAATGTGAGCACATGAATGAATGAATGTCAGTTGTAACACAAAACAAAACAAAATAAGATACAGACTCTTCTGAGGTTCAAAGCAGATTACAAATTACATTGTGAAATGATTGAAAATATAAAACAGTGTTACTTGGTTTTAACTATATACGTTGTAAGTGACATTTGTAAAAAGACACCCATGTCCTTGGAACCTCTCTTGAGGAGGGATGGACAGCGAGTGAACAGCCAACTCACACATAAATAATCAGATGTCAGAGAGTGATAGACAGCTCAGAAGAAAGCAAACCTGGGCAACAGGATACAGAGAAACTAGGGCCAGGGCTGTTGCACACAGGCGTGCATGTATTCTTATTTCCCTTTAAAGCTCCTCGAGCCAGAGTCAGCATCTTCCATACTCATCCAGAAACTTCACGAGCGAACACACAAAGAATGCTGCCATTTTCCTAAGTAAGCAGACCAGGCGTGTTAACACGAACAATGTATCCTTCCCAACCCTGAACACCAAGACTTTCAATCAGATAGAAAAGAAGAAGCCGCAATTTTTCAGTATCATTTCTCCTCACCATTCCAGTGTTCCGTAAGAGAAAATGTACAGTCAGCCGATGCACGCTTCTGCCTTAGAATACTGGTGATGAAAAGCGTGGGTTGACATTTCTAAAATAGCAATAATTACTTTAGGCAGCACTTTACTTTAAGATTCTTTCCAATCTAGATTCTGAAAGAAACACTATTTGTACAAAAAGCACAAAAGGCCTAGGAAAGCAACTGCTGAACAACGTGCTTACCACAAGTGTGTGAGCTGATGCATCTGTGGACCCTGATAACACAGAGGAGACCCAGAAGCTCTGGGCTTTCCAGGAAGTGTCCGGAGGAGGGTCAATGAGAGAGCCTACTCTTATAGGGAGTCTCAGCTGACTGTGAACCCTGCAGGCCTAGTCTTTCACCTAGCCCTCCACCAATTATGCCTGGCTGCTCATCTTTCATTTTCCAAGACAAGAACCTGGAATAAAAAAAAAGATGTGCATTGCCTTTCTTTTTCATTGCAAACAACTTAGCAAAAGCAGAAAAAAAATGATTTTTTTAAGCTTACGTAACATATTTCAGAGGCTGACATGTATAATTTAGAAAGAAACCTATTTATTCATAACAGCAATGGCAGAAGATCAGGACGTCTAACAACTTGCTATGGAGCAAATGGACAAAACAGATTTTCATGGTATGATACTATTATACATTGGAGAAGAAAGAAAGAAATCTGTTCTCCTTCAAGGCTATCCACATTTCCAAGGTCTATAAAGTAGCAACTGTTGTAAATGTGTTAACTCTATCCTCACAACAACCTAACGAAGAAGCTGCTACTATGAGCTCATTTTACTGATGAAATAACAGAGGTCAGAGAAGTTAATTGACTCACCCAAATCCATAGCTAGTAAGCAGCAGGGCTGGGATTTTGGACACAGACCTTAAGTTACCACTAAAAGTATATCCAATAATAGTATATACACTATAGTACAGTGATCAAATCAATTACCATCCAAATGAGGATATTTGAGAGTGAAATGACACAATAATAATATATGTGACAGGTCATTAGTAACAAATGTAAACCAGAAATATCATGGACAACCAAGGAGTGTGGTAACTTTAATTACATCATTAAAGTGTGGTGAAAAAAAAGAGTTTCTCCAAATTTTATTGAGTTACTCATTTACTCAGTAATTACTTATTGAGTCTGTACTATGTACCAGGCCTTGTTCCAGACAATGAGTCAAACACAAAATCCTTTCCCTCATTGAGCACACATTCTAATGAATGTCATTTATATGTACATGTGTTTCTATATGTGCCTGTTTGCATGTGTAATACGTGTGTATGTGTGTGCAATGAAACATATTTAACATCTTTTCTCCTGTAAATCTGTTGTAGTTGAACTTATTAAAATCTACATGACAGCTTAAGTTATATGGGTTGAACCTTCTCTTAACCTATGAATACTTAACGTGTTAAATATATATCTCAGAAGCATTACAATTCTGTATTCTGTGCATCATGGATGATGGACAAGACCAGGCCAAGATTCTGAAGTTCTAGACTCATGGTCTGGCTCTGGTACTACTGAGTTCCGCTACCTTACCTTTTCCTTAGCTCTTTGTGTCCTACCCAGTTTGAAGTTGTTGTGAGGTCATACTAATCCTAACTTTTGGGTTGCAGTGTACTTTCTTCATGTTTACTTTGATTCGTCCTCACAGAATCACACGAAGGAAGCCGGGTGCTATTATTATTGCGTGATTTTACAATGGCAATCTGAGACTGTCATAATGAGGCCTACGGGTCAAGCATGAGCCTCAAATGCAGGCCTCTGGCTCCAGGTTAAGAGTGGGTAAAGTGTGCTGGAGACCACACCGGAAGTGTGATATTTTAATATCCTTTCCCGTGAGAAACAGGGGGCCCGGTGAGACACATCCAAGTGATGAAGAACTAGCTGTGGCCCCACCTCTGCCACTTGATAGCTGACACCTTGGACAAGTTACCTAAGCTCCCTAAACTCTTATCCTCATCTATTTTTTAAAACTAGGAATAATAATGGTGCCTACCTTCCAGAATTACCATGAGAATTAAATAAGACAATGAATGTAAAGCGCTTGGCTCAAATACCTGACAGAGAATAATGTTCTGTCCTTGTTAGCTATTATTATTTTATTAAAGAAACTGTGATAGAGGAATTACCAAGTCTCACTCATCTCCACCTTTCTGTGCTACAAGAAAATGCACCACTGGTTGCATTACCCTGCTCAGGTTTCCTGGCCAGTGGGTCTCCAGGAAACAGGCCCAGGAATTGGGAAAAGCAGCCAGAGGCAGAGTCACAGAAATATGGCTATGGAGTTGTTTCACTGCCCTGTGATTTTCTAAACAACTTTCCATGGATAGCAAAACCTTTATCCTTCTTTAGAGTGTTTCCCAGACAGAGCAGATAGGTGTAATCTGATTCATTTTTAGGTGAAATTTCTAAATGTATTGTGAGTTTGATTTTTCTTTTCTGTCTTTCCCATGTAAGCCTTTGTATGCCAACACAAACCATAACATGAAACTCACCTGGAAAGTATGTGTGTCACAGTCATAACAGAGATCTTTTGGTGGAATTCCCCTGCCCTACCCACCAGAATTATTAGAGAGGAAGAGGAATACAAGGCGTCTTCAAACAAGGGATGAATTTGACAAATCAAGATGAGAAAGCCCATGTGCAGTGATAAACAATGCACAGGACTGTTGCAGGAAGCGCATCAATTATGACTCATACATTTAAAAGATGTAATTGTGAGAGAATAACCTATAATTGTGCATGTATCATTAAAATGACAATACGCCCATGTCTACACATCACTTTAATATAATATTAATGTAATAAACACATGCTTCTCTTGGCTTAAGTCTCTTTTGCTGTAAAAGTAACAGCTTTGTTATAAATGATGTACTCCCCTGCAGGCAATCTTATATTATCCTTATGGAAATATTAAACAGATAGGGCAAATATATATATATATATGTATTATATATATAATAAATATATATATTTATATCCCCACTTTCATTTATATATATATGTATGTATATATATGTGTATATATGTGTATATATGTATATATACATATATATGTATATATGTATATATACATATATATGTATATATATGTGTATATATATGTGTGTATATATATGTGTGTGTATATATATGTGTGTGTGTATGTATATATATATATATATATATATATATATATATATATATATATCCCCACTTTCATTAATTAAATGGAAGAACCAAGTAGATGAATACTTGTTATGGTCATAAGACCAAGTTAATGGCAGATGTGGAATTACAACAGGGTCTTCCTGCTTCTAATCCAGGGCTATCTTTCCCAAAACTTAGGTCAAACACTTCTGTCAACTGCTAAGCTATTATTCTTCTACACAAGCATGAAAATACGCAAAATAAAACAGAAGCAGTACAGTCACACCCCCACATCCTTCAGATTGAAAACTAGGAAAGTATACATTATTTTTACCTTACATTAAAGAGAAGCCATTATGATAACATAACCATGAGAATTAGGCCTTCTATAGAAAGTATGTCCTTAAAACATGCTGTGTAAAATGTCACAGAGATATCCAACAATATGGACACAAATGGTGTCTCCTCATACTACTACATAAGATATTAATATCTAGCTGAGTTCAAAATTAAGGAAAAGGTCTAGGAGGCAAAAAATAAGGAAATCAAAATGAGATATGTCAGTAGGATTTGAAGTCACAGTGAACCAGGGGAACTCCTGACACAGATGCGTGACCTATGTGCTAGGATCTGGCATTTTAACACCTACATGAGGATGAGACATTTGACTTCAGACCACTAAAGAAAGGGCTCCTGAAGAAATTCCTGAATTTCCAACAGCTACATTGTCCTAAATAAATAAATACTAGCACAAAAAAAAAAGAAAAGATGCTTTTAGCCAAGAAAAAAAGGAAGGAAAAGAAATATGTCAACTCCTTATGGCTTTGAGCCAGGGGAAATTCGCCCATGAAGTATAAAATTCCAGGTCTATACCACATACAGGTATTAAGTCTATATCTATAGTACTTGAATCACATAGTAAAGCCAAGCTAAGAAATGAATAGTAAAAACATATCATTAAAACCCTAGGTCCCAGCAAGAAGCACACTCCAAACCATTTTGTAAGAACATTTTACAACTTAAAGAAAACAGACGTTTACCAAATAAACATCACCTGCTGAAGTTAAGCTCATAATTAAAACTACAATCTACATAAGGAAATAAATATTGAAAAGAGAAAGTCAGTAAATGGATAAATATAAGAATTAGCACCCCAAGTATTACAAATAACAGAACAATCCAAAAGAGACTATAAAATGAATATAGTTTAAAGGAATAAAGGAATAAAAGAATAATAAAACCAATAATTACTATAATTACGTAATGCAACAGCATGAACAAAACACAAATAGACTTGAAAAAGGGCCCAAACAGCTTAAATGAAAATATAATTAAAACTAAAAATCCAATGAGTAGGTTAAGCACAGATTAGAAATGCACTGAGAGTAAAATATGGTAAGCTGGAAAAAAGATAAGATAAAATCACCAAGAAATACCACAGCAATGAAGAGACGAAAAACGTGAAAGAGCTGTTAAGAAGCATGGAAGTATAACAAGTTCTGAGCAAGAAAAATAAAGTAAATCTATACTTAGACACGTTAAAAAATAGCAGAATATCAAAAACAATTTAAAAAACTTAAATAAAACCAGAGACATAAGTCAAATTAATATCAAAAGTCAGTGTAACAACATAATTCCACTTACCAACAAAAGAGGACAAAAAGTATTGAAGTAATATATTCTGAGTGATGAACAACACCAAACCCTACACTCAGTTACATTATCATTTAATAGTATAATAAAAATAAAGATGTTTCCATACAAGACTAAAGCCTTCCCTGAAGTATCCACTGAAGAATATACATCAGTAAAAACAAAAACAAACAAAAAAGAATCCGGAAGGCAGAAAGAGATAAAAAGTAACAATGAAGAAAAACTGGAAAATATGTTTACAGATCTATGTAACTACTTCTTATACAAAGTAAAAACTAATTTGGAGGAAGTTAAATACAGTCCAAATATGAATTATGACAAAATATTATAATTCTGAAACACGCAGTTAGAATTTTTTTAAGTTCAAGTATTAGGAAGAAGATGATAAAAATAGCAAATACTTTCATGTTCTAGGAATTTATTTGATACCATTATGTTCCATGAAATTATTGTAACACTTTACATGTATTAGCTAATTTACTTTACACAACAGCCTATGACATTGCTACATTGATTGTCCCCACTTTACCACTAGGACTACTGAGCCCTGCGAGTTTAAGTTATATACTCAAAATCACACAACCACAAAATATGTAGGAAAATGTATCTGAGATGTGAGCAGCCATGGTAGTCTGGTTGACTCCTGTTAAATCAGATAATCACATTAAACTGTATAGTATCCTTAAAAAGAATAGCAAAAGAATATATAATTATGTATGAAAAACAAATAAGAAAGAGAAATCAACCAAGCCAAAATATGGCAAGAAAGAAAGATTAGGATACCAAGTGAAAGCATGGTAAACAGAGAGCAAAATAAGTCAAAATATATCATTATACACAATAAGTGTAATTACATTTCTCTTTTTAAGCTACGGTGTTTTAAAATGTGAAATTAAAGATGCAAAATCCAGATCTATGTGGTTTAATGAGGCCTAGCCAAATGAAAATAACATAACTCATTTGATAGTATAGGTATAAAAATATACATCTGGAAAATGTAGATATAGAAAACAGATATGGAAAAAAAGTACATGCGCAAAATCAAGTTTTCTTTTAAATGGTAATAGTTTTATATGAAAAAATACACTTTGAGCCACAAGTACTGGAAATAAGGAAGTTAAAAACTTAATAATTAAAGGAAGAACTCACTCTGGAGATGTAACAATATTGAATGAGTATGTAATAACATAGCATCAAAACAAAGCAAAAATTGAAACAATTACAAATGGTAATTGACATCACAATTTTAGAAGTGATTTTAATGTACCCCAGGAACTGATAAAGTAACCAAAAAACTGGTAATGCTATTGAAGATTTTAACACCGTAATTAGAAATTTGACCTAGTCTCTATGTGTCTGCATATGTATACATCTAAGTATATAAAATCCTGTACACAATAAATAGAGAATACACATTGTTTTTTCAAGTATAAATGGAAAATATAGTTTTAAAATGTCCATAAAATAAGCCATAAAGGATATCACAATCAACACTAAAAATCAGCATTATACCTATCTAGCCAAAATGCATTAAAATGTCAATAAAATAAAAAACAACTGGGCATGGTGGTGCATGCCTATAGTTACAGCTACTTGGGAGGCTTAGGCGGGAGAATCATTTGAGCTAAGGAGTTTGAGAGCGGCCAAGGCAACATAGTGAGAACCTATCTCTAAAACTGACAATGACAACAAAAACCCCAAATCTCCATAAGTTTATTAACTGAGAAGTAAAATTCTAACTAATTATTGAGTCAGAATAAAATATCACAAGGGGGTTTAAAAATACCGAGAGCTGAGTGACAGTGGAAACCCCGCATATCAAACCTATGCAATACAATTAAAGTAGGAAAAAAGGGGTATATTTCTAGCCTTAAATACATATATTGCCGTTCTTCCAAAATTTACCCATTTGGATCATGAGAATTCATCTTTGAGAAGAGTTTCATTGAATAATCCTATTTTAGTTCATGAAGCATTCCTTTGGCTCCATGAAGATCAAACTGATTTTGTGGACTCTGAGCATCCTGAGATGAGATCCATCAAAAGCAGTCATCATTCCAGTTTTATCATTGGTATGTTGTGTTAAGAAATCCTTTCAGAACACCCATGGTTTCCTACTTAACAGCAGTAAAGACATCATGCAATTTATTCAGAAACTGATATGTCATTTGCATAATTTTCCTTATATCTTTTGTCTTTACCATTCTCTTTATTGTTATTATTATTTGTATTAAAGATGAATTTACATAAACTTTGAGTATTATGAATACGTTTAGTTTGTGACAGAGTCTTAAGTGTACAGTATATCATAGATTTGAATTTAATGAAAACAAGCAAATACCCATATTTGGGATAAATTGATAAGGGGAATTGTCTTATTAGGAGTTTCAATAAGTAAGTAAGCTACTGAAGTAATTTTGTTCATTTTAATAAGACTGATGTCACTTTAGCATAAGTGCATGTCAATTTTGGAGCTCAGGGATTCATAAAAATACCAGCAGAGAAACTATTGAAAATAATATTAATTATGTTTTTAAATATTGGTGTTTCTTACTCTTGTAAGGCGGGAATTAACAATATTAACAGAACATAAGTAAACCAAACAATTAATGGGTTAAGTTTTTAATTCAAGGATTAATTAAATAAATAAACCCAAAGAAAGCTGAAGTAAGTAAATCATAAATGTAAGAGCAGAAGCAGATAACTTAGAAGCTAACCAAAAGCTAATTCTTTGATAAAGTATCAAATAGACAAACTCCTGCATACCTGATCAAGGTGAAAAAAAGAAAAACATAACAATATTAGAAACAGAAAGGAGAACATAAATGCATATAAAGTGGAGATCTTTTAAATCATAAAATAACTTCCAATAAATTTTTAAAAACTCAAAATAATAATTTTATAAAAAATACAAATTACCAAAATTGACCCCAGAAGACACAGATAAACCAAATAAAACTATAAACATTAAAGCCACGGACTCACTGGTTAAAATCTATCCATATACCAAAACCATCAATTCACTTGCTTTTACAGGTGAGTTTTTATATCACCCAAGGAACAGTTTGTTTTTTTTGTTTCTAAGAGAGCAGGTCTCCATCTGTCTTTGCCCACTCCCACTGGAGTGCAGTGGCATCATCGCAGATCACTGTAACTTTGAACTCCTGAGCTCAAGTGATCCTCCTGACTAGCTCCTGAGTCACTGGGACTAAAGGCACAGGCCACCAAACCTGGCTTTTTGTTGTTGTTATTGTTGTTGTTGTTGTTGTTGTTAACATTTTGAAGAGATTGGGCCTCACTATGTTGCCCAGGCTGGTCTCAAACTTCTGGCCTCAAGTGATCCTCTCACCTCAGCCCCACAAAGTGCTGACATCACAGTTGTGAGCTACAATACCCAGCCAGAACAAATGGTTTTATGCAAACAGTTCATTGTATACTTCTTAGGGATTCAATCTAGGTGAAATAATTCTGTAAGAAATAAAGCTGAGTATTGTTATCATTGTTAAAGTGGATATAATGTAACATTTTCATTTGGTGATAAAAATATCTATTATTTCTCTGATGGCCAGTGATGATGAGCATTTTTTCATGTGTCTGTTGTCTGCATAAATGTCTTCTTTTGAGAAGTGTCTGTTCATATCCTTCGCCCACTTGTTGATGGGGTTGTATGTTTTTTTCTTGTAAATTTGTTTGAGTTCTTTGTAGATTCTGGATATTAGCCCTTTTTCAGATGAGCAGATTGCAAAAATTTTCTCCCACTCTGTAGGTTGCCTGTTCACTCTGATGGTAGTTCATTTTGCTGTGCAGAAGCTCTTTAGTTTAATTAGATCCCATTTGTCAATTTTGGCTTTTGTTGCCATTGCTTTCGGTGTTTTAGACATGAAGTCCTTGCCCATGCCTATGTCCTGAATGGTATTGCCTAGGTTTTCTTCTAGGGTTTTTATGGTTTTAGGTCTAACATTTAAGTCTTTAATCCATCTTGAATTAATTTTTGTATAAGGTGTAAGGAAGGGATCCAGCTTTGGCTTTCTAAATATGGCTAGCCAGTTTTCCCAGCACCATTTGTTAAATAGGGAATCCTTTCCCCATTTCTTGTTTTTGTCAGGTTTGTCAAAGATCAGATAGTTGTAGATATGTGGTATTATTTCTGAGGGCTGTGTTCTGCTCCATTGGTCTATATGTCTGTTTTGGTACCAGTACCATGCTGTTTTGGTTACTGTAGCCTTGCAGTATAGTTTGAAGTCAGGTAGCGTGATGCCTCCAGCTTTGTTCCTTTGGTTTAGGATTGACTTGGCAATGTGGGTTCTTTTTTGGTTCCATATGAACTTTAAAGTAGCCATCAGAGAAATGCAAATCAAAACCACAATGAGCTATCATCTCACACCAGTTAGAATGACAATCATTAAAAAGTCAGGAAACAACAGGTGCTAGAGAGGATGTGAAGAAATAGGAACACTTTTACACTGTTGGTGGGACTGTAAACTAGTTCAACCATTGTGGAAGACAGTGTGGCAATTCCTCAGGTATCTAGAACTAGAAATATCATTTGACCCAGCCATCCCATTACTGGGTATATACCCAAAGGAATATAAATCATGCTGCTATAAAGATACATGCACACGTATGTTTATTGCAGCACTACTCACAATAGCAAAGACTTGGAACCAACCCAAATGTCCAACAATGATAGACTGGATTAAGAAAATGTGGCACATATACACCATGGAATACTATGCAGCTGTAAAAAATGATGAGTTCATGTCCTTTGTAGGGACATGGATGAAGCTGGAAACCATCATTCTCAGCAAACTATCGCAAGAACAAAAAACCAAACACCTCATGTTCTCACTCATAGGTGGGAATTGAACAATGAGAACACTTGGAAACAGGAAGGGGAACATCACACACCGGGACCTGTTGTGCGGTGGGGGGAGGGGGGAGGTATAGCATTAGGAGATATACCTAATGTAAATGATGAGTTAATGGGTGCAGCACACCAACATGGCACATGTATACATATGTAACAAACCTGCACGTTGTGCACATGTACCCTAGAACTTAAGTATAATTTTAAAAAATTTAAAAAATCTATTATTTTAAAGGGTACAAAAACACTTCAGAAGTAAAGTGTAGTGGCAAAATTCTAGAAGACACCCAAATTGGTTTTTAGAGAGAAGATGGAAAAGCTGTTGAAGTCATCCTTCAGACAGAGAACAGAAAATGTGTGAGCAGCCCACTGGGAGAAGATGGAGGCTTTGAGAAGGAAAGGAATCAGTGCTCTTCTTTTAACTTTACGAGGAACCAATACCTGCCACCAGAAACTCCTGAATTTAGAAGTGTATTCAAAGTGAGATGTGGTTCAGATAGCAGGTGAAGACCCTGAGCTGCATCCATTGACCAACCAGTTGATGAATATGCCTCAGGAAAACCAGAGGACAAAGAAAAACAGACTAAGTGCAAGGATAAGTTTTTTTCAGAGATCAAAGTCTCTGTAATTCAGACAGATATGAAACTCTTAGGTTTCATATTTCAATTTCAGGATAGCCTGGATCCCAGGGGAGACGTCTTCATGAAGCAAACTGCTTTCTATCTTTCCCCTTAAAATTATAAGAATATAATTTATTTAATTTCATGACAGCAGGATGGAGGGAGGTGGAAAATTCTGCATCTTACTCCAACTTAGGGGCAGAGAAAATCAAAAGAGCAGAGTGACCAGTGACACTTGAAAGGAGATGGAAATAGGCCAGCCTCACAAGACCTCAAGATATGGGAAGGTATGTTAGGGGAACCCCAGGACAAAGAAGGAGGCTCTGTTACTTTACACAGCAAGGTACTCAGTGTTTTGTCCTTAAACCTTGAGAAGAAATACAGTCCATGTCCAAGTTCACCCAAATTAGCAAAAACCCCAGTAGGCCACTTCACAGGCAAAGAAATCAGAGGAGGCAATCTTAAAACACATCAGAAAATTTTATCTCAATTCTTTGGCTACCCATTATTCCAGGTCGTAGAACCCCATCTCTCTATACAAGATTTATCAAGCAAAGTGTGTACTTATAACTATAAAAATAATCAACGGTTGCTCAAAATATAAATATTCAAAGTGAAAGAATAATGTGAATTCACATGTGCAAGGACCTAAGTAAGAAACAAATGAGGAAACATTTCTTGCCAAAACTTTTAAAGCTTTTCCGAGGTGTACTAAATTTGCTGTGCTTTAAAAAAATATTTTGACCTACTTCATAAGCACATACTCATCATCATCTTTACCATCATCACCATCATTATCATCATTGTTTTGGTAAATGTTATAATTACAAAACTACTTTTTCTGGACCAAGTAATTAGGATGTTGATTTTCCCTGATAATCAAGTGTAACAATTAAGAGCTAAGCTGAATCATTCAATGCTTTGCCAAAAATGGATTTTCTCACTTCTGATTGTAATATTTCTAAGATTATATTAGCTGATAATATATAATGTAATATATATTATATTAGAAAACTATTCTGAATTCACCATCAGGCATTATTTAAACCCCCTACAAATGTTATTCGGATCCTCCACTTTGGACAGCCTGTTAATTTAACCACGTTTAGATTAATCACTAGCAATGTTTCTCCATGTTCTCTGAGGCAGGTAAGGTCAGGTACACTACACAAATGGCACAAAAGTGCCCCAAATAGAAACCATGGCATTTTGCAGGGGTTAGCATTTGCATTACCCCACAGTATCATATCCACCTGCACAGCTCAATTCCTCTTCATTCCCAAATATGAGCAACTTAAGTCATATAAGCCACCACAAAACAGCTTTTTCAGAACAAAAGTTGAAAGAGAAATGACTAGATGACTGTTTAATGGGGTACGAAAGTGTCCCACAGCACCAGGACGGTCCTGCTTAAAACCAAACAGAAAGTTCAGAACCCTGGGAGCAAGAGGAGGGGTGGGGATTTCTGGGCATTTCCTGGCTCCTCTAGGAACACAGGGGAAGCTGCAGGACGAGGCTGGGCTCTATGCAGACGAATCTGGAGAAAATACCCCAGGCACCAGCATTTTGGACTCTAAAACTCCACTTTCTGTCCTGAGAAATATACCCTTCACTCTACCCATGGCAGTCTCCATTTGGCTGTTCAGACCACTCTCTGCATGGAAATTATCATCTCTGTGACACTCAGATGCAGAAAGGAAAGGTAAAGTAGTAGCCAGAGACGTTCCAAATTTGGGGGAGGACAGGAGGTGCAATATGTGATGATTTCCATAGCCAAGCACAATGCAGGGGAAAGCCGAAACTGGCAACTAGAACAGAGGGGGCCCAGGAAATATAAACATATCTGGGCTAAAAAGATGCTAGTGGAGAGACAAATACACCTGTTATGCAAGCAAGCATGAATGCCTTTAACAAAATACCACATAATGAAAGTGAGATGGTCCAATAAAATGAATGGAACAGGACAGCAAGAGAGTAAGTGCGGGAAGGCAGCCCACAGAATAAGAACACTTGTAGAAGGCTGAGGCCAAAGCGGAAGTAAAGAGAGACAGGTGGCAGCCCAGGACAGTCAACAGTGGAAAAGGTTCTGTAGTGCTAGAAACTGTACAGTTAACTACTACTACTTTGACTATACCACTGTCCTCACTGCTACTAATGATGATAGTATGGATGGAGTGATGGAGTGCTTACAGTGTGCCCAGCTTTATTCTAAAGATGTTACACATTCATTCTCATTTAATCCTCCCAAAAGAACAAGCCTTCTGGAAACGCACAAAGATGAGAAATGAGACAGACCTGGCTGGAATTCTGGCTCACCACCCACCACCAAGTTAATCTCCCCATTTTTTCATTTTCTCCTATATGAAACCAGGAAAACAACACCTACCCGGCATGGTGACTGTAAAAATTAGAGATAATGCCCTTAAGTGCCTCCTAGAGGCTGTTATTATTGTAACTAATCTGATTAAAACAATCAGGAATGATGAACAAAGGAGATAGTTGGAATAGAAATGGCAACAGAGAAGCAGTAATGGAAACAGGCACAGAAGCAGCCCTCCAGCGATGGAGCCTTGAGGCTCAGAGAGAGTGACAGGGAACAGGTCATTCATTTTGGCTCGCCACTTTGTGTGCTTCTGGGTGCAAATTCACTCAGAGTTTCCACCTCAACTAGTGGGAGTATTAATACCGCCACTCCCTACAGGGCAGGCTTGTGGCATCTGAGTTTATTATTAGAGGCAATTTACAAACATGTGTGTATCTGGTTTATAGGTGGGGAAGCCCATCTCCCTTATACCATCTCTCAGTGGAATTAAGACACTCAACTAGTAGCACCACGTCAAAGCCAGTCAATTACAGACTTCAGAGTTGTTAAATAATATGTGTCTCTCTTAGTCACCACTAATAGACTCTAATTAATCTTATCTGGCATGAAGATTTGCTTCCGGTTTACCTACCACAACTTCCACCCTCCTGTAAACCATCCCTTCTACCTGCTTTGCACTCCTCTCCCAATTTATGTCTTTGTTCAGTCCTCTCTGGAATGTTGCTCCCTTTTCTCTCTAACTGACCAGATCCTGGTCATCCTGGAAAATCCAGTTTAAATGTTTGCTCTGCATGAGGAAGTGTTCTCTGCTTCCCTGCAATGGCATACTATCTTTTCTGAGTTTGTCACCCTACTCAGCACTGTCCTGGGCAATAATCACACAGCGTGTACACGTCTCTCCACTCATCAGTAAGCTCCCTGAGGATGGCAGACAATGCGTCTTTTCATTCTTTATGGAAATCTGCCTCATCTCACAGGGTAAAGACGTAAAACACATGTAATGCATACATTCTTTGGACCTAACAACTTAATCGAATCATTATAACAATAGTTAATATTTCAGGATTTTTCTAAAGTCTTTAAAATATAAAGTAAAAATAATATAAAGCACCATGCTCATAACATGAAAGTTTCTGGGGCGTGGGTAATGAAGATGAGAAAATATATTCTGAGGTTTCTGCTTTCAAAATGAGAGTTAAAGGTAGTATGAAAGTGGGTAATTTTTTTTTTTTTTTTTTTTTCCCTGAGACAAGGTATCTCTCTGTGGCCCAGGCTGGAGTGCAGTGGTGCCATTCATGGCTCACTGCAACCGCAACCTCCTGAGTTTAAGCGATCCTCCTCCCTCAGGCTCCCGCCTCAGCCTCCAAGTAACTGGGAATACATATGTGCACCACAACACCAGGCTACCTAATTAATTAATTAATTGATTGATTAATTTTTGAGACAGAGTCTTGCTTTGTTGCCCAGGCTGGAGTGCAGTGGCAATCTCGGTTCAATGCAACCTCCGCCTCCTGGGTTCAAGCAATTCCCTCCCTCAGCCTCCCGAGTAGCTGGGATTACAGGCGCCCACCACCACGCCCGGCTAATTTTTTTGTATTTTTAGTAGAGACGAGGTTTCACCATGTTGATCAGTGATCCTCGTGATCCACCTTGCCTCAGCCTCCCAAAGTGCTGGGATTACAGGCGTGAATCACCTCGCCCGGCCAATTTTTTATTTTTGTACTGTTTGGTCTTGCTATGTTGCCCATGATGATCTTGAACTCCTGGCCTCAAGGGATCCTCACGTCTGGGCCTCCCAGTGTGCTGGGATTACAGGCTGGGCCATTGTCCTGGGCCCAGAGTTAATTATTTTTAAATATGCATCTCACCTCACTGGCCTCAGCCACCCCGAAGCAAAAGCTTCCTGGAGAGTGACAGCCTCAACCCAATAGAGGGAGGAGAAAGGGCGTTCCTATTGCAGCTGCAAGCACTCAGGTGTCCCTGGTCCCCTTCCATGCACCTCATTAGTCAGGCGCACAGCAGGGTCTGTGTCACTGCCAAGGCGCCTCTCTCCTGTAGCATCCAGGGTTTTAACCACATTATGCATAGCTCCGGGGTTCGTCGGCACCTCTCTCCCTGCAGGTGAGACTGGTACACTTCAATAAACAGATCTCACTCAACTTAAGCAGAGAGCTGACAAACTTGGCGTTCCGTGCGGCAGAAGTAAGCAGCAATCGCTGAGTTTGTAGAACTTACACTTGGGGCCATTTCAAGGCCAATGTTCCCTTAAGAACCAAAACGCGAAACTGCTCTTCCAAGGGTCCTTTTCAACCAGAAGAAGCTGCTCCATCTGTCGTCCCTGCCCTGATTCAAGATGAGGCGGTCACTATCTAGAGGTCAGCTGGCTGACCCGGTCACCCTCCAGGTGTCCCCCCGAGATCGCCCCCTCCCATTCCCCACAAGTCCAGTTCGCTCACCAATCTTGGCCAGGGAGGCCAGCAGGATCCAAAGGGTGATCTCGAAGGGGATCTGCACGTGGGGGTAATCCAGCGTAAACACAGGCAGCCGGCTCTCCTCGAACAGCGTCGTTCCGGGAGCCACCACGCTCGCAGGGCTAGGCGGGCTGGAACTGGTGCCCATGGCCCTCGGCGCGTTCAGCAAGGTCTCCGCCAGGGCGCCCACGGGCCCCGCCACCTGCAGGAGCAGCAGCAACAGCATCGGAGGCAGTGGCGCCCGCAGGCTCCTCCAGTTGCCCAGTGGTTCCATGGGTGCCGCCGGTTGCCGCCAAGGGGACCGGCGGTTGGCCCTCCGAGCGCTCAACGCATCGCGCCCGGGCTGCTCAGCCCGCTCCGCCCTGCCCCGTGCAGGGCAGGGCAGCGACAGCCACCCGCCGCTGCTGCGGCACCGGGTCTCTGCAACCAGAGGGCTAGGTCCTCGCTGCGAGCAGGCGCACTGCCTGGCGAGGCACGTGCAGGGCGACGAGAGGCCGCTGCGCGTACCCTCAGCAGCCCTCAGCCGCCCTCCGCCGCCGGCCGCCTGCCCATGCCGGTGCGCTGCTCTCCAGCCGCAGCGGCAGGCCCTGCCCAGGGCGGCCCGCGGGCGGGGGCGGGGCGGGCGCGGCGCCCAAGCCGCAGGGCAGGAGGACAAGGGGACCTGGCCGGCACACCGCGCACCTGCCCGAGCCCGCGGGGAACGCGGGGCCCCAGTGACCGCGGGGGCGATGGCTGCCCTCCCTTCGCGCAGGCACCGCGCGCCAAGACCCGCCACCCCCAGAGCCAGCGAACTGTGGGTGGAATCGCCGCAACGGGCGCATGGTGGCCGGAGCTGTCTCCGCCCCGGAGGCAGCGTCGGACGTCCATCCAGTGAAGGAACCAGCGCGACCCACGAGTCGCGCCCTTCCCTCCTCCCCCGCCCCCGCAGGCTCCTCCAAGGGGACACCCCGGTGCGCTGGGCGCGCGGGGAGGCGCCACAGGCTCGCGGTCCGGAGGAGAAGCCCGGGCCGGTGGAGGAGGAGTGCTGTCACCCCAGCCTGGCGCTGCGGAGGCCAAGACAAGGCATGGGATTCTCTGGACGTACAGAAAGTTTAGGAAAGCCAAATTTTGTTTCCTTTCCGAGAGTTATCAACTCGCGCACAAGGTGCTCTGAACAGGGAAACTCCCTGCGCGGAACTCAGTGTTCCCACGCCCCCACGGAATCGGAATCCTGTTCTCTCCTCTTGCCACATTGTGCTGCTTTCACCCATTTGCTACACTGTCGCTGCCACTTTTCTTCTCCCTCCCCCAGCTCACGTAAAAAAAACCAAAACATCTTTCTCCGCTTTTAGGCTTAGAGGTGTACATGTCCAAGAGCATAAGAAATATAATTATTTCATGGAAAACCAGTGATTTGCCTCGCTCAGATTGACTTGCTCCGCTAATTACAGGACAGGCTGTGGTCAGGAAAAGAAAGGAAGCGTGATTCTTCTTCTGGATCTAAAAGGGCTTTCTCATGCAGAGCCAACCTTTCCTGTCCTTCAGAGCGCCTCCTTCACTGGTTGCGATCTCACTGTTTGAGCATCTTTATCGCCAGAAACCGAAATGAGCACAAAGGGGACTAGTTGCCATTCAATTAACTGAAAGTTTTCCCTTTGATATTTATGAAATAAAATCCTTCTCTTTTCTTAATCTTTGATGTGTCAAAACACGTGGCTTCTACTATTAAACAAACACCAGGCAGTTCGACCTTCAAAGCCGTTTTTTTTTTTTTTTTCTTTCAAAGTTCTAACATAGAAAATCAGTGAGATGTCAGCAGAGGGTACAAGAAAAAAAAATCCTCCACCTGCATAGAAGAAAATAAGGAACAGTCCTCTTTGGGTCTTCAAAGTAATGGAGGGACAAGTCCAGGCTAAAAAGAGAGAAGAATTCTGGGAGATGTTACAGAGCACTACTTCATTTGATATTTCACAAAGCATCAGTTTTTCAAAAGCGCTACAGAATTGAAACTAAAGATATTATCTTGAGAAGAATCATTGGGCATCCAAAACTCAGCCTCCCCTTCTCCTTTCACTGGAAACGTTTATTAAAGGTATGTGCCTAACATACCCCTGTGAAAAGGCAGCAAATAAGAGATTTTTAAATTTTTTGAGTATCTGTCTCTACATGGGAAGCTCAATACAAGGCACTTTACTTGCATTTTTTTGTCAATCGTAAAAATCCAAAGAGGCAGATATTTTTTACCCATTTTATAAGTGAAGAAATATAGTGTAGAAATGTGTAAAAATAAACAAATAGACTTAATCAAGTTTACATATTAAGTAAGTGTCTGGATGGAATTCACACCCAGGCCTGCCCAGGCTAACACTGGTATCATCTCACCCTCTACCCCATGACTAGTTGCCCATAAACAGCACGCTATATTCTCAGCTACTTTAAAATAAGCAGTGGAGAATATTACAGGGATTGTTCAAAAAAGTTACAGCAGGATAAAGTTTTGGTAAGTGAATCAGGCAGTTCTACAAACTTAGTGACATAGTAATAGGGAGAGGGCACATTTAGACAATACTTTCTAGGAGTTTGTCACACAACACTTTTAAGAATAATTGTGTATCATGAACAAGAAAATGAATGACAAATCTGTTTCCGGGCCCTCACTGCCTGTAAACCTTATGTGGTATCACTTCAACTTTATACATCTATGCTACTGCAGTTAAAGGCTATCCACTTTTTTTTACATTTGAAAAAAAAGTCGTTTTATTTATTCTTGTAAATGGGAGGCGAAGAAATTAGTCTAAAAAGACATTCTTTTCATCTTTCCCTTAAAGCAAATTTAAAAAGAGTTAAATTATGCCCCTATGCTGAGAGCGACTTGGCCTGGCTATTTCTTCAAAGTGCCCTCTGACTAGGAGCTCAGCCGTGAAAGTGATAACACCACCCATGGGATGACTGAAGCAAGAAGCGAAACGTGTGTACACATTTAAAATCCTTTAGTGGTTTCTTAGCGACCTTTGGACGTCTCACCTGGTAGCTGAATTTCTGGACTAATTGGGGGGTCTTCTTTTATGCCCTTTGATCTCCCATAACTTTTCAGCACTTAATCATTTTGCTTTTCTCCCACTGAACATCTCTGTGAAGGTATTGGTCTGTTTAACTCATTCTTTTATCTTTAGCTCCTAGCATATTGCCCGGAGACAGTGAGTACCCGCTAAATATGTGTTGGACGAATAAATGTATGAATTGACGGTGAAATCAACAACTCTCACACACTACGGATCTGAGCTGCAGGGCTTTCTCACAGTTAGGCCAGTTGCAGGATGGACATGAATTCTCCTAGTTTTACATGAAATGTTTTCTCCAGTGATCCCTCATTCACATTTTGGCATCTCTCATGTCTTTTTTCCCCCTTCTACCCAAATGATGTGTGAATTTAATCACATTACAAGATTTCTAAATATTTTTAGAAATTATAGTTACCTGATTTCAGATTGACTTTCACATAGCATAGAAATATTTACTAGGAATTTATGAACCTTCTAAGGCAAATGCGTACTTTTCTCTGCACTTTGCTCAAGAGTGGTCCATTAGAATATTACTGTATTTAATGGAATACTTTAATAGGAGTAACTCTCCTGAATTATACAGCCATCAAGCAAGAGAGTAGATCTGGCATCACTAGGAATCACAAAGGATTTTGGAATACTTCCTGGTACAAGGGAAAGAAACTAGTAAGATAAAGCTGAGTTAGCTTAAGAGGACATGCACCTTAAAATATAAAACTGTGAGCTGTGCAGAGGAGATTAGGATCCTGACCTAACCCAGGACTGATCTTAAATCCCCCGCTCCTGCACTGGAAACTTCAGGAGGAACTGAGGTTTAACTTTGTGTCTCTTGCCATACAGAACTTAGAGCTTACTGAAGAGTTGTAGAATGTTGAAACCTCAGGAACTTCTGTATGAAGGAGCAGGTAGAGGTCTCTGCATGCCAGCAAACATATTCTTCACAACTCCAAAAGGTTTAATGTGCTATCTGTCTTTTTCAGATGCAGAGTGGAAGCTGACACAGAGGAAGGGAACTGCTCATTAGTGGCAGTAGCTCTTCTGCACCACAGTGCGGCGCCAGAGGTTAGCACCTCCCTTAGAAGCTAGCATGCAGGAGCAATGTATGCTCTATCAAGAGACAGAGACCAGGGAACGGCTCCATCCTCAGATACCAGTGTAATAGTCGCAATAGTTACTAATAATAGTTAGATATTAATATGTCATACTATTCTTTGCACATTTTTATAATATTCATATTTTATATTCCCCTTTCTTTAAAATGTGCATTGCACAACCACTAGCCATTAGTTGTGTAATATATCAATTGAGAATCTTTGCCTATAAAAAGTTGACTCTCATAATACTGTTGATTTGGTTATTTTATTATTATATTTGAAAGTTCTCAATGTTTAAACTACTTTCTTTTTTTAAGAGACTTAATTCTCAGCAAAAATCTAAGGACTTCTTCTTAGAGAGCAGTCATGCAGTGGCGTGAACATTTTACTGATGCCCACAGAATTAATACTTTCCTCTCTTTCTTTTTGGCCAAATATATTTGTTTCAGCAGAGAAATGTTTTGCTTTATGAAAAGGTACTTTCTGCAAATTCAAGCTTATAAATAATCTTGGTACTTTTTTGTTGTTGTTTGGTTTTGTAGAGATGGAGTCTCACTGTGTTGCCCAGGCTGGCCTCAAACTCCTAATAATTCCTGGACTCAAGTGATCCTTCCTTCTCAGCCTCCTAAGTAGTTGGGACTAGAGGCACACCACCACACCCAGCTAACAGTGCTACTTTTAATGTTGAATCCTCCTAATATATTTAAGCTAAGAGTCAGCTTTCAGATATCCAACCACCAAGTTTTTCAGTGCTTTGGTTTTCCTCCATAAAATAAGGGACTTGGGGACAAGTAACTTTATGTTTCTTTATAAAAGGTTTTAAAAATTTAAGATATTAATCTAAAACATCCGTGTAGAATGGACACACACCTACATCCTGCTCCAGATACTGTGATGTCACATGTGGGAAGAGAGACTCCCTGTCCTTTCAACTCTGTCGTGTATCATCTGAACTCTGACATGCAATGCAATCAGAAAGCAAAAACTGAACTGATCTTGCAGGGAGAAAAACTGAGGTCTGTCTTGGGTACTGATGCTTATATACCCTACTTCTTAGGGGAAAGAGAGATACAGAAATAAGGATGATTTTAGAGGGATAGTAAATGACTTTTACAGTTCCCATAGGAACTTCTAAATAGAATTCTGTTGTTACATATAAGGCACACTCACTCATCGATTCAACAAATATTTGTAGAGTATATATAGTTGCTAGGTACCTGCAACTAAGCCTCTTTGTACCTTTGGGGACCCAATAAATGAGAGTGCTTCAAGGGATCATGGCAAAGATTTTTCTAGAAATAGGAGTGGGAAATAAGGACTACTTTTGCAAATGTATATTTTGTTTACTATTCTAGAATTTACTTAACTGCTAACATACTGGAAATAGAAATCTGACCATTTCCAGTCTTGGAAATAGAGAAAGCAGAGTCAAAAATGCCTATCTTCAAAAAATGCCAGTCTTCACTCAAGCACCTTTCTCCACTTTCCACTGCTCTACGATCTTTAGTAATTTCCTAAGGCTTTTGAGTTTCCATTTATCCAACCAAAGTTCACTCTAAAAAACATGTTTGTGTAGATCTTAACTAACAAGAGTTTACCTCAGAAAATCTCTTCAGCTGCTTCCAATCTGAATGAGGTCCAGATTGTTCACAGACGACTGTTTCTGTGGTTTCTTAGTAATTTCTTTATGGGGAAGAAAATCTGGTGAGTATACCTCTGAATCTCTGTACTCCCTGCAGTCCCTGAGCTCATATTGTTCTACTATCAGCCTTAAAACTTGAAAACATCTAAAAGGGACAACATTAGCTTAAAACTTAGTGGGTATTACATTATGCCTTACCTATCTTTACTTAGGTTTTTCATCCATCCATCCATCCATCCATTCATTTCTTTATTTGTACAACCAAAAATTAAGTATTTTTTAGCTTTCTGAAAATCAACTATGTGCAAAGCATTCATTCCTGCAGGAGATACAGAGATGGATCACATGAATCTTGCCCTCGAGAACTATAGAACATGACAGAAGAAATATAGTAATACTGTTGGGGCTAAAGTAAGTTTTTCTTTACCCTCAGTAGTTTTGCTGAAAAACCAACTCACAATAAGGCAGATTAATAAGAGAAGAGGCTTTACAAATTTATTACTGCCATGAGCATGGGGAGAATCACAGAGTGGTTTGCCAATATCCCAATAGGGTACCAATGCTATTATATTTCTTAGGGAAAAGGGAGATAGGGAAGTGTGGATGATTTTAGGGGGATACTAAATTATTTTTACAGGAATTTAATGAGCTTGAAGAGCATGCAATGGTCTGGGGCAACATCTGTTGAGCCCATAGAGCAGAAAATTGTTTGTAACAAAAGTCTGTCCAGGTAAGTTGACAGACTTCAGTCTTCCTTCCTCCAAGATAAGTTCAGTTAATGAAAACTCGAAGAAGGGACTGGAGGTAATTGTTTTTTCTGTTTGGTAAGTCCAGACTTTAGGCAGATAAGGCAACTTCACAGAAAAACTTTATCCTGTACTTAGGGGGAGATGGTGGGTAACAGGAAGGCCAGAGAGACCTTGGGGCCTCTTCTTCAGTTCAGCATGTACAAAGTACTATATTTTCAGGTATCAGTTTTTGAGCCCCAACATTAGCAGTGGCTAATATTTGCTGAGTACACACAATGAGACAGGCTCTTTTTCAAATGCTGTATCCACCATCTCATTAAATATTTATAATACCCTAAAATTATAGCTATCATTGGGGTATCTATTTCACAAATAAGAAAGCTAAAGACAGAAAAATTATGTAACTTGCCCAAGGTCACACAGCTAGTCAAGACTTGAATATAGGTAATTTGACCCCAGAAGTTACACTCTTAAACACTATGCTACAGAATAATGATGATAAATGCAATGATGGTAATAAGGATGGTGATGATGGTGATGGCAACGATGGTGATCATGAGGATGGTGGTGGTGGTGATGATGATGATAATGTTGATAATTATGATGTTACCATGAATTTAGAGATTCTAGTATTTTTTTACTTACTAGTAAACAACAATCCTATGTGGTCAATATTATGTGCCCTAGTTTAGGAAATAAGAAATGTAGGACTCAGAAAAGTGAAGAAAGTTGATCAAAAGCTGTTCAGTCTAAGTGAGAAAACTGATAATAAAACACAAGTCTCTTTCCTGTCTTCTAAGCCATGCATACATAGCTACAAGAGTGCTTAGAATGTGAGAAGCAACAAGAGAAATAAATATCAAAGGTTTTGGGAATTAGGGTAGGAACAGAGGCCTTTGCACATAGGGTCCTGGAGGCCCTGGCAAGGACATCAGTATTTACACTAAGATGGGAAATCTTTGGAAGGTCTGGGCAGAATCAAGTGAGATTATCTGACTTTTATTTTAACAGGTTTCTTCAGTTCTTGCATTGAGAATAGACTTTATGGGAGCAAGGAGGAAAGCAGAGATGAAGGTAGAAGGCTTCTAGAATAATCCAGGCAAGAGATGATGCTAGTTCGACTCAATTTGGTGACAGTAGGAGTTATAAGAAGTGGTCAGATTCTAGAGATGTTTGAATTCTGAATATATATTTGAAGGTAGGTCTGAGATTATTACTAAAAGATCAGATTTGGAGGGTGAGAGAAAGAGAGGAAACTTTTAAATTAACAGTAGGCCGTTTTGCTCTGAGGACTAGAAAAATGAAGTTGCTTTTAACAGAGACAGGGAAGGTTGTGGAAGAGGTAGGTGAGGGAGATATTTGTCAGGAATTTTGGAGATGGTAAATTTAAGGTACCTGTCAGACCTCTAAGAGGAAATGTCAAAGGCAGTTGAATATTCAGGTTTGGAGTTTAGGGGAGAAGATCAGAGTGGATATATAAATCTCTGGATCATCAGCCAATCAATTGGCATATTATTAATAGTTATGAAAATACTGTGCTATTACAGAGAAACTCAGCCCCTAAATGATGGAGCTTAAATTCAAGTCCCAAACCCTAGTGACTGAAATGAATAGAAATATCTTACTCAGTTAAAGTCCAATTCACAATAGAGAAAAGGAACTGGTTTGTAGGAGGGGTTCTGCTCCACAAAGTCATTCAGGAATCTAGGCTGACAGAGGCTTGCCAATTGGCATCGTCTCTCTGCTGGTATGGAGGACAAAGAAATGACGCACATAGGAAATTTTGGGGAGTACAGATCACTTCTGTTCATACACCATTGGCAAGAAGTAAACTAGTGGTCACATTTAGATGTGAGAATAACTTGGAAATATAGTATCTGGCTGAGCAGTTTTTTTTCCCAAGCAACCATTCTACACTAAGGAAGGGAAGTACTGGTCTTTAGCAGTTACCTGGACACCTGTTCCATAGCTAGCACTGAGATCACCTATGAAGTGAGTGTAGGAGGAAAAATGAAGAGGTCCAAGGACTGAACCATAGGACATACCCACATTTGGAGGCCAAGGAGCTGATTAAGAACCCGTGAAGAGACTGAGACATTTAGGAAATAAGAAGAAACTCATGAGTGCTATGTCCAGGGAGCCAAACATAAAGAGTATTCTATAGTTGAGAGTGAAAAACAGTATTAAATGCCACTGGTGGGTTAAGTAAGATGAGGACTAACACATGGCCTTTGATTGAAAATCATGGAAGTTTGGGGACCTTGAGAAGAACAATTTTTGTGAAGCAGTAGATGTAAAATCCTGACAGGAGTAGATTCAAGAAAGCCATGCAGGAGAGAAGTTGGAAATAGTGAGGATCAAC
The DNA here is from genome assembly GCF_000001405.40 of Homo sapiens. Lineage (NCBI taxonomy): Eukaryota > Metazoa > Chordata > Mammalia > Primates > Hominidae > Homo > Homo sapiens. The sequence continues at coordinate 102,611,234 of NC_000002.12, read as the reverse complement.
ATCTAGTTCAAGGAATTTTACTGTATGGGGAAGGAAACAAATAGACTTTTAGCTGGATGGAAACACACAGCTAAAGAAAGAAAATTTTTGGCCGGGCGCAGTGGCTCACATCTGTAATCCCAGCACTTTGGAAGGCCAAGACAGGTGGATCACCTGAGGTCAGGAATTTGAGACCAGCCTGGCCAACATGACAAAACCTCATTTCTACTAAAAATACAAAAATTAGCCGGGCTTGGTGGCACATGCCTGTGATTCCAGCTACTCAGGAGGCTGAGGCAGGAGGATCACGTAAACCTGGGAGGCGGAGGTTGCAGTGAGCCGAGGTTGCCCCACTGAACTCCAGCTTGGGCGACAAAGCAACGCCTTGTCTCAAAGGAAAAAAAGAAAATGTTTAAAAATTGGAGAAATAACAGCATATTCGCATAGTGGTGAAAATGAACTAATGAAAATACAAAAATGGATGACTTAGAAGAGAAAAAAGGAAATAACTGAAGCACTGTTTATTAAGATGTGAGGGGTAGTACCTAGATGCTTGTTGAGGGATTGGGCTTGGCTGAGGATGAGTTATCCACACCAACAGGAAAAGGAGGGCACAAGTACAAGGTGGTGAGCAGATGTGATAAGGAGAGCTTGGTAAAGTTCTGGTGTCATTGCTTTAATATTCCATTAACAGTGAGAATGAAGAAAGAGACACTGGAATTTTGAGGAGAAAGATGAAAATATAAAATGTGTATTAAAGAAAATAGAAGAGAAAATGTAGGAAAATAAATTCTGGATTCCTAACAGAATTAAGGACCCACTTGAGGTTAATAACCATGAATTTAAAATGGGACCAGTTAGCTCAATTGTGTGTTTTCTGCATCCTGTATTCACTTGCACAGGTGTAAACATGGAGTGAGCAGAGATCAGACTTAACCTACATTGCAGTTTATCAGGCATATAGGAAGGGGCGAGTGCTTCTGCAAAGGAGTGGTATATGGTGGAACATGGAATTTATGCCAGGTATGAAGGAAGAGCAGACACAGTTGAGATAGGAGGTGGGGATCCCATGGTAGGATCAATGGTTTTCAGCTGCCTCAGTGGAGGCAATTAATGATGTAGTCGGAGTATTAGGAGGAATGAACTGGAAAAATAGGAGGATTCAACAGTAGAATGTTTTAACGTTGAACATATATATATATATTTGTTTATTTTAATGTATACTTTTGGTTTTGAGAAAAGGGCTGCAAAAAGTTAGCCATTGATTCATTTATTCAACAAATCTTTCAACTGTTTTTTTTAGACTTGTAATAGACACTCATAATTAACTACTGAAGTTAATTTTCTTATAGATTGCCATAAAACTTACATGGGAGCTCAAGCCTCAAGTCAAACTCTGAAGAAAGTTCTGACTCTAGAAGTAAATCTACAGCCTGTAGCATAGATGCAGGCAGGGTCACCACAGTCTTAATCTTCTCAATAGGCCACTGTGGGTCCCAGAGCCATTGGCTCAACAGAGCACCACTCCACTTACACCCCAGCAGCAAGGTTCCCCTCTCTCTCTTCCCATCCCTAGGAAGGGTGACATGGAAGCTGAAATGTAAGGAATCAATTGACTGAATTAAAAGGAAAGGAAAGGGTCCATGTATGTGAAAACCTCGATGAAGAGTATAAAAGCAAGTACACACAACTGTTTAGGTGAAGACCAATGTCTTTACTCTTCCTCATGTTACCCTTTACCACAGTGTAATTGCAAAGCTTCCTTCATAAAATGAGACATTTTGCATTCAAAATATAACCTCCCCCATCTTTCTAGAATGAAACTTTAATTGCAATCAACTCCATGTCAGCTGCCTGATTTCCAGGGCTGTGCATTGTCAGTCTCAGTGACCAGGACTGTCCCTCTAGCATGACAGGTCCTCATTAAGTGTTTCCAGATGAGTTATACCATTTTATTTTACATCATAAATATATTAAAATTAGATCTCAAATATATTCTGGCAATGGGATATACAAAATGGATGAACCTGATAAATATGAAATCAGGATCACAGGAAACCAGGACAAAGACATTTTCTACACTCTCACCTGTTCTACGTGTTCTCTTTTGAAAGAAAAAGTGGAAGTTAATGCACAACAACTCTATACATTACTTCTAATTCAGTAAATCTACTATTTACATTTTCAATTTTTTGATGTTTAGAAAATAGTACATACTTCCTGTTTTTGCCACGGTCCCAGGTAGAGAACATTTTGCATATTCTGGGCTTGGAGATTTGAGATAATTCAGGTATGCTATTTGCAAAGATACCTGACTTAGCTTCCACACAACTTATGTTTCAAATATCAGGAAAGTTTTACTCCTTAAGACTAACTGTAAATGCATATTTTCTGGTATGCATTTAATATATTCTATGCTCTTCTGGAATATAGGTTTAACTTTATGAAAAGTATTACAGTAGTTTTGAAGAGAAAACCATTAACTTAGACCAATGGACCGATATGAGATATATTTTCCTGTATTAAAAATAATGATAATAATAATTATAATGCTCTCCTATTGTAAAAGTATGTGTTCAGTAAAATGGACAAACTATAAACATTCAAAAACAGATTTATTTATGAAGACAATATGGCATCATCAAGATAAATGACCAAATATGCAAAATCAATGGCCCTAGAAATGAAATTTCATATTACAGTGAGACTCACTGAGAATTCCATCGAAGAGTAAAATTGTCCTTCTATAAATATCCTCTTTTCTGGAATAACTGACCAAATATTAGACTTGATTGTTTATGAGTGCGGATTATATTTACCATTCTTTGACATTTAAATATAAATTTTATACTTATCACATTGTTATCTTGAATTATTCTTTGACTTTATATTTGAATATCTTCTTTTTCCTCCTGGAATTCGTAGAGGAAAAAAACGAATGAATGTTACAAATGAATGAATAGTAAACAAAATATGGTAGTTATCATGAATAACTTACAATATGGTCACATTTCTATAGCTTCTCAGGCTTTAATTCCTTTATTTTTTCATTTATGAAATCAGGGTAATAAGGCCTACTTTAGACAGCGCTGTCAGGATTGACTGTGGAAGTGTATGTATAAGCACCTAGCACAGGTTTGCACAGAGTACGCACTGAATGAATATTAACTAACCGCGCTATATGGTACCAGGTATTCTCTGCCAGACCCAAGACTTCCTGTATCACATAATACAATGCATAATGGCCAACAATATTGGTCAATAACGCTTGCATCCTTTATAAATGTCAGGGAATCATAAAAATATATATTTAGACTAGGCCTCAGTTTTCTTACACAAAGGGTGGACTGACAGTAATGTAACTTCTTCACAAGTGTAATTAGGAATGGATTGAAGGGACTTAAACTGTTGTATTAGTCCGTTTTCACACTGCTATAAAGATACTACCCGAAACTGGGTACTTTATAAACAAAATAGGTTTAATTGACTCACAGTTCCATAGACTTAACAGGAAGCATGGCTAGGAGGCCTCAGGAAACTTACAATCATGGCAGAAGGTGAAGAGGATGCAAGCAGGTCTTACATAGTGGAGAGAGAGAGAAAGAGAGAGAGAGGGAGAGAGCAGGGGAAACTGCCATACACTTAACAAGCAATCGCATCTTGTGAGAACTCACTCATTACCATGAAAACAGCATGGGGAAAACCACCCCCATGATCCACTCACCTCCCACCAGGTCCCTCCCCCAATATGTGGGGATTACAATTCAAGATGAAATTTGGGTGGGGACACAGAGCCAAACCATATCAATTGTCAGTGATTCAAAAGTAACTTGTGATCTTACTTTTATTTTTATGACTTCTTGTAGGTACTTATGAAAACAACCAAAAAGATATTTAAAAATGGATGAGGAGGGGTAATTTTCCAGAATACCAGTCTATACTGTGCACTCAATTCACTATTTTCCTTTGTTTTTTTTAATGGAGTCTCTCTCTGTCACCCAGGCTGGAGTGCAGTGGCGCTATCTCAGCTCACTGCAACCTCTGCCTCCTGGGTTCAAGCAATTAGCCTACCTCAGCCTTCTGAGTAGCTGGGATTACAAGCATGCACTACCACACCCAGCTTATTTTTGTATTTTTAGTAGAGACAGGGTTTCACCATGTTGGTCAGGCTGGTCTAGAACTCCTGACTTCGTGATCCGCCCGCCTCGGTCTCCCAAAGTGCTAGTATTATAGGCGGGAGCCACTGCACTCGGTCTCCTTTGCTTTAAAAAAATTGCTTTCTTCAGTTTCAATATTCAGAGGAAACACTATATTCCTTTGGATCTTTAAGTATGATGAACATCAAGAATGGCTAAATCATATCAGATATGAAAATAAGAAACTAATTTCAATTCCACTGGACTTAATTTCACATCTACTCAGGTTTAAATTCAGGCCTATCTAGGTTTTAAGTTTTAGATTAAATTCACTCAGATTCATTTCCAACTACTGGAAAACTTTGGCAAAGTTGCCAAGCTCAGAAGTTAGTAGGTCAATTCGCCAAGAATTCCCTGCAGTCCTTGAAGTTAAAGGTTAGCAGAAAAGAGTTGCAACAGCACTTTATTAGGAACACACACACTATAACCATCAAAGAGGCTGCCTGTGAGAAGTTTCACTGGGCCTGAGGCACTGTTTTCCCAGATGTTCATGTTTAGTAGTTACATCACAAGTGTAAACCAGGTGATCCAAGCTCATGAACTGGAGCCAAATGAATCACTGAATGGAAAGCATTCAGAAGCATTTTTAGTAGTACTTACAAGGGAGGTGACAGCCTCCACAGTGCCAGCAAGAAAAGACAACATCCACATCCTAGTTATAACTAATGGTATCTTCAACTCCTATCCTCTCCTATGCTAAGCTGGATATCTGACTGGAAGAAGAAAGAGCTGCGTCTTCAGGATTATACAAGCACACGAAAAAAGTGCACACACACATACACACACACTCCCAGTCTTTTCCATTGCAATATCTGCATTTACATCTGTAGAGAATGAGGTCCTTCAAGAATGCACTGACTTGCCAGGCACAGTGGCTCACACCTGTAATTCCAGCACTTTGGGAGGCTGAAGCAGGTGGATCACCTGAGGTCAGGAGTTCAAGACCAGCTGGCCAACATGGTGAAACCCTGTCTCTACTAAAAATACAAAAATTAGCTGGGCATGGTGGCTCATGCCTCTAATCCCAGCTACTTGGGAGGCTGAGGCAGGGGAATCACTGGAACTCGGGAGGCAGAGGTTGCAGTGAGCCAAGATTGCCACTGCACTCCAGCCTGGGCAACAGAGAGAGACTGTCTCAAAAAAAAAAAAGGCACTGATTTGCTCAAAGGTCAGTGCCAACCCCAAGTAAAGAATCTTGCCTTCTGACTCTCAGCTTGGTCTCTTCCCATTTGGCTAAATGACAACTGGTACTTTGATCATTCAAACAGGTTAGTGTGCCTTAAATATTTATTTTCAGGTATCTACCCAAGATTGATTGGGAAGTTTTTCATATGAATGTATGGCCTCAATAAAAGATGCTTGGTGAAGGGCCAGGCACAGTGCTTCACACATGTAATCCCAGCACTTTAGGAGGCTAAGGCAGGTGGATCACCGGAGCTGAGGAGTTCGAGACCAGCCTGGCCAACATGGTGAAACCCCATCTCTACTAAAAATACAAAAAAATAGCTGGGCGTGGTGGCAGGCAGGCACCTGTAATCCCAGCTACTTGGGAGGCTGAGACAGAAGAATTGCTTGAACCTGGGAGGCGGAGGTTGCAGTGTGCCAAGATTACACCATTGCACTCCAGCCTGGGCAACAAGAGCGAAACTCCATCTCAAAAAAAAATATATTATGTGAATAAAACAGAATTTCAGATGTTCAGAATTTCAGACATTAAAGAGATTACACACTATTGGACTGTCATTATAAAATATTACATTTACATCAGTGTAAATGAGATTTAGGAGGAAAGAGTCAGATAATGACAGAAGATAAATGAAAATTATTTTTCTGGTCCCAAAGAATGCAGGAACAGCTTCCTGACCTATGGAAAAGAAAGAATTGTCCATTTTCCATGGAAAATACAAGCTCACTCAGAAGGTAAAATGAAATCTAGCTAAACCCAAGAAACTTTGTTTTGCAATACACACACACAGTCACACACACGTGCACACCCTAGCTCAGGCATAGCCTGGATTCTCAGCAAGGGAGCCAGGCAGGGCCTTTACTGACACTGGCACCTGCTGCCTTGCATGCCCTATTTTCTAAAGACGCCACAACCCTGCCTGCCCCTGGTAGAGAAAACAGCTGCAGACAGGAGGCTACAGTGACTAAGCACAAAAGCAGATGAAACAGAGTCCCATGCAGTAAGGCCTGCAACAAAGGTCGTTGGCTGTGATAAGAATCTCCAGAGTTGTTGATAAAGAAGAAACAAAATCAGAAAAGAAATCTCAGCACAGAGTTTTTCACCTGTTCTATATTTACTCACACAATGATGTTCTTACTATTTTTCCAACTTCAGTTGCTTGTGTACTGACAAGTGAAAAAAGGATTCCATCTGATGTTAATATATACCTAGCTCTATCCATCTTTTTATCTTAGATTTTGATATAAATATTTGCACTCCCATAATTTTTCCCCATCTAAACAAGGACACATGCTTCCTTTTCTTTATAATCCAATCCAAATCTAATTCCAGGGTTTTACTGTATTTTCACCTTGTCTGAAAACTCTCTCTGATTATTCTCTTCTTCATATCATTACACCATTAGCTTTGGTTCCAAAGAGAAGATATTACAAGATTTATGCTTACAACGATGACAAGGAAAACTTGGAGTTAGACCACAAGGGAAAAATGAAAATGTCCCTTTACCTGAAAATAGAAGCTAGGTTGTGTTCACAAGAACAAATTATTTGACTATATTTAAATCATTTTTAACAACTGATGGGGCTCACTGCCTGACTGAGTCATGGTTAGATTGTGAAGACAATCAAAACATATAAAATATTCTCGCTGTCTTGCCATGTGTACATCCAACAGAAAGTACTTGTTTTTGACTTTTGAAAAACATGACCGCAGTGCAATCCAGCCCTTACTATTTAAGAACCAGTTCTTAAAACCTGTTGCATAATTCACTGACATCAAACAAAGCCGTGGAACCAGTTCCTCTATTGGGCTGTAACAAGAAGACAAGAGACCACTTCTTTAAATCTTTTTATTAGATTATGTAATTGTCTCAGTAAGTAGACCTACATTCATCTACTTATATCTGGGTTCCACCTGGTACACTAAATCCCATTCAAACAACTCATGATTTACTATTCGCAAGATGCTTTTTTATAATGTATAAATCTAATGACATACTCATGTCTTGCACCCACATCTCCATGTTTTTCTGTCTTGAGATGTATTTACGTTCTGGGAAGTGGGAAACTGCTTCCTCAGGCATAGTTGTACTTTCATCCAAAGGGCTATGCCAGGCAGGATGCCCATGTAGAGATGTGTTTCCTTCTTAGATGTAGTAACATATAAAATCTTAATATATACAAAATTTTCAAACATTGTGGAAATATCATGGTGAATTAGCGGATCATTATATAAATATGTCCTAGCTATTTGGATATGAGGAATAAGAAAAACCAATATATGCACTACTTCCATTGAAGTCACATCAAAACAAACATAAGAATGTCAACAAGACATTCAGCAATTAAACATGAAATGCTAAGGGAAAACTCATTTTTCTTTTATTAACATTGACCAAGGAATTGATCGATTTTGAAAAGCATAAAAAATAACTATTGTCTGAATTTTTCAATCAATTCTGAGAAAGTGTTACAATTGCAGAATAAGGAGCTGGTTTTGAGCAAAAAATAGAATCCAGTATCCTCAAATCTCTTCTTTTATTGTTCTTCTCACTCCACACATGGGGAAACACCTACCTGAATCAGGCCAAATATCTGCTTTCTCTGCACATACACCCAAACACCACTGGCAAGTAGCACAGCTGTTAAGATTCAGAACATGATAAATTCATGATATCACACCATTCCTGGGTGCTCAATGATGCCAAAAAAACAAACAAACAAAAACAAACAAAAAAACAAAACAACAACAAAATCAGGTTTTCTTAGTTTCTTCTCTCAATTTTGGGGGGGATTTTCTAACTTTATCTAGTTTCCTTAGACATAATACTTCACCTCTTCTGTGACACTATTCTACCCTCTATTTTCCAAAAAAGAGAAACTATCAACAAGAATTTTCTCCCATACACCAGATTAACTATTTATTTTGTTCCATACTGATATTTTTCTCTTTCCCTTCAGCTACAATAGAAGGGGTACCTCATTTCCTGTCCAAACAGGACAGGAATTTTGTTCTTCCATATGAGCTCCAAATCTCCCTCTCTTGGATAGTGTTAAGAACCACACTACACTAATTACTCCCTTACTCTTTGCTATTCAATTTCTTCCTCCATAAAGGCATCCATACTTCCTCCAAAGCATTCCTAGTATGGCTTTGACTGTACCTTCTTAGGCTCCATGGCAGGGTCCCTTCATCTGTCCCACCTTTGATTGTTGAGCTATTGGTTGATGTTCCTCACCATTCTGACCTCTTCTTGTATTCTCTGTGAGTGTTTCTGCTTTCTCCCTTGACATTCATATCCAATCATGCTTGGGATGTACAGATCTACCACTAGCCCTAAACTCTCCACTGAACTTCAGATTCATATTTATGGCTAACTTCAAGACAGTGCCTCCTGGATATGTAACAGGTAACTCAATATGTTTAGAATATAAAACTGAATTTGTATCTTACACCATACACACAAATCAACTGAAAATGGATTAAAGACCTAATGAATAAGGCCTGAAACTATAAAACTCCTAGAAGAAATCACAAGAAAAAAAAGGTTCACAACATTGGTCCTGGAAATAATTTCATGGATATGATGTCAAAAGCATAGGCAACCAAAGTAAAAACAGACAAGTGGAACTACATCTTATGAAAAAGCTTCTGCACAGTAAAGGAAACAATCAATAGAATAAAAAGGCAACCTACAGAACGGGAGAAAATATTTGCAAACCTTGTATCAGTTAAGGGGTTAATTTTCAAAATATTCTGTATAAAGAAACTCATGCAACTCAATAGCAAAAGAAATATAACTTGATTTAAAAAATAAGCTCAACACTTAACTAGACATTTCTCCAGTGAAGACATACAAATTGTCAACAAGTTTATGAAAAGATGCTTACGGTCACTAATGACCAGAGAAATGCAAATCAAAACCACAATGAGATCTCACCTCGCAGCTGTTAGCCTATTATTACAAAAAAAAAGAAAAGACAGAAAGTGTTGGTGAGGGTGTGGAGAAATTGAAATCCTTGTAAGCTGTTGGTGAGAATGCAAAATGGTGCAGCCACTGTGGAAAAAAAGTATGAAGAATCCACAAAAAGATAAAAATTCAACTACCATATTATCCAGCAATATTGCTTCTGGGTATTTATCCAGAGGAATTGAAATCAGGATCCCGAAGAAATATTAGCACTCTCATATTCATTATAGCACTGTTCACAATGGTCAAGATGTGGAAACAACTTAAATGTTCATTGATGAATGAACAGATAAAGAAAATGTGGTGTATATCTACGACATGGTTTGGCTGTGTTCCCACCCACCCCATCCAAGTCTCATCTCGAATTGTAATCCCCACATGTTAAGGGAGGGACCTGATGGGAGGTGATTGGATCATGAGGGTGGTTCCCCCATGCTGTTCTGGTTGTTTGATAAGTCTCTGGCACTCCTCCCTTCTCTCTCTCTCACTCTCTCCCCCTCTCTCTCTCTCCCTCTCTCTCTCTCTCTCTCACCTATCACCATGTAAGACGTGCCTTGCTTCCCCTTTGTCTTCTGCCATGATTGTAAGTTTCCTGAGGCCTCCCCAGCCATGAGGAACTGTGAGTCAATTAAACTTCTTTTCCTTAAAAATTGCTCAGTCCCAGGTAGTGTCTTTATAGCAGTGTGAAAGCAGACTAATACAACCTACAATAGAATATTATTTAACCTTAAAAAATGAAATCCTGAAATATGCAGCAACTTGAATAAATCCTAAGGATATTATGCTAAGTAAAATAAGCCTGTCACAGAAGAGCAAGTGTTGCATGATTTTACTTGCATAAGGCATCTAAAATAGTCAAACAGAATCCAAGAGTAGAATGGTGCTTGCTAGGAGGTAGGGGTAGGGGGAAATGGGGAGCTGCTCATCAATATGGCATAAAGTCTCAATTATGCAAGATGAATCCTTCTAGAGGTCTACTGTACCACATCGTTTCTATAGTTAACAATACCGTATTGTACACTTAGAAAATTGTTAAGGGGGTAGAGATCATGTTAAGTGTTCTTGCCAGAATAAAATAATTTTTTTCAAAAAAGAAACAAATGCATCATCTGTCTCTTCCTAAATCCAGTGTGACCCTTGCCTCAAATCCTCATTTTATTAAATACAAGACCATCTATTTGGCTGCTTAAGAAACTTTGGCATTATACTTGTTTTCTCTGTCTTCTTCACGTACCACATCAAGTCAAACTCCAAGTCTTCTTACTATGACTTCCAAATATCACTGGAATCCATTCACGTCTCTTCATCCTATTTGCTCCACCAGCACCTTGAGCCTAGGATACCTCAATAGCCTCTCTGCCGCCTGTTTCTCTAATTCTGTGATCCATTGTGTGGCCACAATAATCTTTCCACTCAAACTCTATGCTACATCTAACTGCTTTAACTTCTAAGCCATCATGCCCTCCGTAACTCTTGAGCATGCTAACACACCTCTTCTCTACCTTGCCTTTTCAATTCATATTTATTTGCTTTTTTAACTCATAGCTTAGATGTCATTTTCTTTGTAAAACCTTGCTTTTTACCATGAGTCTAGGTGATGGGCTCCTGTAGCATTTTTCTTTGTAAAACCTTTCTTTGCACCATAAGTCTGCCTTTCTAATTGGCTCCTGTAGCATCCCACCGAAATGAAAGTTTCTACTTAGTTGTCTGGATCCACTTCTGAATTACAGAAACTCTGGTTGTCTTGATCACTGCTGTTGTGCTAGAACCTAGTACGGCACCTGCAATATAAGAAATATTCTAAATAATTGTTGAATTAATTAATTCATAAATTAGTGAATTGTTTTAGAACTAGTTGAAAACTAAACAGAAGTAAGAAATTAGGTTGAGAGAATTAAGGTGCAAATTATCTAAATTATTCATAATGTCTATTTTGTGTCATCAATTATTGAAAAAATTCACTTGTAAACACGACTTTTACATGTCTGTGATAGACTTCATTAATTACTGCCCATTCTTCATTTCTTTCTGTATCTATGCCATTTTTCAAGTAAGTTAGCAAAGCTCTCTCACCGTGGGCAGGATATATTTCTCTACCTCTTAACCCTGGTTTCAACCTCGAGGCATGCTTGAGGCAATAGATTGATGTGAAAGTAACACTGTGACATTCTGAGTCTAGGACTCAAGGGGACTTGCATGTTTCTGCTAGCTCTCTTGTGCCTCAGCCACGCCATGAGAAGACTATGCCTGTGGTAACCTGCTGCCCCCAGGAGGAGAGTGAAACCGTGGAGCAGAGCTACACCAGCCAAGATGCTTTGGCTGAGCCCAACCAAATCACGCTCTGGTGGCTAAATAAACGCTTATTGTTTTAAGCCACTGAAGATTGGGGTAGTTTATTATACAGAAAGCTTGTGTCAATCAATTCCCGGACATATAGGTCTGTCACTTTAATCATTTGGGCCTAGCTACCCTAGAAAATGGTTATGACATTTACTTGCCATTTTTCCTTAGGAGATAATGACATTTTGAAAAAAAAAATTGCAATACACATATCTGGCTAAAGACTTGAATCCAAAATACATAACTCAGAGAAAACAATAATAAAAACACAAAAACCCAATTAAGAATGGCCACACTATTAGACTTGGATAAATATTTCCCAAAAGAAGGTATACAAATAGCCAATAACATATGAAAAGATGCTCAACATCATTAACCATCAGGAAATGCCAATTAAAACCTCAGTGAGATACTGTTTTACATACAGTATTGTGACTCTTATAGAAATATCTGACAAAGCTAAATGTTTGTAAGTGAAGCAACTGGAACTCTCATCTATTGCTGGTAGGAGGGTAACAATGTCCAACCACATTGGAGAAGCCTTTTGCAATTTCTTATAAAGTTAAACTTACTCCATGACCCAGAGATTTCACTCCTAGGTATTACTCAAGAGAAGGAAAGACTCTATGTCCACAAAAAGGCTTAGAGAAAAATGTCATGGCAGCCTCATTCATAATTGTCTCAAACTGGAGACAACTCAAATGCCCATCAACAGGAGAGTGGATCAATGAATTGTGGTGTGTTCATTCATACACACTGAGTCAAAGTAAAATACTTCTCGGTGAAAAGAAACAATCTGCTGACACACACACCAATTTGGATAAACTTCAGAAACATAACAGAAAAGTCATATGATTCAATTCATATGAAGGTCAGTATAGCCAGAACACATCTATGTGACAGAAATTAAAATACTGTTTTTCTCTTGGGAGAAGGTTGCAGAATTGACTAGAAAGGAGCATGAGAGGTTTTTCTGGGGTTTGGGAAATGCTCACTATTTGCTTGTGGGTGGTGATTAAATGAGTGTATACAATTGACAAAACTAATCAGGCTAAATACTCAAAATCTTAACATCTATGCATTTTATTTTAGGTAAATTATATATCACTAAAAGATTGCTTTGGCCAAAGGGAGGGATGCATATATAGAGACAGATAGATGAGAGAGAGAAAGAGAGAGAGAGAGAGACAGAGAGAAAGGGAGAAATAATCAAAGTTCAAAACTACACTTCAACATAATACAGCAACTGCTGTGTTATGTATGCAACCATGTAATAAGGGAAGGTTATTAAGTTGTGTATAGGGAAAACCTATACACAGGTGTGCATAGGTTTTCCCTATACACAACTCAATAACAAACAGGAACAGTCCCTTATATAGCATACATAAGGAATTTGTGCAATGAATGCTACAAATGTTCCTGAGGTAGACACAGCGAAATCTTCCAAAGACCTGGGGCTACCTTGTGAAGAATACTGAAGTGCACGTAGAACACAAGAGGCTACAACTGTGACCTAACAAGACGTTGCTCAACGTGGTCCGCTGTAGTCGGGAGCCCCTAGAGGCTGACAAGGCGCTCCCCTGACTAATGGCACAATAGCAGCACTCATGGGACTCCAGGTTTCCTTGAACTGGATGGCTCCTGCCTGGGCTCTATACCTGGCAGAACAGCAGACCATGGGGAGCGCCGTCTACTTACTCAGCATAGGTATTGGTATTTGGTACAGTCCAAATACAAATGAAGCAAATACTTTGCTTTTTGCTAGCTGGTTACTAAATTGAAATGAAAGTATTTTTACTTAGGCTCAAGTCTTTATTTTTTCTTTCTTTCTTTTTCTTTTTTGAGACAGAGTCTCACTCTGTCACCCAGGCTGGAGTGCAGTGGTGCAATCTCAGCTCACTGCAACCTCTGCCACTGGCATTCAAGCAATTCTCCTACCTCAACCTCCCAAGTAGCTGGGATTACAGGTGACTGCCACTGCGCCCAGCTAATTTTTGTATTTTTAGTAGAGATGGGGTTTCACCATCTTTGCCAGGCTGGTCTTGAACTCCTGACCTCGTGATCCACCTACCTACCTTGGCCTCCCAAGTGCTGGGATTACAGGCATGAGCCACTGCGCCTGGCCATCTTTATTTTTTCTAGTCTTGGAAGCCAGAGATCAACAAATGTTAGTTCTCATGACCCTGTCCTGTATTTGAAATCTTGAACACCATTTGTGTATTGTGTGTGTCCCTCCCAATGTATGTCATGGTGTAACATTTTTTGTTAAAAAATGTCCAGTCTTACTGAGAGCTGATATGACTGTTCTCTAGTTGCATTCACTCTAATGGTTCTTTTAAAATTTAGATTCACTTTGCTTATTACCATAGATGAATTCCTGGGAATTTGATAAACCAATTATCAGATCATCTTCATGCACTGGAAGGAGTCACTATTTAAAGGTTTTGCAATTTAGAGGAATATTATAATGAACTTCTATATAATCGTGGCAGCATTTGTGGTTGCAAGGAGAAGGAATGCATTGATTATCTTAAAGAGGAACTGAATGCATTGGAAAAGTATCCGGGGCTCAGAGCACACCAGCTTATTATGTTCCAAACTAGACCAGGGCCACAGAGCTCTAGAGCACTGTGCTGCAAGGACCACAGACAGCATCACACTGTAGCCTCCACACACTCATGTAGCAGCCATCACACACTTACACAGCAGCTGCCACTGCAGCAACTGTGACTCCAACTTGTGCCATCGCCCTTGGGTCACTCTTTAAAGAATCAGTGTCCACAAGAGGGTCATATTGTCCAAGGGTAAGCCACATTGCATCCACTGTCTTGCTGGACTCTACCTCCTACCCACTAACACACAATGCAGCCATCCTTGAAAGATGATCCCATAGCAGTGGGAAGTGTGAGAGGGAGCTGAGCAAGGGGGATGAATGCCAGGAGCTGAAAATTGACAAATATCAACTGCAACTGCATTCATAATTGATGAATTCCAAATTGATATAAGATGGAGAAGGCCAGGCATGGTGGCTCACACCTGTAATCCCAGCACTTTGGGAGGCTGAGGCAGAGAGATCACTTGAGGTTCGGAGTTCGAGACCAGCCTGGCCAACATGAACCCCGTCTCTACCAAAAATATAAAAAATTAGCCAGGTGTGGTGGAGCATGCCTGTCATCCCAGCTACTTGGGAGGCTGAGGCGAGAGACTCACTTGAACTGGGAGGAGGAGGTTGCAGTGAGCCGAGATCGTGCCACTGCACTCCAGCCTGAGCAACAAAGAGAAACACTATCTGGAGAAAAAAAAAAAAGATGGAGATATTGTTTCTTTTACCTATAAAACTGGAAAAATTTAAAACCTTCAGTTACTAACCATGTTGTTACTAAGGATGCTGGACAGCATTCTCTTATTCTGTGGCTAGACAGAAAATTGATCTAATGTATTTAGGGGGCAATTTGGCAATTTCTATTAAACGTAAAACTGGGGAATCTATTTGAGCCCAGGATTGACTTTCTAGGACTCCATGTACAGCTATACCAATACACATGTGCAAAATAGATTTTCAGGGATGAGCTGGGCTTCATCATTTATAAAACAAAAGGTGAGAAACAAAATAAGTGTGTTCATCAACAGGGACATTGTCAAGTAAGTTATGGCCAGGATTTATGTTCTGTGAGGAATGATCAAATATTTTGTTTTGTTTAGCAAATTCTATAAAATTCTTGAACATCAAATCAGGGAATAATTTTGACTTTGAATGTATAGGGAGTCAATTTTATTACAGATGCAAAATTTTGGGATTCAGATTTTTAAAACTGTCTTTAGAATACGTATTGAGTTGGATGTGAGGAAAGAGAAAATTAAGTCCTAAATCTTGATTTTGTATTTAAGTAACTACATTGAGAAAATGCAAAGTTTAACTGCTTCATACTAAAATTAACAGAATAAGTTATTAGATGATCTAAGTAGCTATATTTTTCTTCCTAATGTTAACAATTAACCATGATAGGAGCAATTCGTCTACAAAGGGGAAGGAAATTAAATGGCTTTGATAATACATTTTCTAAGTATCCACATGTAGTTTGAAAATGTTTTACTAAATAGTTTAGTTAGATAAACAGTCATCTAATATTAATGTCTAATATTAGATAATTAGATAATTAATATTAGTAAATATAAATAATATTAACTAATTATTAAATAGTTAAATCATTTACAAATATTCATGAGCTTTGAGATATTGATTATTATACAGCCAAGTCAAAAGCATTCAAAGTAAAAACGTAAAAATTTTTGCAGTGTCATTTTTGTCCTTTTTTAAATCAATAATTAATGCTTTAAAATGCATTTGGAATATCTTGCTAGGTTCTCATAATCCATTATATTGGTTAGAAGCTCTATTTTAAGATATTAACTATATATATAATTTAAGGTATTAAATTATGTCAGTGACCCATCATTTATATGGCACCAAAAAAACAAAAGTAAACAAGCTAAAACACTAGTGTTCCACAAATTGTTTGTAGGTAAGCAGTAATGACCTGACAAAATAGTCAATTTCCGTGCACTTTTAAATAGAACTTCCACCAGCCCTCAACTCTCCCAAAAGTGCTTTCTCATCAAGTGTTTTAATTTTTGAGTGTGGGTGAATTTTTTTTTACCCTAGGTACTTAAACTCACTAAGCTGTAGCTCTGATCTGGGCTGGTCCCTGCATGGTGTCGTATATGTTCAACAGGGATATATGTATGCACAGATGCAGGGATCTGCATTTTGATACGAAGCTTTCATCCTTGGTTGCAGATTTAGCAAATATAATTACAAGTGCCCACTGAAATTTGAATCGTAGATAAACCATGAATAATTGTTTACTGTAAGTATGTCTCCTTTGTTTGTCTGAAATTCAAATTTAACTGGGCTCCTCCTCAAGAGGAGCAGTTTCAGGAAAAGCCTCATGAAACTTCACATCATGATATTGTTAAGGACGTTGTTTATTGTACTGCATAGTTTCTCTTTTCACAAAGAACACAAGCATGTTTTTCTTTTTTCTGGTCTAATACCAGGAAGAGTTGGTTGTCTTCCGTGAAATTTATTTGTTTTTATCTTAGTGAAGGAGTTCTTGACCAGGCTACTCTGCAGTGTGGCTTTTAGTATATGTGGTCCTTACGTGTGTAAGCATGCACATAGGTACCATGGTTATGCATATTCTTAACCTCTTTACTGGCTGCATTTTATGGCCCCATCTTTGGTTTCCTTCCTTCTACTTTATTATTGTTATCTTCTTGGGTTTTGTATCATTTTTAGCACTCTTCAAAAGTTTTGGGGACAGGGTGTGTAAAGAAAAATAAACAGACTAAACCTGGAGTCTTATAAAAATAGTTGGATAATTTGATATGGAACTCTTTGTTTTGAATTCCATCTAACATGGACTGATGGCTAAAGGTTCATTTATTGCTATTTGGAGGCCTACAACACAGGCCCACCGTGAAAGTGGTCACAGGACCAAAGCCCCAAAGATGGCAATGAAGTGAGGATCCAGTGTGTTTTTATTCTTCATTCAGAGGAGATGATGGTTTAATGATTTAACTGGCATGTTATATACTCCTTTCTTTCTTACCACCTCTAAAATCATCATTGTTTTGTTCAGGTAACATTTGTATCAATAGGACATTTCTATTCAAATACATACCTCACCTGCTTTTTTTTTCTTTAAACTCTAAGTTATCAGTTGTATGCCGATAAGCAGTTTTCTACCTTCTGATTAGATGGGGAAGTAGGCTCACAGTCCATATGGGATGTTGTATATATAGTCCCATCTGAAGCTTGAGTTAATTAGGCAGAAAGTTAACTGATTCAGTCGGTGCAAAGGTCTCGAAACTGGAACACCCAGTTTAGTGATAGAGTCTCAAAGTTAACTCTTAGCTGGCTGGTCCCCTATATTATCAGTGCTTATTATTTGGTGGCAATATTCCTGTTTTTACTTCTTTCATAGGATCAAGTATTCTTGCACTTAATTTCTTAAGTAGTTATCAAAGTCTGCCTCTTTTATTGTCTCTTCCCCCGAAATTTTACACCAAGTACTAGGAGTATGAGAGGAGACAGGGAACTGGAGAGATAGGTACCAGCTCAATGGCTCCATGTATCAGTACGCAAACAATAAGTATGAATAAAAATAAAAAGCAAGAACAGTTTTTAAAAACCTACCCTAAAGCACCATGATTTTTTCTTTTAAAATGGAGTGCAGTTTTTTTAGATATCTTAATTAGAACACCTTGAGTAATTTATTAAAAAAAAATCAATTCACCTTGGCCAGGTACAGTGGCTCACACCTGTAACTCCAGCACTTTGGGAGGCCCAGGCAGGAGGATTGCTTGAGACCAGGAATTGAAGACCAGCCTGAGCAACATGGCAAAACTCAGGCTCTACAAAAAGTGAAAATCAATGCACGGTATGAAATATTTAAGTTTTTAATGATGACAAGCTAGTAAAATTATTTAAAAGAGCAAATTGAAGCTTGGGCCCCTGGCATATGACCATGGGGAGAAAGAATCATACAAGCTGTTAAGAAAAATGCTGAGCTGGCCTACTTGCTGGGAAGACCAATGGTGCTATTGCTCTCTCCATATGCTGTGAACACATTCGCATTTCATATCATTTTCTCTTCAGTTCTGAGACTGGGCACAGTTCGCATTTCAACCTCAACTTGACTGTCATTGAAATAACTCCTTTCTTTCAGGAGTTTCTCTCTGCACTTCCTGGTTTCATCAACAGAGGTCACTGTGGCACTACTACTACTAACAGCCTATCCAGCCAGCAAAACAATAAAGAAAAATTCATTCATTCAGTCAATAACCATTTACTGAATGTTATCAGACACTACTGCCAGGCATTGGGGATAAGAAAGTGTATAAAGGAGGCAGTCTAGGCATCAATGAAAAGGAGTATAAAACAAGGATAGAGTTAAACATGCTAAAACAATAAATACGGATCAGATTGTTGGCAAAAGTATCTAAATATCCTATTTAGATTTGGCATGCTGATATGCACAAATAGAATTTAGCAGCATTTATGTAAAGTATCAAGCATGAACTATTTTTCTCCCCTAAATCTGATTAACTTGCATCATTTGAATCTATTCTATATTTCTAGATATTTTGCAGGCATTTCTTCAAACAAACAAATAGACAAGAACATCCTCATGAATCTTTTCCTTTGAGAAATAAACTAATATGTGTTATCATTCATCTTTCATCATTGCAACTACCTGCAGCAGGTAGTAGTCAAACCCTATCCATTATCTTCCCCTAGAGCAGTGAGTGTTTCTCAACCTAGCTTAGGAGGTCTTTTACAAATCCCCATGCCTAGGCTTTATGCCAGGCCGATTACATCAGAGTCCTGAAGGAAGTGGGGGTACAGGTAGCCATCAATATCTTCTAAAGCTCCCACAAGAGTCCAATATGCAGCTAAGATACAGCGCCATTGCTCTAGCATGTCTTCAGCTGTGGTCATCAACTTAGGCTCCAAAACTGATATTTTATGAATGATTGGAAAGTGCCTGACAAATAAAAGGTCATTTTGCTCTTTAAAAAAATTGCATGGACTGAAAGCAGGGCTGCTACTGCAGTTGGATTTGAGGAAATGGTGTAGTTGCAGGAGCTTGTACCCTTTTGAAGGCTGCCAACAATTATCTGTGGGTCATGTGAAATGAGTTTTATGTCAACAGAGTTGAAGCTGTTTTCTCTGAGTGGTTAACTACTTTTGCCTGGTTAAATAAGCAAACAAAAGTGAAATAGGGAAAAGAGCAGAGTTTGATTAGCCTTGTGTTCACCTGAGATAAGTGGCCTCCCTTTCTCTTAGGTTTAGTCTAGAACAGAAACTACCTCTCCGGCCTCCCCGGCCCTGGATTGTAATTGATAGCAGGTGCTGATTGATACAGGGACATTAATATCCACCATATTCACTGGTTCTCATCACAACGAGTATAGGTCCATGATTTGAGTTTTACAACTTCCTTCTTAAATGAAATGGCTACTCTTTTAATTGACATGAGCTTTAAGCTAGGTAAACAGTAGCTGCATGATGAGAATTGGTATAATTTAAAATATTCTTATAAAAACTTAGTTTATTGAAATCTGGTGATTATTTTTAATGACCCAAAATTGCTAAATTAGTTGACTACATTATGGACAAAGTATATAAAAAAGATAATTTACCTAAAAGAAAATAAAAATGTATAAGCAAGATGAAAATTGTTCATTTATAGTGAAAGGTTGCAAATGAAAGCAAAAATAAATGTTATTTCCTCTACTAAATTATTTTAAAAAGTATATCATGGTGCCTAATATTGGGAAATATAAAAATGAAACTAGTAAATCTACCCATTGCTGAGAAGCACATAAACTGGCAGATAATGTTTGAAAAATAATTTGACAACAGTTATAAGAGCTTTAAAACATTCAAACTCTAAGTAATAGCAACCTAGCACTATTAATATAATACTCAGTGTTGTTAATATTAATATTATAGGCTATAAGAGGAAAACATATTTTAAAAAATTATAGGACAATTTGTAAGTCAAGAAAAATTCCAGAGTGTAATATCCTTTTTAAAAATTAAAATCAGAAAATAGAACAAGAACATAGATTTATTTGAATATACATTATTTTCCAAATACTTTTGAATTCAATTATTTGGAACATAATTGAATCTAAATGTCTCACAATACATTATGCAATTATATCTACATATAAGATATTATTCAGGTATGTTGAATATGCCAAAAATATTAGTTTAATAATTTAAAATTATCAGTGAAGCAACATAGAAAAGGTTTATGCCATACATGTGATCAAGAATGAGTCCATTCAAAGCTCAGGAATAAAATCATGAGTTCCTTAAGACCTCAGGAAAGATAAAAAAAAAAAAAGTCAAGCAACGTGCAATCTTTGCTATAATAGAGGTTTATCTAATTATTGTGTGACGTAAGGTGGAGAGACAATATTGGGTATTTAGTCAGCTTTTGAAGTGAAGGAGGAACCACCTGAAACAAAATTTGGGAGGACAATATCAGCAGGCAGATATTTGTGTACAGTTGGTTAACCAGCTATAGAAAGCAGACTAATCAAAGAGAGAAATATGTGTTTGCAGAAGGCATGCTGGGGAAGTGAAAATAAATTATTTTGTTGATAAAATTATACACTCTTATCCAGCAATTCATCCATTCGTTCAATCCATCAGTCAGGATCTACTCAGCAGCTACTTTGACTACACACTTCTGGGTGTGCAATTTAGTGGCGAATAAGATCCTGTCTCTGTACTCAAGGGGCTCAAAATCCAAAGCATAAGACAGAAAAGGAGTTAAGTGTTGAATTGACGAAAGTGCTATGCAGAGAATTCATATGGGGTGGTGATGCTCCCAAACATTCATTATTGGATTTCATGACAATAGTAACCTATGAAGTAGAAATTCTGTGTTGGGACCCTTTAAATTAGTTTGGTGAGGGAGTAACAATCATGACATCAACACCCAAACCAAAAATGCACTCCTGAAATAAATTTTCCAACAGAAGAATAAGGACTAGCAGGAGGAGGAAATCACAACTTTACCAAAGAAGCGGAAACCATAGTTTTTCACTCATCAGACTTTGTTCTCCTCCAATTTTTGTCCTTTAAGATTCTGCCTGGACTTTGAGATTTAGTATAAAATCCACCTTCCCTATTCAAGATAAGACATTTCATTTAATGAAGAAATATGTGCTTGGTACCTACTACGTGTTAAGCACACTGTTAGGGCCTGGGGACACAGACGATTCTTGCTCTCTGTCCTCAAAGAGCATTGACTGTAGAGGAGGTGGCCAAAAACTATGTGATCAAAGCTGATAGTCTTGTACTTCAAAACCAAATTGGGCAATCAAGGCCAGCTTCCTGAGAGAGGTGTGATTTGAGTAAGGTTTTGAGGCGTGAATAAGAGTTCAAAAGTTAAAAGAAAGGTGTGTGGAGTGGTAAAAAAAAATTCAAAAGGAAAAGCACAATGATAACAAAGATCTCATTATTCATTATGCTGTTATACTGGATGTCATGCATTTTACATACATTAATCAAATCTTAACATCGAATCTTAGCCTTATGAAGTAGGTGTGACTCCTGTCATCATCATATGTATTTTATAGTGAACTGAGGCACAAAACTGTTCAAAATGTGGCTCTGGAGGCTAATTTTTATCACTGGAAGCTAACAAGAATATTGACCTCTCCTGGTGTTGGGCTCCTCTCTCAAACTACAGCTCATTCTATTGGCTGTGCTGTGTTGTGTTATTTTCTGTTCATGGATGTATTTTATCTCTCAACTGTACTGGAAATTTCCAGAGAGCCCCACACTGTGCTTCTTCTATGATGCATGCTGCTTTACAGATGTGCTGAGGCTTTGTGTTACCAGCCACTTCAAGAGGAAAAGTCTGGTTTTAGCAAATCAGCAATTAAAAACCAAAAAAAAAACACAACCCTTTGCAAGACATAATCCTGGTCTCTTTCAAATGTTAGAGATGAGTCTGAATACATTTATTTTTTCTTAATTATTTCATCATGTGTGCAACATACATTAAAGTCTCAAGAATATTCTTAAAATCTTTTAGGTGATTTATTGCTAGTAATAAGTTGCCTATATTTAATCCATAATTTGTTGGGCAATGTATTGCTTTTATCTTCCCAAAACTATCTCTTCCAATCTGGAATAGGTCTTTTGAGTTTTTTAAGAAGAGAAGGCCAGGCTGGTTTTGCTCTTACCTACGTGTTTGCAATGTCTCTGGAGTGAGGTGCCAGCACTTCATGATCTCCACGGCACCACCTGGTTCTACTGGTCGGTCTCCGTGGTTTTACCTCTAGGGAATTTTCAACTTTCCAGATATACAGATTCTAACCTATTTATTCTACCTCCTATGAAACCTTCTATAACACTTTAATCATACCATTGCTTTTTTAGATGTGCCTTTTTTTGTGTGAAGTGTGATAATCAAATCCACATGACAGTTTCAGATGGATCATTTTCTTAAGGGTATAAAGCTTATTCTGGGAGCATTGAAGCCTCAGCAAGGGAGAATTTGTTTCCCATGTGATTAGCACCTGCCCAAAGGACATAAATCATAACCAGGGATTAAATTAGACACCAAGGAAACAAGCACAACAGGGCTTAGCTCCTCGGGGAGGAAGCAGGGCAGGCAAGGGGAGAAACAGAGGCTGGGTCACGCAGCGCAGGTCCGGCCCAGAAAAAGAGCCTTTACACTAGAATTGGTTACAGAGTGCTGCAGTCTAAATGAAACACTCTGGTTTACCCAAGATCAAACACTTGATGTAGTTCTCAAAAATGTAGATTCCTGGGCTCCAGCACAGATCAACTAGATCACTTGAAGGAGAAAGGCGGAAGGGTGTATAGACATCTGAGCTTTTAAATTCCCCAGGTGATCCTTTTTAATTTTTTTTAATTTTTATTTTTTGTGGTTACATAGTGTATATATTTGTGGGTTACATGAGATATTTTGATACAGATGTGCAATGTGTCATAATCATATCAAGGTTAATGGAGTAGCTATCACCTCCAGCACTTATCCTTTGTGTTACAAACAATCCAGCTATACTTATTTATTTATGTATTTATTTATGTATTTATTTTGAAACAGAATCTCATTCCGTCACCCGGGTTGGAGTGCAGTGGCATGATCTCGGCTCACTGTAGCCTCCACCTCCCAGGTTCAAGTGATACTGCTGCTTCAGCCTCCTGAATAGCTAGGATTACAGGCATGTGCCACTACACCCAGCTAATTTTTGCATTTCTAGTAGAGATGGGATTTCGCCACGTTGGCCAGGCTGGTCTCGAACTCCTGGACTCAAGTGAACCGCCTGCCTCGGCCTCCCAAAGTATTGGAATTACAGGCATGAGCCACTGCGCCCGGCCCTTTTTAGCTTTTTTAAATGTACAATTTAATTATTACTGATTAAAGTCACCCTGTTGTGCTATCAAATACTCGATCGTATTCTTTCCATTGTTTTTGTATCCATTAACCATCGCTACTTCCCCCTCTCCCTCACTATCCTTCCCAGACTCTGGTAACCATCATTCTACTCTCTCCCCAGGTGAGTGATTCTTCTACCCACAATGAAGGTTGAGAATCATTAAGATAAAATGTTAGTGTAACAAGTAAGTATTATTTTAAGTGTGATTACCCTTAATCCCGAGAAAATATTTCATATGTCCAAATGTCCAGAAAAAAACTTTTTAAATCTTTCTACTTGTCCAATTGCTTCAATTGAAAGCCTCGAAAAAAAAGCAATTTAAAATCATGTGGCAAATCTAAGATGGCATAATCTCATATTTCTTTCAACTTTGGTTAAAGATACATTCTAGACTGTTGAGAGAATGCTTTCTAGTGTTTAGTTTGGACTTAAAGTAACCACTCTGAGTTAGTTCAAGTTCAGCCAAAATACTAGTTTAGACCAATTTTTGTTTTAGTTTGAATTTGTATGCTAATCTGTGCATTTCCTTTTAGGAAGGCTGTCCTTAGTATGAGAGGGAAGTCCCTCTTTCCCCAAAAAACCCTTTTAAGCCACTTTCCTGCCTGAAATTCACTTTTCTCAAACTTGGCTCAGATGCTGGTGTTCTGAGACATCTAACATACCAAAATGGAACGTGCTTGTTCTGAATTTTCCTACGAACATATTTTGATAAGCGGAGGTTGGTGTTGAGGCCTGGAGGTGGGCAGGGGCAAGCAGAGGAACAACAGGCCAGATCCTTTCGATGACCTTGGCCACTTCGTTATTTCCGCAGGACCAGCTCTGATGTTTTACCACTGCATTTCCCCAAACGAAAGAGAATAGCCATTTGAAGATAATGGCTGGGCACTCCCAAAATCGTAGCTGCTGGAGCTAAAGAAATCACTCACTCAAAACCTAGCTGTTTGTCTAAAAGGAACAGAGGCAAAGTTGTTGCAATGTACCCAGATAATAGATCAAACCAGGGAAAAATGATTAGTCCATAAAAGGCTTTTGGCCCTGACTGTATTTGCTATAGAGAAAAGAAAGGAGTTCTATTTCAGCTACCCTGTACCTCCTTCCTGAGCTAATTAAGGGTCACTCCGGGATCTTCAGAGTTTTCTTTGGTGGCTTCAGAGGAGAAAGATAGGAGGTGGCTTTGAACAAACAGGAACCTCACCCAGAAAGTCAATCTCATATTTCAACCTCAGTTCTTTTGCCAGCTAAAGCACCCGCATAGAGCTGGGAGTGGTCCATTGTGCCAGGGAATTCACCCTTAGGGAAAGACAAAACCTCAACAAGCAAAGACTAACAAAAGAATCTCAGAAACAAGGAGTCACACTGGCTTTCAGGGAGAAACACGCTCTGACTCCTCATTCCTTATCATTGAAGATAATAAGACCAAACATCAGGAGCTGGATCCAAAGGTGGACGGGTACAGTGTGTACTTAGGGATAAAACTTGGCCTTCCCCAGTTGTAGCCAGGGGTCGTCTGTAGTCTCTTGAAAAGCTTCTGATGACTTCCGAAGCCTTCCCTGCCTCTCTCCTAGCTTCCCTGTCTCTCTCCAACCTCACAGTGCTCATCCATCTGGCAACTCTTTTCATGGTCTTTGGGTGTCACCTAGTGATTCTGTCCTGCCACCCCCAGGCCTGAAGGCATCTTCGAGGAGGTTTGAAAAAAAGCCAAATGGAAAGGCAAACAAGCAGAAAGCTTAGCAAAGAGATTAGTTCACATTAAATAATGTGTGTTTTGCAGGGCTGCCTTGTGCATGGGAAAGCATTGTGGAGGTTTACTTTGGTTTTTAAAAGTTAATCATAAATGTATTATTATTATTATCTAGCAAATTTTAACAATCACCTTTAAAAGGGCCTTTGGCTAATGTTCTATCTACTTTACAAACAGGAAAACTCCTCTTAACACCTCAAACCGATATTTTAAGGTTAATATACATACGTTTAGGTTAAAACCTCCATAATTAAAAAAAAAACTCTTAAAATTTTGATGAATCAAACTTATAATTATTCAGAAATTTGAATTATCTTAAGCTTTTCATTGATATTTTTAATTTTACTAAGATGTCTACTTAAAAATCATGAGTCTTTCAATTGCTTAAAAATATACTTCAAATTGGAATTATGAGGCCAATCTGTTGTTTCTATCAAGTTAAAATTTTGAGTTATACATATATATGTAAAGAATCATGCACAGATTTCTTATTTCAAAGATATTAATACCATACATTTGATTCTCTCAAATATTTTCTATATTTAGTTTTAAGTCTTTCTGCCATTGAAAGATATTTTCCCATTAAGTAAACAATTATTGCATTCTACACCACTTGATGATTATTGTCCTGTGCAGTTTTAGGGGACAGCTTCTCAACTTGGCAAGTGTCTTAATAACCAGAGATTTCAGGCAGGACATGACTGATGTTTGGTTTGAGTCAAATGGGCTATATCGCACCTATTTGTGTTGGCTAAGTCAATTACTCCAATACTCATAGGAGGTCATCAGGTAGTCCAATCTCAGAATTAATTATACAATGACTAATTACATGGGAAAGACCTCCAGAAGTTATACAATAACCCAGAGGGTTAATTAGATTTTGCATTCCTTTGGTTCTTAAGATACATTTTTTTTTTCCATTTAACTCTAAAGAACTGTGGATCTGATATAATCCTCTACTCTGTTTCAAATATGTCATCTCTCTCACTGATATTAAATTATATCTGCTTAAATGTTGACTCTCCTCTTATGGCTTTATCTGAGTACTGGATCGCAGTTTTCACAGTCCTTCTGCTAACATTACCATTACATTGAGAATATGCTGCAAGGCCACCTAGACAGCTATCTGGGCCTGATTCATCCGAACATACGTGGGCAATAAGCTAGAGAAGTCCGTTGCTATAAGCTGAGCAAGTTCTCCATGCTACTTCAACTGGTCATTTCAGC
This sequence comes from Homo sapiens, assembly GCF_000001405.40. Classification (NCBI taxonomy): domain Eukaryota; kingdom Metazoa; phylum Chordata; class Mammalia; order Primates; family Hominidae; genus Homo; species Homo sapiens. Next base: position 102,584,595 of record NC_000002.12, on the reverse strand, counting down.
CCTCATTCTTCCCCTGATATCCTTGCCATTGTTATTTTCCACAAGCCTTGTTATTGCCAGAAATGAATGCAGGGGACCATGTTAATCCGGAGCTCAAGAAACAGAAGAGCCACTTGTGAGGCTTCCCAGGGAGGATTTGCCACATTCTGAAGGGCCTGGTATATAATGGCAAGTGTTCCTTGGGGACAAGAATTTGCTGCCTGTACAACTCTACAGAGAAGTAGAGTTTGGAAGATGCCCAACAATAAGGCAGAACTGGAAGGTAACATGAGTTCCAGGTGCTGGAACTATAAAATGAAAGTGAACACTATCAATCAACCAACCAACAAAAATCCTAGCAAAAAATAAATAAAAATAAAACACTGGACATAATAGGAAGTGTCATATTATTTAAAAAAAAAACAACACAATTCAACTGTTATGTACAGGAGGAAATGACCCATTTTGACTAGAAGAATTAGGGACCAGCTTCATGAAAGAGATAGAAAAGTTATAGTAAACTTTGAGGTATAAATTAAATTTAGGTTGCTATAGCTAAGGGAAAGGTCACAACTTGAGCTCTGTGATGACAGATATATCCCACTGTTATGCCTCCTGCTGTATAAAATGCATATATATATAAACAGCCCTTCAGTGATCTGTGGGGCAGTATCAGGCAGTTTAACATTTATGTGATTAAAGTCACAGAAGAACAAGAAGAGAAAAAAAAATGCAGAAGAATATTTGAAGGAATAGCTAAAATTTTTCTTCAATTTGGGTAAAAACATCGAGATACAAATCCAAGAATCTCAGTGAAACTCAAGCAGGATAAAACAACAAGAGAAAGATAAGTGAACACACCATAGTAAACTGCTGAAAATTAATGGTAAAGATAAATTCTTAAGAGGAGGCAGAAAAAAAGACATTAAGTAGAGAGGAAAGCGTAAAATTATGGCTGAATTCTCATCAGAAACAATGGCAATCAGAAAACAGTTGAATTATGTTTTCAAAGTGCTGAAAAAAAGATGGCCAATCAAAAATTCTATGTCCAGTGAATGTATGAATTAATAGCACAAAAGATAGGAGAAGGGGTAAAATGAATTATACTGTTAAAACATACTGGTGTGTGTGTGTATGTGTATGTGTGTTCTTGTAATATTATATCAAGTCGAATTCCAAATTATGTTGGATTAACATTCAAGTAGAATTGAAGTTAATTCAAGTAGACTAAGATAAGGATACATATCATGATTCTCAGTGTAATCCCTTAAAAATAGGGAAATCCAATACAGGAGATAATATGCAGTGCTCAAATGTGCTCAAAAGTATGCAGCCCTAAAGAAGGCAAAAAGGGAAAAACAAAACAACATATCCATGAGACCAATAAAACATACACTTAAACTCATCCATAATTACATTAACAGTATATCAACTATACCCTTCCATTAAAAGCCAGAGATAATCACACAGGGCAAAAAGGAAAGAACCAACTATATGATATTCATGATTAATTTAAATATAAAGACAGAGAAAGTTTAAAAGTACAAGGATAAGTAAAAAGATATATGATGTCATCAGTAAGCATAAGAAAATTGCTTTAGCTATATTAATGTCAGAGAAAGTAGACTTCACGACAAAGAACATTAATAGAGATAACAATGGATATTTTATAATGATAAAAGGGTCAGTTCTTCAAGAAAACATAATAATCTGAAACGTGTATGTATTTAATAACAGACCTACAAAATAAATGAATAAAATTGGCAGAAATAAATAGAAAAATCTCTAATCATAATTTAAAATGTTAACATCCTTCAGTAATTGATAGAACAAGAAGACAAAAAAGATATAAAAAATTTGAACAACAATATCCAACATGAACTAATTGATATTTATAGAAGGAAACACCCAATAAATGCAAAATATGCATTATTTTCAAGTGAACATGGACATTGCACCAAGATTGATCATCTGATAAACCATTAAAAGAGCCTCAATAAATTATAAAATATTGAAATATTTAGAGTATGTTCTATGAAGTTAACAAAATTAAATAGAAATTAATGACAAAATATCTAGAAAATCTCTAAATATTTCAAAATAAAGTAACACATTCCTTAAAAAGATATAGTTCAAAGGAAAAATAACAAAGAAAATAGACAACATTTTGAACTGCATGATAATGGAAAATTTGTGGGATGTGGGTAAAACAGTCCTTAGAGGAAAATTAAGCGCTTGTATTAGAAAAGAAGACTAAAAGGTCTAAACTTTCATCTTAAGTTCTCAAATAGAAGCACAACTTAACCTTAAATTAAGGAAGGAAATAGTGGGAATAAAAGAAGAAATGAACTAAAAGAGAAAACATTCCAACAATAGGCAAAGTCAACAAAGCAAAAATTGGTTTTTTGAAGAGATTAATACAATTGAGAAACCCTTAGCAAGATTAATCAAGAAAAGAAAATGAAAGTGGAAGTGACATCATCAATGTAGCAGAACAGGAACTCCTAACTTTTCTTCCACCCACAGATACACCAAATACAAATCTATTCATGAATCAGTTCCCTCCAAGAGGAAGTCATAGACCAATTCAGAGACTCCTACCCACTAGGCAATTGAGAAAACATCCATATCAAATAGGTAGGAAAAGCCAAGGAAAACTTGGGTATGGACCCCACCCAGGCACTGCAGCATATAATTGGAAAAGGAATCCCGGTGGGGAAGAGGGTCTAGACCTCACGTGTAGGACCCTAACCCTATCCCATGGGTTGACTCTTAATTCACTAATTAAATTACTGGAGCACAGATTAGACAAAAGTGTTGTCTCTTTAAACCATAAGAAAAAAGTGGTGGTTTTATACAGATGTACAAACATTTCCAGTGAGTTTCTCCCTCTGGGAGTATGCAGAGAAGGTGCTTAAAGAAACACAGCTCTCTGCTTCTTTCTCCAAGGGGCTTAGAGAACACTCATCCAGTGTTTTTTGTTTTTTTGTTTTTGGTTTTTTCAGGCATAACTCACTTTTTTTTTTTAATTATACTTTAAGTTCTGGGGTACATGTGCACAACGTGCAGGTTTGTTACATATGTATAAATGTGCCATGTTGGTGTGTTGCACCCATTAACTCATCATTTACATTAGGTCAGGACATAGGCATGGGCAAGGACTTCATGACTAAAACACTGAAAGCAATGGCAACAAAAGCCATAATTGATAAATGGGATCTAATTAAACTAAAGAGCTTCTGCATAGCAAAAGAAACTACCATCAGAGTGAACAGGCAACCTACAGAATGGGAGAACATTTTTTTCAATCTACTCATCTGACAAAGGGCTAATATCCAGAATCTACAAAGAACTTAAACAAATTTACAAGAAAAAAAACAACCCCATCAAAAAGTGGGCAAAGGATATGAACAGACACTTCTCAAAAGAAGACATTTATGAAGACAACAGACACATGAAAAAATGCTCATCATCACTGGCCATCAGAGAAACGCAAATCAAAACCGCAATGAGATACCACGCCACACCAGTTAGAATGGCCATCATTAAAAAGTCAGGAAACAACAGGTCCTGGAGAGGATGTGGAGAAATAGGAACGCTTTTACACTGTTGGTGGGACTGTAAACCATTTCAACCATTGTGAAAGACAGTGGGGTGATTCCCCAAGGATCTAGAACTAGAAATACCATTTGACCTGGCGATCCCATTACTGGGTATATACCCAAAGGATTATAAATCATACTACTATAAAGACACATGCACACGTATGTTTATTGCGGTGCTATTCACAATAGCAAAGACTTGGAACCAACCCAAATGTCCATCAATGACAGACTGGATTAAGAAAATGTGGCATATATACACCATGGAATACTATGCAGCCACAAAAAAGTATGAGTTCATGTCCTCTGTAGGGACATGGATGAAGCTGGAAATCATCATTTTCAGCAAACTATCGCAAGGACAGAAAACCAAACACCGCATGTTCTCACTCATAGGTGGGAATTGAACAATGAGAACACTTGGACACAGGGTGGGGAACATCACACACTGGGGCCTGTTGTGTGGTTGGGGGAGTGGGGAGGGATAGCATTAGGAGAAATACCAGTGTTTTAAAACTAGGCTACTAACTTGCATTGGAGGGTTAAAGAGACAGTTAATTATTAACCCACCAACAGTCTGGGAGGAGTTTGCACTCACACCATACACCCTAACTCTTACAATGCCTATCCAAAGGACTGAATCCTAAGTCTCCTAGCTCTAGGAGGAAAAGGGAGTGACATACACATTTTTCTGCACCTCCAAGGACTTCATCCCTCTGGAGCAGTGCAGAGAAAGGGCTTAAAAAATGCAACTACCTTTTTAACGCCAGAAGTTTAGGACACATATTAAGAGCCCCAGTATTTAAAGCTACCCGCCACCTCCCAAAGGACTCCATTTTAAATATAGTAGCTTTGGGAACAAAAGGGACTAGGCATATGTGAGCCTCCCTTGATCACTGAGCAAAGAGGTGGCCTTAAACAGTTGTCCAAACATTTCCAGGAACTACATCCCCTTGGAAAGGTGCCAAAAAGGGATAAGAACATGCAGCTCTCACTTTCTCTCCAAAAGGGGCTTGAGACACACACACCCCCAGTGGCTATTTGATAGCCTGGTTTCTAATTAACTTGCATGAGGGAGCTAATGGGTCAAAAAACAATAGCGCTTCATTAGCCAGAGCCAGGGCTTGGCACTTCATTAGACCCACCCAAGCTTGTCCGAGAGACAAATCCAGGGCTATCCATTCTTTCTGGAAAGAACTGGGTCATGCACCAAGCACCACAACTTTCATAACTACCACCTAAGGGACTCTCTTCTTAACCTAGCTCTGAAAGTCAAAGGGCTTTTGCAATCCTGAGTGACCCATGGCCGTAGAAAATAATCAGGCAGACACATAACAGGCCTGCAGCCAGCAGCTATTCCTCCAGAATCAGAAGGTGCAGCCTGAATATGAGTATAGGGATTTGCCAAGATCCTCTCTTCAGCTTAGTGCAGAGAGAGTGGAAGACAACACCTGCATGTAGCACCACGATGAAGATAGCAAGAACTAGAACATACCTCAAACACCCCAAACTTTCTAGCTACATCTAAGAAGCCAGGCTCCTATCACACTAATATTGGTGTACTGCCAAGACATGGCACATTCTAAGTTCCAGGGGCACCTTAAAATCCCTGGTAAGACAAATTAGTGAAAACCTTCTGCCACACAAGGCCAGTGTGGGAGAGCTATAGAGAAAGTTGTCTTACCTAATGTGCAGAAACCAGCATAGAGGGTAAAAGAAAATGGAGAAACAGGAAAATATATTCCAAATAAAGAACAAATACCCTGACTTGATCATTACACATTTTATGCATGTAAAAAAGTCACATGTACCCTCATAAATATATAACATTTTATATGTCAATTTAAAGGAAAGAACAAAATAAATCTGCAGAAACCCAAATGAAGTGAAGTTTTGTGATTTACCCACCAGTGAATTCAATATGATAGTCATCAACGTGCTCATAGAGGTCAAGACAGCAATACAAGAACCAGCTGAGAACTTCAACAAAGAGTTGGAAAGTATTTTAAAAAGTGCCAAATGTAAATCATAGATCTGAAGAATGCTAACACTGAATTGAAAAATCCGCTAGAGTAATTCAACAAGAGAATAGATCAGGCAGAGAAAAGGATCAGTGGACTTGACGACAGATCACTAGAAAGCATTCAATCTGAGAAGCAAAAAGAATTTTAAAAGTAAAGATAGCTTAAGAGACTTAAGGGACACTGTCAGCAGAACAACATATGCATTATTGGTACACTGAAGGAGGAGAAAAGAAAGAAAGGAGCAGAAAACACATTAAAAAAATAGCAGAAAGCTTTCTAAATTTGGAGAGGAAATTAGAAAGACATATCCAGGAAGTACAGGAGATACTAAACAGAATAAATCCAAAGACACTTAGAACATGATGCATCATAGTCAAATCGTCAAAAGTTAGAGACAAAGAGTGTTGAAAGCAGCAAGACAAAAGTGATTCATCCCAAATACAGGAACCCCCACATGACTATCAATGAACTTCTCGCAGAAAGCTTGCAAGTCAGAAGGGAGCAGAATGATATATTCAAAACCCTGAAAAAATTGCCAACCCAGAGTATTAAACTCACCAATTCTCTCTTTCAAAAATGCAGGAGTAATAAAGGCTTTCTCAGACAGAAAAAAAGCTGAGAGAATTTATCACCACTATATCTGCATTACAAAAAATGTTAAAAGTACTTTAAGCTGAAGGAAGAAGACACTGATTTGTATCATAAAAACATATGAAAGTATAAAATGCACTGGTAAAAGTAAGTACACTGTCAAATTCAAACAGTCTAATAGTGTAATGGCAGTGGATAAAACATATATATTTACAGTATAAAGGTGAAAGGCAAAACTATTAAAAACAATGAAAGCTACAATAATTTCCTAAGAGATCTTTATCATAAAAATATATAAAGTGTAACATCAAAAACAAAACATGGGAAGGGGAAGAGTAAAAGTGGAGAGTTTGTATATGTGATCAAAATTAAGCTATTATCAGCTTAAATTTACCTGTCATAAATATAAGATGTTTTTTAAGCCTAAGAGTAAACACAAAACAACAGCCTGTAACAGATACACAAAAGATGAAAAGAAAAAAATCATACCATTGTAGAAAGCCATAAAACCACAAGGAAGAAAGTAAGACAAGAAAGGAACAAAAAATCTACAAAACAAACAGAAAACAATTAACAAAATGGCAGCAGCAAGTTCTTACTTATCAATAACCTTAATTCTAAATGAATTTAATTCTCCAATTAAATGACATAGAGTGGGTGAATAGATTTAAACTACAACACCACCCAACTATATTCTGCCTACCGGAGACTCATCTTACCTATAAGGACACACACAGACTGAAAATAAAGGGATGGAAAAAGAAATTCCATCCAAATGGAAACCAAAAGAGAGCAAGAGTAACTATTTTTATATCAGATAAAATAGACTTTGAGTAAAAAAGAAAAACTATAAAAAAGAGGCAAAGAAGGTCATTTTATAATGACAGAGTCAATTTAGCAGAGGGATATACCAATTGTAAATACATATGCACTCAATATGAGGGCAACTAAATAAATAAAACAAATATTAATAGATCTAAAGAGAGAGATTGACAACAATAATATAGTAGTAGAAGACTTCAAATCTTGTTTTCCTCAATGGACAGATAGTCCAGACAGAAAAGCAACAAAGAAATGTTGAAGTTAAACTAGACTCTAGACCAAATTGGCCTGACATTTGCTGAACTTTTCATCCAACAGCTGCAGAATACATATTCTTCCCAACAGCACACAGAACATTCTCCAGGATTGACCCATATGTTAGGTCATAAAACAAATCTTGACAAATTTTTAAAAGTCAAAATTCTGTTAAATATTTTTTGTGATGACAATGGAATAAAACTAAAAATAAATAACAAGAGGAACTTTGAAAACTCTAAAAATGCACAGAAATAAAATAGCATGCTCCTTAGTGATCAATGGGTAAATGAAGAAATTAAGAAGCAAATTTTAAAATGTCTTGAAACAAATGAAAATGAAAACACAACATATCCAAACCTATGAGATAAAGCAACAGCATTACTAAGAAGGAATTTTATAGCAATAAATGCTTACATCAAAAAAGTGGAACAACTTCAGGCCAGGCACAGTGGCTCACACCTCTAATCCCAACAGTTTGGGGGACCAAGACAAGCAGATCATTTGAGGTCGGGAGTTTGAGACCAGCCTGGCCAACATGGTGAAACCCCCAATCTACTAAAAATAGAAAAATTGGCCAGGTGTGGTGATGTGCACCTGTAATCCCAGCTACTTGGGAGGCTGAGGCAGGAGAATCTCTTGAACCTGGGAGGCAGAGGTTGCAATGAGCTGAGATCGTACCACTGCACTCCAGCCTGGGCAACACAGTGAGATGTCGTCTCAAAAAAAAAGCAGGACAACTTCAAATAAACAATATAAAAATGGAGCTCAAGGCACTAGAAAAGCAGGAAAAAAAAAGAATAAAAATTAATTAATAGAAGGGAATAAAGATCAGAACAGAAACAAATGAAAATGAGACTAAAAAATAGAAAATATTAACAAAGGTTGGTTTTGACAAGATAGACAAAAATAAAAATACCATTAGCTAGGTTAAGAAAAAAAGGGAAAATAAAATAATAAAATCAGATTAAAATAAAATAAATTTAAATAATTAAAATAAAATTTAAATAATTAAAATAATTTTAATCAGATTAAAATAAAATAATTTATAAAAATAACAAAAACAAAAGTTGGTTTTTGATAAGATAAGCAAAAATAAAAATACCATTAACTAGATTAAGAAAATAAAGGGAAAATAAATAATTAAATCAGATTAAAATAAAATTTAAATAATTAAAATAATTTTAATCAGATTAAAATAAAACAACATATAAAATAAAATAATAAAATAAATACAATCAGAGATGAAAAAGGAAACATTACAACTGATTCCACAAAAATACAAAGGATCACGAGAGTCTATTATGAACAGCTATATGTCAACAAATCAGAAAACTTGGAAGAAATGGACAAGTTCTTGCATACATACAACCTACTAAGACTGAACCATGAAGAAATAGAAAACTTAAACAGATGAATAATGAGTAAGGTTATTGAATCAGTAATGAAATATTTCCCAACAAATAGAAGTCCAAGACTGGATGGCTTCACTGTTGAATTATACCAAACTTTTAAAGAAGAACTAATACTGATTCTTCTGTAATAATTTCAGACAATTAAAGAGGATTCTTTAAAACTCATTCTATGAGGCCAGTATACCCTGACACCAAAATTAGACAAAAACACAATAAAAAGAGAAAACTACAGACCAATATCCCTAATAAACATACATGCAAAAGTCCTCAACAAAATACTAGGAAACCAAATTCAATAGAACATCAGAAAGATTATATACCATGATTAAGTCGGATTTATCCCAGAGATGTAAGGATGGTTCAACAAATACAATTCAATAAACATGATACATCATATAAACAGAATTAAGGACAAAAACCATATAATCATCTTAATAAATGCAGAGAAAGCATTTGATAAAATTCAATATTCTTTCATGATAGAAACTCTCAACAAATTAAGTATCAAAGCAATATATCTCAAAACAATAATGGCCTTATATGACAAACCTACAGCTAACATGACAATATTTTCATACTGAATGGGAAAAAGTTGAAAAACTTTCCACTAATATCTAAAACAAGATAGGAATGCCCACTTTTACCACTTTTATTCAATGTCATCCTGGGAGTCTACTGCAAAATCTTATATGTAGCAAAACCTAATGACTCCACTAAAAAAACTTAGAACTGATAAATGAATTCAGTAAAGACACAGGATATAAAATCAACATGCAAAACCAGTGGCACTTCTCTATGCCAATAGCTAACAATCTGAAAAAGAAATCCCATTTATGATAGCTAAAAAATAATAAAATCCTGGAAATAAATTTTACCAAATAGGTTAAAGACCTCTACAATGAAAACTATAAAACACTTATAAAAATTATCAAAAAGAGCAAAAAATGCAAAGATATCCCATGTTCATGGATTAGAAGAATATTTTTATAATATCCATAGGGATCTACTGATTCAATGCAATTGTTATAAAAATACCAAAGACATTCTTCACAGAAACAGAGAAAAAAACCTTAAGATTTATATGGAACCACAAAAGACTCCAAATGACCAAAGCAATTTTGAGCAGAAAAGCAAAGTTGGAAATATCACTTTACCTGACTTCAAAATATACTACAAAGCTATAGTAACCAAAACCGCATAGTACTGGCATAAAAACATACACACAGACCAATGGAACAGAATAGATAACCCAGAAATAAATTCACATATTTATAGCCAACTGATTTCAACCAAGGCATCAGGAATGTAAAGTGGGGAAAGGACAGTCTCTTCAATAAATAGTGATGGGAAAACTGGATATACACATAAAGAAGAACAAAACTAGACCCATATCTCTCACCATATAAAAAAATCAATTCAAAATGGACTTAAGACTTAAATGTAAGGCTGAAACCTATGAAGCTTCTAGAAAAGAACATAGGAGAAATACTTCAGAATATTGATTTGGGCAAAGAATTTTTGGATAATACCTCAAAGGCATAGGAAATGAAAGCAAAAATAGGCAAACAGGATTATATCAAACTAAAAACCTTCTGCACAGCAAAGGAAAAAACAGAATGAAGAGACAATCTAAATGGGAGAAAATATTTTCAAATTATCCACCTAAAAGTGATTAACCTCCAGAATACATAAGAAACTCAAACAACCCAACAACAAAAAAGCAAAAAATTCTAATTAAAAATGGGCAAATAATCTGAATAGATACAAATGTCCAGTATGTATATGAAAAAATACTGAGCTTCACTAATTATCAGAGAAATGTGAATCAAAATCACATTGAGATATAAAAATAACAAATGCTGGCAATGATTTAGACAAAAAGGGACTCATACACTATTGGTGGGAATGTAAATTAGTACTGCCATTATGAAAAGAAATGATAAATGTTTGAGATGATGGATTTGCTACTGAACCTGACCTGATCCCTTTACGCCACACATATCAAAACATCCCTATGTATCCCATGAATATGTACAATTATTATTTGTCAGTTAAAAATAAAATTTAAAATACCTAAAAATAGAAATACCATGTAATTTAGCAATCCACTACTTGGAACATATCCAAAGGAAAGGAAATCAGTATGTCAAAGCAATATCTCCATTCTCATGTTTATTGCAACACTATTCACAATAGTCAAGATACAGAATCAACTTAAGTGTTCATCAATGGATAAACAGATAAAGAAAATGCGGTATAGGTACATAATAGAATACTATTTAGCCATAAAAAAGAAATCCTATTATTTGGGGCAACATAAATGAGCCTGGAAGACATTATGTTAAGTGAACCTAGGCACAGAAAGACAAATACTACCTGTTTTTACTCATATGTGGGAGCTAAAAATGTAAATCACATACAAGTAGAGAGTAAAATAATGGTTACCAGATACTGGGAAGTGTAGTGGGGAGGGGGAAATAAGGAGAGGTTGGTTAATGGGTACAAGATTACAGTTAGATAGGAGAAACAAGCTCAGTTTTCTATAGCACAGCAAGGTGACTGTGGTTAACCATAGTTGTTGTATATTTCAAAATAGTGAAAAGAGGTTTTTGAATGTTCTCAACACAAAGAAATGCTAAATGTTTGAGTTGATGGATATGCTAATTACCCTAATTTGATTATTACACATTGTATACAAATATCCATAAATATGTACAATTACTACATTTCAACTAAAATTGAAATGAAAGACGAAACACAATTATTACATACTAGAGATTGTAAAGGACATAAAAGTATAATAAGATGGTATTATGAACAGCCTCATGCCAATAAATTTGCCAACTTAGACAAAATAGAAAAAGGTATTGAAATACGCAAATCACTAAAAGTGATTTCAGAAGAAATAGTCAAATGGCTTAATATCTGCTAGAGAAATTGAGTTTATTGTTTAAAAACCTTACCACAAATAAACTATAAGTTTAGATGGTTTTACACACAAGTCCTATCAAATATTTAATGAGGAGATAACACCAAACCTATGTGAACTCTTTGAAAAGATACAGGGAAATACATCACATCTCATTTTATGAAGCCAGTATAAGCTTAGTATCAAAACATGTTAAGGGCATTACCAAGCAGAGATAATGGTAGACCAATATTATTCATGAACAAAGATACATCAATCTTCAACAAAAATATTAGCGATAGGATCCAGGAATATATTAAAAACTACTACATGATGATCAAGTTGGGTTTATCTCAGGAATGAAAGGGTAGTTCAACATTTTAAAATTAATAAAAAAGTTAATTTGTTTACTACATTAACAAAATAAAAAATAAAAATGATTTGATTACTGTATTAGATTCTGATAAAGCATTTGATGTAATATACAATCCATTAATGTAAAAATTCTTAAATTAGAAATAGAAGAGAACTTACTCTGATAACAGGTGTCTATTAATCCCCCTCCACAGTTAACTTAATGCTTACTGGTTAATTAATGATGAATTTTCGGGGGAGAGGGAGGAGCCAAGATGGCCGAATAGGAACAGCTCCGGTCTACAGCTCCCAGCGTGAGTGACGCAGAAGACAGGTGATTTCTGCATTTCCATCTGAGGTACCGGGTTCATCTCACTAGGGAGTGCCAGACAGTGGGCGCAGGCCAGTGTGTGTGCGCACCGTGCGCGAGCCGAAGCAGGGCGAGCATTGCCTCACCTGGGAAGCGCAAGGGGTCAGGGAGTTCCCTTTCCGAGTCAAAGAAAGGGGTGACGGACGCACCTGGAAAATCGGGTCACTCCCACCCGAATATTGCGCTTTTCAGACCGGCTTAAGAAACGGCGCACCACGAGACTATATCCCACACCTGGCTCAGAGGGTCCTACGCCCACGGAATCTCGCTGATTGCTAGCACAGCAGTCTGAGATCAAACTGCAAGGCGGCAACGAGGCTGGGGGAGGGGCGCCCGCCATTGCCCAGGCTTGCTTAGGTAAACAAAGCAGCCGGGAAGCTCGAACTGGGTGGAGCCCACCACAGCTCAAGGAGGCCTGCCTGCCTCTGTAGGCTCCACCTCTGGGGGCAGGGCACAGACAAACAAAAAGACAGCAGTAACCTCTGCAGACTTAAGTGTCCCTGTCTGACAGCTTTGAAGAGAGCAGTGGTTCTCCCAGCACGCAGCTGGAGATCTGAGAACGGGCAGACTGCCTCCTCAAGTGGGTCCCTGACCCCTGACCCCCGAGCAGCCTAACTGGGAGGCACCCCCCAGCAGGGGCACACTGACACCTCACACGGCAGGGTATTCCAACAGACCTGCAGCTGAGGGTCCTGTCTGTTAGAAGGAAAACTAACAACCAGAAAGGACATCTACACCAAAAACCCATCTGTACATCACCATCATCAAAGACCAAAAGTAGATAAAACCACAAAGATGGGGAAAAAACAGAACAGAAAAACTGGAAACTCTAAAACGCAGAGCGCCTCTCCTCCTCCAAAGGAACGCCGTTCCTCACCAGCAACAGAACAAAGCTGGATGGAGAATGATTTTGACGAGCTGAGAGAAGAAGGCTTCAGACGATCAAATTACTCTGAGCTACGGGAGGACATTCAAACCAAAGGCAAAGAAGTTGAAAACTTTGAAAAAAATTTAGAAGAATGTATAACTAGAATAACCAATACAGAGAAGTGCTTAAAGGAGCTGATGGAGCTGAAAACCAAGGCTCGAGAACTACGTGAAGAATGCAGAAGCCTCAGGAGCCGATGCGATCAACTGGAAGAAAGGGTATCAGCAATGGAAGATGAAATGAATGAAATGAAGCGAGAAGGGAAGTTTAGAGAAAAAAGAATAAAAAGAAATGAGCAAAGCCTCCAAGAAATATGGGACTATGTGAAAAGACCAAATCTACGTCTGATTGGTGTACCTGAAAGTGATGTGGAGAATGGAACCAAGTTGGAAAACACTCTGCAGGATATTATCCAGGAGAACTTCCCCAATCTAGCAAGGCAGACCAACGTTCAGATTCAGGAAATACAGAGAACTCCACAAAGATACTCCTCGAGAAGAGCAACTCCAAGACACATAATTGTCAGATTCACCAAAGTTGAAATGAAGGAAAAAATGTTAAGGGCAGCCAGAGAGAAAGGTCGGGTTACCCTCAAAGGAAAGCCCATCAGACTAACAGCGGATCTCTCGGCAGAAACCCTACAAGCCAGAAGAGAGTGGGGGCCAATATTCAACATTCTTAAAGAAAAGAATTTTCAACCCAGAATTTCATATCCAGCCAAACTAAGCTTCATAAGTGAAGGAGAAATAAAATACTTTATAGACAAGCAAATGCTGAGAGATTTTGTCACCACCAGGCCTGCCCTAAAAGAGCTCCTGAAGGAAGCCCTAAACATGGAAAGGAACAACCGGTACCAGCCGCTGCAAAATCATGCCAAAATGTAAAGACCATCGAGACTAGGAAGAAACTGCATCAACTAATGAGCAAAATCACCAGCTAACATCATAATGACAGGATCAAATTCACACATAACAATATTAACTTTAAATATAAATGGACTAAATTCTGCAATTAAAAGACACAGACTGGCAAGTTGGATAAAGAGTCAAGACCCATCAGTGTGCTGTATTCAGGAAACCCATCTCACGTGCAGAGACACACATAGGCTCAAAATAAAAGGATGGAGGAAGATCTACCAAGCCAATGGAAAACAAAAAAAGGCAGGGGTTGCAATCCTAGTCTCTGATAAAACAGACTTTAAACCAACAAAGATCAAAAGAGACAAAGAAGGCCATTACATAATGGTAAAGGGATCAATTCAACAAGAGGAGCTAACTATCCTAAATATTTATGCACCCAATACAGGAGCACTCAGATTCATAAAGCAAGTCCTGAGTGACCTACAAAGAGACTTAGACTCCCACACATTAATAATGGGAGACTTTAACACCCCACTGTCAACATTAGACAGATCAACGAGACAGAAAGTCAACAAGGATACCCAGGAATTGAACTCAGCTCTGCACCAAGCAGACCTAATAGACATCTACAGAACTCTCCACCCCAAATCAACAGAATATACATTTTTTTCAGCACCACACCACACCTATTCCAAAATTGACCACATAGTTGGAAGTAAAGCTCTCCTCAGCAAATGTAAAAGAACAGAAATTATAACAAACTATCTCTCAGACCACAGTGCAATCAAACTAGAACTCAGGATTAAGAATCTCACTCAAAGCCACTCAACTACATGGAAACTGAACAACCTGCTCCTGAATGACTACTGGGTACATAACGAAATGAAGGCAGAAATAAAGATGTTCTTTGAAACCAACGAGAACAAAGACACCACATACCAGAATCTCTGGGACGCATTCAAAGCAGTGTGTAGAGGGAAATTTATAGCACTAAATGCCTACAAGAGAAAGCAGGAAAGATCCAAAATTGACACCCTAACATCACAATTAAAAGAACTAGAAAAGCAAGAGCAAACACATTCAAAAGCTAACAGAAGGCAAGAAATAACTAAAATCAGAGCAGAACTGAAGGAAATAGAGACACAAAAAACCCTTCAAAAAATCAATGAATCCAGGAGCTGGTTTTTTGAAAGGATCAACAAAATTGATAGACCGCTAGCAAGACTAATAAAGAAAAAAAGAGAGAAGAATCAAATAGACACAATAAAAAATGATAAAGGGGATATCACCACCGATCCCACAGAAATACAAACTACCATCAGAGAATACTACAAACACCTCTACGCAAATAAACTAGAAAATCTAGAAGAAATGGATACATTCCTCGACACATACACTCTCCCAAGACTAAACCAGGAAGAAGTTGAATCTCTGAATAGACCAATAACAGGCTCTGAAATTGTGGCAATAATCAATAGTTTACCAACCAAAAAGAGTCCAGGACCAGATGGATTCACAGCCGAATTCTACCAGAGGTACAAGGAGGAACTGGTACCATTCCTTCTGAAACTATTCCAATCAATAGAAAAAGAGGGAATCCTCCCTAACTCATTTTATGAGGCCAGCATCATTCTGATACCAAAGCCGGGCAGAGACACAACCAAAA
The DNA here is from genome assembly GCF_000001405.40 of Homo sapiens. Taxonomy (NCBI): domain Eukaryota; kingdom Metazoa; phylum Chordata; class Mammalia; order Primates; family Hominidae; genus Homo; species Homo sapiens. Next base: position 102,568,821 of record NC_000002.12, on the reverse strand, counting down.
AAGAGAATTTTAGACCAATATCCTTGATGAACATTGATGCAAAAATCCTCAATAAAATACTGGCAAACCGAATCCAGCAGCACATCAAAAAGCTTATCCACCATGATCAAGTGGGCTTCATCCCTGGGATGCAAGGCTGGTTCAATATACGCAAATCAATAAATGTAATCCAGCATATAAACAGAGCCAAAGACAAAAACCACATGATTATCTCAATAGATGCAGAAAAAGCCTTTGACAAAATTCAACAACCCTTCATGCTAAAAACTCTCAATAAATTAGGTATTGATGGGACGTATTTCAAAATAATAAGAGCTATCTATGACAAACCCACAGCCAATATCATTCTGAATGGGCAAAAACTGGAAGCATTCCCTTTGAAAACTGGCACAAGACAGGGATGCCCTCTCTCACCGCTCCTATTCAACATAGTGTTGGAAGTTCTGGCCAGGGCAATCAGGCAGGAGAAGGAAATAAAGGGTATTCAATTAGGAAAAGAGGAAGTCAAATTGTCCCTGTTTGCAGACGACATGATTGTTTATCTAGAAAACCCCATCGTCTCAGCCCAAAATCTCCTTAAGCTGATAAGCAACTTCAGCAAAGTCTCAGGATACAAAATCAATGTACAAAAATCACAAGCATTCTTATACACCAACAACAGACAAACAGAGTGCCAAATCATGAGTGAACTCCCATTCACAATTGCTTCAAAGAGAATAAAATACCTAGGAATCCAACTTACAAGGGATGTGAAGGACCTCTTCAAGGAGAACTACAAACCACTGCTCAAGGAAATAAAAGAGGACACAAACAAATGGAAGAACATTCCATGCTCATGGGTAGGAAGAATCAATATCGTGAAAATGGCCATACTGCCCAAGGTAATTTACAGATTCAATGCCATCCCCATCAAGCTACCAATGGCTTTCTTCACAGAATTGGAAAAAACTACTTTAAAGTTCATATGGAACCAAAAAAGAGCCCGCATCGCCAAGTCAATCCTAAGCCAAAAGAACAAAGCTGGAGGCATCACACTACCTGACTTCAAACTATACTACAAGGCTACAGTAACCAAAACAGCATGGTACTGGTACCAAAACAGAGATATAGATCAATGGAACAGAACAGAGCTCTCAGAAATAATGCCACATATCTACAACTATCTGATCTTTGACAAACCTGAGAAAAACAAGCAATGGGGAAAGGATTCCCTATTTAATAAATGGTGCTGGGAAAACTGGCTAGCCATATGTAGAAAGCTGAAACTGGATCCCTTCCTTACACCTTATACAAAAATCAATTCAAGATGGATTAAAGATTTAAACGTTAGACCTAAAACCATAAAAACCCTAGAAGAAAACCTAGGCATTACCATTCAGGACATAGGCGTGGGCAAGGACTTCATGTCCAAAACACCAAAAGCAATGGCAACAAAAGCCAAAATTGACAAATGGGATCTAATTAAACTAAAGAGCTTCTGCACAGTGAAAGAAACTACCATCAGAGTGAACAGGCAACCTACAACATGGGAGAAAATTTTCGCATCCTACTCATCTGACAAAGGGCTAATATCCAGAATCTACAATGAACTCAAACAAATTTACAAGAAAAAAACAAACAACCCCATCAAAAAGTGGGCGAAGGACATGAACAGACACTTCTCAAAAGAAGACATTTATGCAGCCAAAAAACACATGAAGAAATGCTCATCATCACTGGCCATCAGAGAAATGCAGATCAAAACCACTATGAGATATCATCTCACACCAGTTAGAATGGCAATCATTAAAAAGTCAGGAAACAACAGGTGCTGGAGAGGATGTGGAGAAATAGGAACACTTTTACACTGTTGGTGGGACTGTAAACTAGTTCAACCATTGTGGAAGTCAGTGTGGCGATTCCTCAGGGATCTAGAACTAGGAATACCATTTGACCCAGCCATCCCATTACTGGGTATATACCCAAAGGACTATAAATCATGCTGCTATAAAGACACATGCACACGTATGTTTATTGCGGCACTATTCACAATAGCAAAGACTTGGAACCAACCCAAATGTCCAACAATGATAGACTGGATTAAGAAAATGTGGCACATATACACCATGGAATACTATGCAGCCATAAAAAATGATGAGTTCATGTCCTTTGTAGGGACATGGATGAAATTGGAAACCATCATTCTCAGTAAACTATCGCAAGAACAAAAAACCAAACACCGCATATTCTCACTCATAGGTGGGAATTGAACAATGAGATCACTTGGACACAGGAAGGGGAATATCACACTCTGGGGACTGTGGTGGGGTCGGGGGAGGGGGGAGGGATAGCATTGGGAGATATACCTAATGCTAGATGACACGTTAGTGGGTGCAGCGCACCAGCATGGCACATGTATACATATGTAACTAACCTGCACAATGTGCACATGTACCCTAAAACTTAGAGTATAATAAAAAAAAAAAATTAAAAAAAAAAAATGATGAATTTTCCCCCTCTCTACATCTTTTCAACGTTGTGTTAGAGATGCTAGTTAGTACAATAAAGCAGGAAAAAAGAATACAAACTACCAATATTGGAAAGATACAAAGTTATGTTTATTTGAAGATGATATGATTGTACACATAGAAAATGTTGATAGATCCACATAAAACATACTACATTTAATAAGTGAATTTAGCAAGGCCACAGGATACAAGGTTAATTTGAAATTTAATTGTAACTGCATATACCAGCAACAAATAATTGAAAAATAAAATCAAAATGCAGTAATTTAAAAGCACATAGCATAGCCTAAAAATATTAAAATGCTGAGTGATAAAGTTAGTGAAAGATGTACACAAAATCTACATTAAAGAATATAAGACATTAATTACTAAGTTAAATACCCCAATAATGGGGAAATATACTGTGTTCATTAATTGGAAGACTCATTGTTTGTAAGATGCAATTTCCCCCCACCAAAATGGGATTCACCACAGATTCACAACAATACTAATCAAGACTCTAGTGGATATTTTTTATGGAAACTACATGCTTATGTTGAAATTCATATGGAAATGCAAAAGGCCAGAGACAGTCATAATTATCTTTAAAAAAAAAAAAACAAGTTTGAGGACTTACATTTCTGGATATAAAGATTTGCTATAAAGATACAGAAATCAAGACCATGATATTGACAATAAGGATAGACAATAATTTAATGCAGCAGAAGAGAGGGTTTTGGTATAGACTCATATATATATAGTTAGTGGTTTTTGACATAGTCACCAAGAACTACCTACTCTATGTTGACTAGGTCAGTGTGGAATCTGTAAGGCTGGACTTAGAAATTCAAAGCTACTGAGCTGTGGCAGCCCCAGCCAAACTGAGGATACTGGACAATTGGAGGTGTGAAAATATATGTTACTGGCAAAGAATAATATCTTTACACGGTATGGATGGAGGGTAAGGAGCCAAGAAAATCCTGGGTTTTTAGAGTTGGTTGAACATAAGGCTCCTACCCACCTCCGTGGACCACATCTTTCATGGGAAGTGGTTCTATAATTCCCCTGGACACAAGAAATTACTTCCGTTCCACTTTAGATTGGAGAACACTTTTTTAAAAAATGACAGTGTACCAATGATCAGCATGATTAAAGGCTAAAGGAAGTTTGAAAAACGGTCATATTTTGTTTGGAAATAATTATAGCGAATAACATTTGTTGAGCAATTACTACAGACAAGCATGTCCTACATGCTTTTTAAGCACTATAAATTCCCCAGCAATGGTATGACCATCATTACCATTTTAGAGATGAGAAAACGAAGGTCATTTGCCCAATGTCGTAAAACTGATTAAGGTAAGAAAGATTGGATATAAAAACCCAGGTAGAGGCCGGGTGCAGTGGCTCACACCTGTAATCCCAGGACTTTGGGAGGCTGAGGCGGGTGGATCACCTGAGGTCGGGAGTTTGACACCGGACTGACCAACACGGAGCAACCCTGTCTGTACTAAAAATACAAAATTAGCCGGGCATGATGGCTCATGCCTGTTATCCCAGCTACTCGGGAGGCTGATGCAAGAGAATCGCTTGAACCCGGGAGGCAGAGGTTGCAGTGAGCAAAGATCACGCCATCGCACTCCAGCCTGGGCAACAAGAGTGAAACTCCGTCTCAAAAAAATAAAAATAAAAATAAAAAAATCCAGGTAGTCAGACTTCATAGCCCCACTCTTAAAGACTAGTCTATATTTTCCTCTCCAAAAGCAAACATTTTCACACCTCTTCTTGGCATTTATTTCTCCATGTTTGATCTTTGTGATTCTAGTTACATTTCCTTAAGATAAGCTCATGCAGCCTTATGGAGAGTATACATGTACTTGAGGAAGGGCTCACAAAATTCTGTTCAAATCTGCTCTGCTAATTTATACTTTACAGAGGGTGTATGTAATTGGACTATTTGCAATATAATGAGGTACAATCTCTCTAAACATCACATTAATATCATTAATATTAAACGCAATTCTCACTTTCTTTCCGTCCTCCTTTAACAAACACTTTCCCAGTTGTACTCAACCTTCATGCTTTCTTTGTTCCCACAGTCTGTGCAGAGATGGATTGCTACATTTTCTGAGTGTAATTTCTGAGTCATATTTATCTTTATCATTTCTCAGTTTCTTTGTCCTCTTTTGTATGATATATTGAAGTTTCAGAGAAACTCTTGCTCATGTCCTTATCTTACACCAAACTAGGCACTCTCTCAGAAAACATAAAAAACTCTTATATTTAGCCAACATTGATGGAGTGAGAACTTGAAATGTGTAACTCCTTTATCTAAGCATATTTAAGGTAAAATTGAAAATTATTTTGCTACATACCACATAATGCTAGCGTCTGCTATGTGTTATGTATAATACTAGCCTTTAAAGGAGCAAAGATGAGTAAGACTTGGTAATTACTCTCAAGCAGCTAATGATTTGGTGGCAGACTTGCTAATGGATGCTTGTATGTTCCATGGATTTAGAGAAATGCTAGAGAAGGAAACTCAGCCAGAGGAAAAAGGGCACTGACTGAGGCCCTGGAAGTGCAGGAACCATATCTCCATATATGATGGTTTAATGAATTGGTCATTTGTAAAAGCAATAAATAGCAGCGGAATGTCTACCATGTGGCAGACATTGTTTTAGGGTCTCTAAGTATAATTTTTAAAAAATCAGGACAATTTATGAAGCAGATACAATTATTACTGTCCCCATTTTATAGATAAGGAGACTGAAGCACGGAGAAGCAGAGTAACTTGCTCAGCATCACCCAGCAGGTAAAAGGTGAAACCATGCTTTAAATACAAACATTACAACGGCAGAATATGCATTTTTAACACCAAAATCACATGTCTCCACTAACTGGGTAGTCTCAGGCAAGTTATCAAAAGTCATGCAACAGTACTTATTTTACTTCAAAATAATGGCTACTTTTGATTGAGTGCTACCATATTTCAAGCACTTTTTTAGACCCTAGAGAAAACAATAGTAAACATTGTAACTGTTGGTGTGCAAAATGGTAAGCCACATGTCAAGAAGCTAACTAGATGCTGCTTTTTAATTTTGAATCCATTCAATATATATCTACTAAATATTTTTTATGGTTTAGAAAATGGCTAGGGTAGGGCAGGCAGAAATGGCTGTGAACATGATACTCCTAGTTCTCCTGAAGCTTACTTGTTAACAGAAAAATTAACAAATTATACATAGATAAATAAACAAATAGACTAAGGTTACCTATCATGGTACATTCTGCTTTTTTACAACTATCATCATATTGTAATTTTTTTAACATTGCAAAGATGTTATAGATCCCTTTTATAGATAGATATAGATAGATAGATAAACATATTTTGAAAATCCTTTTGACATTGGAGCAAATTCCCATGTGATATGGTTTTGCTGTGTCCCCACCCAACTCTCATCTTGAATTGTAGTTCCCATAATCCCCACATGTCCTGGGAGGGACCCAGTGGGAGGTAATTGAATCATGAGGTGGTTGCCTTCATGCTGTTCTCATGATAATGAGTGATTTCTCATGAGATCTGATGGTTTCGTAAGGGGCTTTCCCTACCCTTTGCTTATACTTCTTCTTGCTGCCACTAGGTGAAGAGGGACATGTTTACTTCCCCTTCCACCATGACTGTAAGTTTCCTGAGGCCTCCCTAGCCCTGAGGAACTGTGAGTCAAAAATTAAACCTCTTTTCTTTATAAATTACCCAGTCTCAGGTATGTCTTTATTAGCAGTGTGAAAACAGAGTAATACCCCATGCTGTTATATATACCTTACTATGTCATAGAGAGAACTCAATCTGTACCTCCTTCAGCAGTAATACAGGCGGACTTGATCTCCCCTCATCAGCTACACTAGCATGGGATTTGAGTTCAGAGAGTGCAAGGGGAGGAAGTTGGTTCTGTAGAATTTCTATCTGCTGGTAAGAGTGGTGGTTAGGTGCCTGTCTTTTGGGGGTTGTAAAGTCAAGGCAGTGATATAAAAGTGGCATCAGTGCTAACAGTGGTGATATTGTAGTAGAGTTCCTGGCATCTAGGGCCTGCTGTCTGTGATGGCAGCAGAAAGAACAGCAGTAGCGGTTTCTGTAACAGGCCATCTCTGCGGCAATTGCAGACATTTTTTCTGGACATTTAACCCCAAGCTCACATTTCTGCTTCTTTCCCAATGATACTATGAGCTACTGAATATCAAATAATAACTTCCCTATAAACTAGATAGTGAATTCTGTTGTTAGCACCTGAGATCCTTATGTTATTCAGTAATTGTTACCAGGGGTGGGTGCAAGGAGCAGGTCCTCATTGAAATAAGAAGGTGATATTGCCTATCTGGCCTGGTTGAAAACAGAAAAAAAAAAAAAAACAATTAGGATTGGAAGAGAGGATTCTGGTGGCCAGTTCATGTAATGCTGAAATAATTTCTTAAATTATCATCATAATATAGAATTAAGTGTCATTAGGGATAAGGTTTTGAAGGAGATAGTGTATGCTGCCTTAGGACAGTGGGAAGGGCATGAGGAACATAGCACTATGGTGGCTGCTCCTAATTGTGCTGACAGTGTCAAGAAAGACAAGTCCCAATACTTCAGATTTTTCTCCGAATGCAATATAGCCACAGAATCAGAGAAGTTTCTATGATTCTCCTAAGAGAATGTTTGGGAACTACAGACCTATAGAACTAATGTAGCTGAAAATCACACTCCTTGATCATATGAGTCGCTTAATTAAAATACAGGTTGAATTCCCAGCTCACAAAATCTCTTATGTGCGTCCATAGTCACTACCTAGGAAAGAATGAGATGCAGTGCATTTGAGTGGGTACATTAAGGAATATTTGAGTCACTCAAAGTACCCCAAATTTTAAAACTCCACTGACCCTCCCAGACAGAAGAAGCATTCCTTTGACCCTGCATGATGAATGCCTGCCTTATTGAAGACCTTAAATTGACCTCAGTAGGGAAGCTACTTTGCAGTGTAAAGTCACCCCTCTCACTACAGGTCCTTATCACATCCCGGCATGCCCCAGGACCAATTTCAGGAGGAAAAGATTTACTCTCTAAAATAACTGTAAGATATTCTCTAGTTTATATTGATCAAGCAAGGGAAGTATTTGTGGCAATGAATTAACAGGGCTCCAGAGCAGAGAGAAATAAATACAATTTTAGATCAAGATGACTTTGATACCAATGCACTTACCAGACATTTCAGATTTAATGTACATTTTTGGGTGGTAGGAAACACTCTATTTGCTTATTTTGTTGGCTGAAACCTGAACTCAGTGGTAGTCTATGCTAAATGAAGTACAGAGGCCAGAAACTCATTGGTAACATATAAGAGGATTCCAAAGACATGAAAAATGTAGTGAACGTATCTGCATTATGTTTTTCTCCATCATAGCTCTGTCCCTCAAAGAAGACTCTGACGTTCCTCTTTTCACCATGATAAGGGGAACACCAGCATCTGTGAAAATACTGTAATGTTTTTTTCCCATGGGCCATTGAGTGCATTTGGGAGATACCGCTATTGAGATGGGCTCCCAAATTTCAGTGGAAGATAGACTCTTGATATGGCAGAGACCAAGTAGCAGTATTCTGTTAACTATAGACAAGGTAGCTGTTGCCTCTGTGATCATCAAGTTGATTCGTGTGATTAGGAGAATGGTCTTATCTTCAGGGATCTTCAGCAGTCATTGATTGATCACCAGGTTTCCAGAACTGAAATAGCTAGGAAACTTAATAATATCCTTCTCAATCCCCTGAAACTCTGGGACTGTAGCCAGAGGTCTGACTTAAACCACCACAGTAGATTCATGACCATTCACCATTTCTCAGATTTAAGTCAGTTACAAACCCTGTGCCTCTTGAATAACGGGGACCCCAGGTCCTCTTGAGCATCTTATAATAACATTAAAATGACATGCAGTAAGCTTCCTACCCAATATTTCCCAGAGTTATTGCAGATATTTTACATATAATTGTGTCCAAGGAAAAGAAAAAAATCCAGGTGCTTGGGGAATATTGGACACTGGTTCAAGGTAACTTCATTTCTACAAATCTAACATTTCATTGTGGAGCGTGAGTCTAAATAGGGGTTTATAGATGAAGCAAAACAGGGAATTTGTGCCTACTTTTAACTATTGGTGACTCACTGAATCTATGAATCCATTTGTGGTTAATGTTTTAGATGTTGAATGTATAATCAAAACCTAGCAATTGGCTCCCTGACTCATCTAATGGGGACCATTATTTCATAAAGACCAAGTAGAACTCTCTGGAGCTTCTCTTACTAAACAAAATAGGAAGCCAAAGGTATTACCACATTCCTAGGGGAATCACACAAGTCGGTGCTACTTTCAGAGATTTCAGAGATGCAAGAAAGGTGATTTCTATGACCTCCCCACTTGACTGTCTGTTTAGGCTGTGCAGAAGACTTCTGGAGGTGGTGAGGGCTGCGGTCCCCCAGTAATACCCCCTTAGGACTGAGACACAGCTATCAGGAATGCTGCCTGCTAAAGGTTTGAGGCCTAGTCCCTCCTCAGAAATGCCCTTAGCTGAAGAGAGTGGCCTGGCCCAAAGTTAAGACCCTTCCCCAGGGCAGCCTACATCTAATGATGAGTCCTCATTAAGAGTTAAAGGCTTGACTTCTTTGCCTGAGTTCAGGTCATCTCTGAAGGGTCCCCACACCATCAGAGCTCCCTGGAGATTTGGCAACGACTTTTGTTGCCATTCTATCACAGTTAACTCTCTCCCTCTGCCCAATCCCCATCACTCACAGGTGTTCCTGGGCATGCTCCCTGTAAAAATCCCTGCAAACAATCTGCTGCTCAGAGTCTATTTCCCAAGGAACCAGACCCAAGTCAATTGGTGCCCACATTGGCCATAGGAATCAAATTCAAAATGAGATTTTGCAGCTAGGTCACCTACAAATTGGCCATGAGGACCCTATATCTGATGGTAGGTAGAATATATAGCCTGTGGTATGCTGTTATTGTGTAGTTATTAAATTTTCATATACTGGTCATATACTGGGATTGAATGCCAGCGGGAGGAGATACACATGCAGGTGAAATAACTAAGGTGTTTGAGAGGCTTGGGGAAGTACAAATTATATGGAAAACGGAATTGGATGGCTGCTGCTGAATACCATGAATGCACTAGGAAAAGGTAGTGAAATGCTGATGGTGATTAATTACCAGTTTAATCCTAGATGTGAAGCCAGAGGCCTCCTTGAAAGTACATAAAGAGACTCACATCCTGCAGCTGGAGAGCAGAGAAAACCAAAGACTGGCCCTAGAAGTTAATAACACAAGCGGCAGACTCCGCAAAGTTAGTAGAACAAGCAAAGACAAATTAATTATCTTACAGTTCTAGAAATCCAAAGTCTGAAATGGGTTTTACTGGGTCAAAATCAAGGTGCCAGCAGGGCTGCAATCCTTCTGGAGGCTCTAAGGGAGAGTCATTCCTTGCCTTTTCCAGCTTCTAGAGGTTATTTGTATTCCTTGGCTTATGGCTCCTTCCTCCATCTTCAAAGCCAGCAGAGTAGCATCTTCAAATCTCTCTCTGACTTTGACCCTCTGTGTGCATGTCTCAACTCTTTATGACTCACCCTCTTGCCCTGCTCTATAAGAACCCTTGTGATTGCACTGGGCCTGCTTGGTTAATCCAGGATAATCTCCCTATGTTAAGATATTTTACTTGATTACATTTACAAAGTTCTTTTTGCCATATAAAGTAACATATTCACAGGTTTTAGAGATTGGAATGTGGATTTTTTGTTCTGCTTTGTTTTTGAGACGGAGTCTTGCTCTGTTGCCAGGCTGGAGTGCAATGGTGCAATCTCAGCTCACTGCAACCTCCGCCTCCTGGGTGCAAGCGATTCTCCTTCCTCAGCCTCCTGAGTAGCTGAGATTACAGGCACCTGCCACCACACCTGGCTAATTTTTTGTATTTTTAGTACAGATGGAGTTTCATCATGTTGGCCAGGCTGGTCTAGAACTCCTGACCTCAAGTGATCCACCAGCCTTGGCCTCCCAATGCCCAGCCTGGAATGTGGACATTTTTTTAAAGGGCACTACTCTGTCCATTACACCACCTAAATAAACAACAATTCCTTGCCAGTTTTCCAAACTGGTCAGATTTCAGAACAAGAACCGACTGACTGAAGCAGAGGCCAGATCCCCAAAATCACAGATCCTATAACCGTAAAACAAGTATATATGGTATGATTACCTACTCCTTCCCTAAAAGGATCTATAGCTTTTTATTCAGGGAGCCATCAACTAGGAAAAGGCGAGTACCCAGACATTTCAGGGGCTGTTGGACACAGGGTTGACTTGACATTAATACCAGAGATCTAAAGGATCATCGTGAACCAACTGTTAAAGTGAAAGTAAGCAGGAACGAGGTCTAGCTGACTATGGGTTCATTTGCCACAAAGACCCACCCAATGGTCATTTTCCTGAACCCTAAATATATAATTGAAGTAGACTTATTTAGAGATTGACAGAGCCCCACATTTTTTTCTTGTCTCTTAGGGTAAGAGCTGGTAAAGATGACAAAGTCAAGTTGAAGCCTCTAACATGTCTCTTCTGTGGCCAAGATATTAAATTACATGACAGAGATTAGTTCCACCTTCAAAGACTTAGATAAAATAGTGGGTTCAATGCCAACAATATTCCCATTTAATTCACCAGTCTGGTTCCGCCTAGAAGCAGATGGATCCTACAGGCTGGTAGTGGACTATTGCAAATTAAAAGAAATAGTTGCTCCAATTGCAGCTGCTATCTATATGTGGTATTATCTTTGCTAGACCTGATAACATGGACGCAGGTATATCCTATGCTATGTTATGCAGCCATTCATCTGTTTAATGCATTTATTTTCATCCCTATCAAGACATAGAAACAAAAACAGTTCGCATTCTCACAGAACAGACAGTAATATGCATATTGGGTCTTTCCCCAGGGCTATATTAATGATCCATTTCTCTGAAGTTACCTAGTCCTTATAAAGTTTACACATCAGATCATAGCAATACCATAAGAAGTGACCTGAATGTACAAGGAGTATCAAGTGTTTTGGAGGCCTTAATAAGACACATGCACAGAAGGAGTTTGGAGATAAACAATACAAACATTTAGGGACCTGCCACATTAGTGAACTTTTCATGCCCCAAATATGAGGCCTACTGAGACCACTCCTTCTAAAATAAAGGTCAGAATGTTGTGTCTTGCACTTCTCATTGCTAAGAGGCAAGCACAAGTTCTGGTAGATTTCTTTGGGTTCTAGAGGTGGCATATTTCACACTTGGGAATATTTCTGTAGTTCACTTATCAAGTAACACAGAAGACTGTCAATTTAAAAAAAATTATAGATACACAATAGTTGTACATTTTTATGGGGCATGTGATATTTTGATATAGTCATATAATGTATAATGATCCATTTAGGCCAATCAGGCTATCTATCACCTCAAATATTTATCTTTTCTTTGTGTTGGGAACATTTTAGATTCACCCCTCTGGTTATTTTGAAATATACAATACATTCATGTTAACTATAGTCACCTTGCTATGCTACCAAACACTAGATCTTATTCCTTCTAGCTACCTGTAGTTTTTGCACCCGCTAACCGACTGGGACTCCTCAGAAAAGATCTCTGCAGCAGCTCCAGGCAATATTTCAAGTAGTCCCGCTACTTCAGCCATATAACAAACCCTATGTCATTCAAGATATTTGTAGTAGGAAAAGAAACTATAAGGAGTTTATGGCAAGCTTGTGTAGAAGACTCACAAAATCAATGTCTAAAATTCTGGAGTAAGGCCATGCCAAAAATAGCAAAAGATTACTTGTTTTAAAAACAGCTGTTGGCATGCTACTGGGATTCTATAGCATATGACATGGGACATCAAGTGATCATGCTTCCAAATTGCCTCTCATGATCTGAGTCTGTTAGACTTCCCCCTCATTGAGCCGTAAGTTTAGTCAGGCCAACCAACAAACAATAATATCAAATTTGTATTTCTGGGATCAGGCATGAGCAGGGCCAAAGAGCACAGGTGACCTGCACAACCAGGTGGCCTGGACCCTGTTCCACCAGGACCCTGCTCTACAGTCTAGGGGTGGAAAAGACTTCCCATCTTCACTAGCCCAAGGGTCTTTTGTTACTCCTTGTTGACATTCCTAACTTTGTCTTCATCTTTCTGAGTAGATTCTTCACTAAATAATTATTAATTATCATTACATAGGGTTGCATGGTTTTCTGACGGAACTCTGAAACTATGGGAAAGAATAAATTGCTTCAGATTTGTGACCTACAGAAACCTAACTGGTTAGGATAATCGTTATATTTTCATTGAATGGATCACATTTTCTCTAAGACATGTGTGTCTTGCTAAGGCATCAATATTTCTTGCTGTTCCCTGGTAACCTAAGCCTGTCAGCAAGTCATGGAATAGTATGTCCTATGGGATGATAAAATAAAGCCCTAGTAGTCAAATTTACAGAACAGAACTCAAGTGGATACAGCCTAAAACAAAATGGCAAAAGTGCAGTTGAGCCTTGAACAACATAGGTTTGAACTGTGTGTCTACTTAACATGTAATATTTTTTCAGTAAATATATTGGAAAACTTGTTGGAGATTTGCAAGGATTTTTAAAAACTTACAGATGAACTGCATAGCCTAGAAATGTTGAAAGAATAAGGCAAAGTTAGGTATGTGGTAAATTCATTAAATATAGATACTAGTCTATTTCATCATTTTCTACCATAAAATATACATGAATCTACTATAAAAAGTTAAAGTGTATCAAAACTTATGCATACAAACACAAACTATACATGGTGCCACTTGCAGTTTAGAGAAATGCAAACAAATGTAAAGATGCAGTATGAAATAATAACTGCATAAAATCAACTGTAGTACAAAATGCACTATTATAATAATTTCATAGTCACCTCCTGTTGCTATTACAGTGAGCTCAAATATTGCGAGTATCTGCTTAAAATGCAATGTGATGCTGATCATGTCCATGTGAGCAGTTCACTTCTCCAGTAAATTGGGTATCAGGTTCTCTCATGCTTCTCTTTTATTTTTCATTGTGTTTAGTGGGATATTGTAAACCTTTAATAACACCATGGGACCCATATGAAGTGCCACCAGTGATGCTGGAAGTCCTCCCACGAAGCAGAGAAAAGTCATGACATTACAAGAAAAAACTGAATTGCTTGATACCTAGCATGAATGGAGGTCTGCATCTGCGGTTGACCGTCATTTCAGGCAGATGGTTCATCTTGCAGACAAACGATGAGGTCAATAAATATAGTATAGAACTATAAATGTATTTTATTTTCCTTACAATCTTTAAACATTTTCTTTAACTTCCTTTATTGTAAGAATATATTGTGTAATACATACAACATGCAAAATATATGTTAATTGACTGTTAATGTTATAGGTAAGGCTTCCAGTCAACAGTAGGCCATTAGTGAAGATTTTGGAAGTCAAAAGTTATACACAGATTTTTTTACTCCACAGGGGTTTGGAGGATTCAGTGCCCCTGACCCCCACATTGTTCAAGAATTAATGGAATTAGTACGACCTCTTCTAAATTAAAAAAAGCTACTGTTGGTGTTCCCTGCTTATTGAAATAGAGGGAGAAACACATTTTCTAGTTCAATAGCTGCCTGCTAAGTGCCAGGAGTTATATTAATTTATTCTAGTAAATTTACCAAATCTGGAAAAAACTGGTCAGATTCTCCATGAAAAAAAATCTTTAATACAGAAATTTGTGTGCAGAAAGTTTATTTGAGAATGATGTTAGCAACACTTATGAAGCTCTAAGGGAAAGGATTTAGAGCAAAGAAAGAAGTTATGCTGTAATATACTGCAACATAGTCTCAACTCATTTCACAGAATATTCTGAATCAGAACCATTCAGAAATGCCTGAAATGAGGCAGGAAGAATGGCCCTTTTTGTCTTCCTATGGATAAGTTACCGGTTCTAGTCTGCTCCCATGAAGGAGGAGAAAACTTCGCAATGCAATTCCCTTCACCTGAGGGCAATCTCTGGGGAAGACTTAGCTGTTGACAGGCAATGCTTTTGGAAGCTGGGAGAGTGGATATCAAAATCCTGAAAGAGAACCTGGGTGGTTCACCACAGGGTCCAGTATAGTCCATCCTTTACACCACTTGACTCCACTTATTTTGTAAAAGTTGACACTATCTGGGAACAGCTCTGAAGGAAACATACAAGAGGAAGAATAATGGGACAAACTGTGGTCCTCACATCTGCAGCTGGTCTTGGGGATGCAATGAACCACACTCATTTCCCTCCTGTATTAAGCCTTCTAGATTCCTCTCATCATCATCCATCACTTCTGTTTATCTAGGTGGTTTTTCTGGTGGGTAGTTTAGACCCATATCCCTGAGGGCTTTGAGTCACTGCTCACTTTGCCCTTCAAAGGCTGTGGCTGCTGCTTGTGTTCATTTACCACAAAATTGGCTAAGAAAGTAGCAAGAGAAGTCCCACTGGATCATCTGGGGGACAGCCATATTCTTCCCTGTCTCCGTTGTGTAAGAACATCTTCACCATCAGTCAATTACCCCTACCCAGATGGTGAGTCCTTTTCTTATGTGCTGCTTTTCAACTTAACATAGTCCCAACTTTTCTACCTTTCTCTTGACCCTGGATGGATGACCATTATGGGCTGTATCAGTGAGGTCCTTGTCCTTTGGCTTCTGATTGTGTTCATCTTGTAGGAGGTAGACAGGAGCAAGAGGAAGATGAAATTTTCATATTTATTACCCCAGCTACCTGACTATTGGGCTGGGTAGTACTGTGGATAGAGATATGGAAGGCCACAGATCCTTTTGAACAGCCTTCTCCTGCAGCTCCTAGAGTCTCATACCCAGATTCATAATTTGGCCAGATCTAGCTATATTTTATCCTCCTTGATAGAATACTACTCTTAGAACCCACTCCTACACATAGTCTCCAGACACATCTCAATACAAATTAGCAGAGTTCTGAAACTATTTTAGTATAGGTTATTTTGTATGGAATCATGCCTTGAACCACTCACTCCAGCATGTGCTGGACCTGACTCTACGGTTTTAGAGGCATCCAGGGGAGATGAAGTAAGCCTGGCAGAGAATAATTTTCTTCTTGAGAAGCAGCTATCACAGTAAAGTTACTGAAATATTTGTATACAAAGAAAACCTTGTTCCTTCTAATGAGAAGAAAACAAGGACTACTTTTGGCAAGGAATGACCAGAAGCTCTGCAGTGTCAGAGTCTGCAGAATCATCTTTGTCTGCCTAGATATTGCCATCCCAGGTCTCAGGTTTTTACATTTGTCTTTTTCTGAGCATAAGTAACTTGGCAGGGTTGAGTGTCTAATTGGAGGTGCAACTCTACAACCATTATAATCAAGCCCAGGGCTTCATCATCATACTTGCCCAGGAGATTGGAGTCAATATATGCTGCATTTGGAGATGTTCCTCTGATATTTTTTACCTAGTTTTCCACAAGACTGCCAAATTTGAGTGAGGTGGAGAAAACTTCAATTAACTAAGGCCATAAGACAAGTGGCTTCTCTTCTTGGCCTTTATGTTACCACAGATTCACTGATGCTTAAAATATTGTAAAAGACCTGAAGCCTTTTGAAGCCTGTGTCAAGTGCCAGTAGAGAAGTCACAGTAGAAACCTCTAAGTGTTTGGCATTAAGCCATGGAAGTAATTTTTTCTTCTAGGTTTTCTTTTGACATGTAGCTGTGTTTCTTTGGAGACTGTCTGATTATGGAATATCAGGTGCCCCTGCTATCTGAGTTGCCCATTATAAACGGGGTGTTATCTGAACCATCAAGCCAAATGACACCCAGCTATCAAATAGAGGTGTCATGTAGACCAGGCACGGTGGCTCACGCCTGTAATCCCAGCACTTCTGGAGGCTGAGGCAGGTAAATCACAAGGTCAGGAGTTCAAGACCAGCCTGGCCAAGATGGTGAAACCCCATCTCTACTAAAAATACAAAAATTAGGCAGGCATGGCGGTGGGTCCATGTAATCCCAGCTATTTGGGAGGCTGAGGCAGAGAATTGCTTGGACCGGGGAGGTGGAGGTTGCAGTGAGCCAAGATTGTGCCACAGCACTCCAGCCTGGGCGACAGAGCGAGACTCCATCTCAAAAAAAAAAAAAGTGTCTCATATAGTGTATAAGTTTCCAATTACTGCTTACCAAATTACCACAAATATAGTGGCTTAGAACAACACTAATTTATTATCTCACATTTTCTGAAGTCAGAATCCTGGCATGACGTGGCTAGGTTCTCTACTCAGAGTGTCACGGGACTGATATCCTGGCATTAGATGGGTTGGGTTCTTGTCTGGAGGCCTTGGGGGAAAATTTCCTTCCAAGCACATTCTTTTTGGCAAAGTTCAGTACTTTGCATTTGCAGAACAGGGGTTTGTGTTTGTTAGCTGTCAGCCAGGGGCCATTCTCAGCTTCTAGATGCCACCATATTTCTTGCAACATGACCTCTATCTTCAAGCCAGCAATGAAGAATTCCTCTGTAGTTGAAGGCCTCTAATGCTTTATATCTCTCTTGCTTCCCTTTTGTGACCAGCCTGAGAAAATTTTCTGCTTTTAAGGGATCATGTGATTAGATAAGCCCCATCCAGATAATCTTCCCTTCTTAAAGTCAGCTGTGCCATAAAACATAACTTAGTCACAGAAGTAAAATCTGTCATACTCAGAGCCCCAGGGGTTATGCAGGGTGTGTATACCCACTGGAAATCTTAGGGGCTGTATTACTTTCCATTTGCTGCAGTAAAATACTACCACACAGTGGCTTGAAACAACACAAATTTATTCTGTTACAGTTCTTGAGATGAAAGTCTGAAATAAATCTTATTAAGCTAAAATTAAGGTGTTATCAGGGCTGGTTTATTCTAGAGGTTTCTAGGACTCTAGAGAAGTTTCCTCATTTCCAACTCGCACAGGTCTCTGGCATTCCATAGCTCATGGCCGTATCACTCCAGACTCTTCCTTCATCTCACCACCTTCTCTGCCTCCTGACCCTGCTGCCTCCCCTTATAAAGTCACCTGTGGTTACATATGGCCCACCTGGGTAATCCAGAAGAATCTCCACATCCATGGTCTTCAAGCTAATAATAACTGCAAGGCCTTTTTGCCAAATATATTCACTGGTTCCTTAAGATTATCATGTGGATGTATTTTGGGGGTCATAATTCAACCTACCTACCAGAGGAGCTATTTTAGAATTTTACTTACCACATATAGGATTGGGTTTGAAGAAGTCCTTTATTTAAAAGATGAAATGCATGAACATGTGACACACACTCCCAATATCTATTTCTTGCTCATTCTATGGATTGGACCTCATGAAAAGTTCCCTATGGCCAGTTGAGCCCACCTTACAAGTAGCTCTGCATGAGCTCTGGTATGTATGCTGGCATGATTGGGGAAAGAACTACTTCAACCTGACAATCACAAAGGGTGATGGCCCTGTATTTACAACAGAGGAAGGAAATTTTACCAATGGCTAGAACTGTGATTTACATGTCTGTTCCCCTATGTGTAGAAGGGGAGATTACTCAATGAATTCAGCTGCAAACATGGCTCACTACCCATTTTTTGTTGGTCAGATAGTTGAGGTCATGGAAGGAATAGGAGCATGGAAGACTGGAGACTTGGAAGATTAGTGACAAGCAGGTATAGAAAAAGGAATATAGGTGGATCTGGCAGACTGGGAGAACATTTGAATCTCATGTTAATAGTCGGCGAAAGTCTACCTCTACAGAAGCTCTTAGTAATATGATGCAGAAGAATTCAGGATATTAGTCATTCCTCTTTTTTGCCATTAGTTGGTGATTTCATGAGAAAAATGTCATGAAAGCAGGAACAGAAGCTATGTATAATCTCATTATGATAAATTTTTCTTCCTCAAAACTGACTTTTCCCCAGTGCTGGTGTTTAACTTTTTCAGGACATGATGTAACCAACTGGAAGAACCCAACTCCAGACTATCAGCCAGTTCATTACATTGAATCTCTTTTACTACAGAAGAAACAATGATTTTCTCTCACTAGAATAGGAACTTACTCTATTTCTCCATGTGGATCTGAGTTATTGCCAAGTGTCCTTTTATTTCAGCCTGAGAGACTCCTATTAACATTTCTTGTATGGCAGGTTTACTAATGATGAATTTTTCCAGTTTTGTTTATCTGAGAATGTCTTATTTTCTCCTTCATTTCTCAAGGATAATTTTGATGGCTATAGAATTCTTGCTTGATAGTGTTTCTTTTGGCGTTTTCTTTTTTTAGATGGTGTTTCGCTCTTGTTGCCCAGGCTGGAGTGCAATGGCACAATCTCGGGTCACTGCAACCTCCTGGGTTCAAGCGATTCCCCTGCCTCAGCCTCCTGAGTAGCTGGAATTACAGGCGTGCGCCACCACGCCAAGCTAATTTTGTATTTTTAGTAGAGATGGTGTTTCTCCATGTTGGTCAGGCTGGTCTCAAACTCCTGACCTCAGGTGATCCGCCTGCCTGGACCTCCCAAACTGCTGGGATTACAGGTGTAAGCCACCGCACCCAGCCTCTTTTGACACTTTAAATATGTCATCTTACTGCCTTCTGGACTCTGGTTTCTGATGGGAAATCATCTGTTAATCTTACCAAGGCTCCCATGTCTACAATGGGTCATTTTTTCCCTGTTGTTTCTAAGATTCTCAGTCTTTGTCTTTCAACAGTTTGACTCTGATGTGTCTAGGTGTGGATCTTTTTTAATTTGTCCAACTTTGAGTTATTTGAGCTTATTTAATATGTAGTTTAATGTTTTCACCAGAATTTGGAAGCTCTCAGCCATTATTTATTCATATTATTTTTCTCTCTCCTTTCCTCGGTTTCCCATTATGCATATATTGGTATGTGTCCCACAGGTGTCTGAGGGTTTGTTTATTTTTCTTCATCTTTTCTTACTGTTAAAGAGATTGGAAAACTCTGGTGACTTATCTGCATGTTTGTTGTTTCATCTGAAAGCTCAAATCTGCTGCTCACCCTCTCTAGTGCATTTTTTATTTCATTTATTATACTTTTCAGCTTCAGAATTTCTATTTTGTTCTTATTTTAAAATAACCTCTGTTGCTTTATTGACATTTTGTGTTCAATGGAATAACATAACCATACTTTATTTAATTCTTTAGGCTTAGTTTTCTTTACTTTTTGAGCATATTTCTAACAGCTGATTTAAAGTCTTTGTCTAATAAGACTTTAGACGAAGTCTTAGTAAGCATTGCTGCTGACATGCTGCTCACAAAGCATTGCTGCCCACAAAGAAACATATTTTATAGCAAAAGAAGTAATGCAATACACTGAAATGGACAGAATTCACTGATTTTACCATATACCCCACCACTCAGAAGTAAATAGTGGAATAGTTAACTGAAGGCTCAGTTATGAATGAAGCCAGCTGGGAGGAACTGCCTTGTGAGTTTGGATTACAGTCCTAACAGGATGTGATGTGTAGGCTGAACTAATCACTAATATGTGATTCCATGTTTATTGTAACCCAAATACATAGGTCCAGGAATAAAGGATAGAAGCAAAATTGGCTCTTGTCACTATCATAGCCAATGAAAATATTTTGCACTTACTATTAATATACTTTAAAATATTTTTTCTTTCTGATCTCATGGCTCTGGCTATTTTTGACTCGTTAATCTTTGTTCAAGTTCAATTTAAGGATGAAACTGGGTCGCATGAGAACCAGTGACATTGTTTGATAGGAATGATTACTTGTGGCTCTTTTGTATTATGGAAGAAGGATTGTACAGTATTGATGTTGAGTGGTTGGCAGAGGGAGGGTTGGCACCATTTTTCATTTTTATGGCAGCTCACTGTCCTTTGAATATTTCCATATTTGGGATATATGGTGATTATGGAGGTGCTGTGCTTAGATACCATTTTAAGAAAACTTGTTATGGGGAAAATGGATCATTGACTGCCTCCAGCTGCTATACCTTGGGATCTAGCTTGGTGTTCACACCAGGCCATACTTACTCTGAGCTGCTCTCAGCCAATGAGTGAGCACTGGAAGGCTATTTTAAACAGCCGCTGCTGTTCAATGATGAATTTATTTAAGTGGCATCTTAGGCTCAGGAATTTTCCCCAACACACACACACACACACACACACACACACACACACACACACCAGCTTGGTTTAAACTTTCTCAGAACTGTGCTGCTATCTGAGTTTATCCTGGCCCAAACCTTTCTTTCCTCTCTCCCTTCATAGGTGTGAGTCCTGCATTATGGTCTGAATTTTCTCCCTGTCTACACTCATTACCCATTTATCCTTCAGAATGTTTCTCCCAATAAATCTCATGCATGCCTAATTTCATCTGGGAATCTTCTCTTGGAGACCCTAGACTAGCATATGAAAATTCCAGGAGAGCTGTTTTCCCAATAAAATAGGCAAAACACAATTTTGACTACTAGAATGTGGGCATATAACCTAAGTTCCAACAAGCAGGCATAGCTGACTAAGACTGTTTCAGATGGGAGCAGTTTGGGCAAGAGACTCGTCAAGGTGATAATAGTAGCAGACTGTCTGGTTTTTTGAGTTTGCAAAATCAACTGTTTGAGTCAGAAGTGGCATGGTAAGTGGAATGGCAAGGAAGAGTAGTAATTGCAGCAAGGTCAATTTTCTTCCATTTTACGCTTGGTGACATCATAGTGGTAGCAGCAATGGCAATTTCTTCATCAAGTGTTAGTTCATTGCCTGGTTTTATACATTTTTCCTGAAAACTTAATTTCCAGTATAATTTGACAGTTCTCTCAAAAGCCTCCATAAACTCTTCAACATCTATTAGTAAATTCCTTTTTCTGATTAAACTAGAAAAATTGTATTTGTTATTTGCAATTAAGAGCCTTGGCTACTAAGACAGTATTCGTAATTTTCTCAACGAATGAGTTTAACGTAAGAAGTTCCTTTCCTGGTGGTAATTTTTACAAACATACTTTTCCATTCCAATAGGGATCACAAGTCAACAATTTTTGACATATACCCTGGCTTCAAGGATGGATCTTCAACTGTTTGACTACTATTGCTGTTTGATTCCTATTACATATTAAAATATTATACTATTGAAAATATTTTCACTTGATAACCTTGATGAGTTTACCATGAACTAATGTCAGTCAGTTTGTAGCCGTGTAGCCTCAGAAACCAGAGTTAGCATATTGAGAAAGAACAAATATCTTAGAAGCAGATGACTTATGAATTGATGACTTAAAACATAAGGTGTTAGTTTAAAATGAGGACTGTCATGGGCATCCAAATACACAACGTCTCCATGACAGTGGCTCATCTCCCTATGATAAGGTCCAATATGGTGGGTTATTGGTCAGTCCATTTCCTTTTTTATTCATCCTTATACTAAGGGTAACTTATGGAGTCCCAGTTTTATGGGGGGAAAGAACTGTTAACGCATGATGAATTGAGACTATAAGGCCATTAAAAATAAGTTAGATTCACCTGATTTGTCAAATATCTTCCAGATGACAGCTGCTTTCATTGCTCTTCTTACATCTCTGGATGTACACTTTTTGTTGTTGTTGTTGTTGTTGTTTTTTGAGATGGAGTCTCGCTCTGTCGCCCAGGCTGGAGTGCGGTGGCGCCATCTCGGCTCACTGCAAGCTCCGCCTCCCAGGTTCACGCCATTCTCCTGCCTCAGCCTCCCGAGTAGCTGGGACTACAGGTGCCCGCCACCACGCCCGGCTAATTTTTTATATTTTTAGTAGAGACGGAGTTTCACTGTGCTAGCCAGGACGGTCTCGATCTCATGACCTTGTGATCCGCCCACCTCGGCCTCCCAAAGTGCTGGGATTACAGGCGTGAACCACCGCGCCCGGCCTGGATGCACACTTTTATTTAGGTTGTGGCCCAAGTATTTTGCATTTTTTGATCAACAATGCTTTTTAGAAGCTTACAAAATGTGTAATTTCATAGTTTCAGTAATTTTCAATGGGAAAATACCTCAAATACCATATTTTCATAGTTAAGTATTAAATGCACCACGAATTGATTTTTATGTATAATGAAAGGTGGCAATCCAATTTTTTTCCCAATGGATAGCCAGTTGTCTCATCATTTCTTGATTAATCCCCAGAGATGTGCAGTCTATTCAATTATCAAAAAGTATGTTTCCATATATGTGTGAGTCTATTTATGGAGTCTTTTCTCTATGGTCTTTGTATCTATCCTTTCCCAATACTATGCTGTCTTAATTACTGTAGATTTATTAAAAGACTTGAGATCTGATTTAATTAGTCTCCCAAATCTTCTTCTTCTGAAGTGCCTTGTCTATTTTTGAGACTTTGCAATTTTACATAAATTTAAAACTTATCTTCACAAGTATCATATTAAACCTGTGGATATTTCTATTGAAATTTCATTAAATATGTAAGCCCACTTAGGGAAACTAATAGGTTATTTATACTAACTAGATATATTAATTAATATCTTTATTATATTGAGTCTTCATATCCATCTTCTGTCTTCAATTGAGTCTTCATTAATACCTTCCAAAAAAGTTGTATAATTTTCTCTAAAATGACTGGTATACCATTTCCTAGTGGAAAAAAGTTCAATAATACCAAGAAATGGTATAAATGTAAAAGAAGGACACTAATACCCTTTCCCTATATTACTTGGCATTATCTTCTGAATTTTACTATTCAGATACTCTATGATTCAGCAATTGTTTTTTTGGGAACTTTTCTTAGAGAACATTGGATTTTCAAAAATAGAATAGACAAATTCTAGTATATTCTCACAATGAAATTTTATGCAACGGTAAAATATGAAGCAACTCTAAAGCTAACTGCAACAATAGAGATGAATCTTAGAAACAGTATATACTGAACAAATGTCAGTTTCAAAATATTACATATGGCATAATGCCATTTTTCTAAAGTCTGAAAATGAACAAAATGGAACAATGTGTCCTATAGGAAGGAACACATCTATATAAAACCATAAACATAGAATAATAAATGTGAGATTTAGAGTGTTGGTGATGCATGAAAATGTGATATTTGAGGTATTTTCCCGTTGAAAATTACTTAAACTATGAAATTACACATGTTAACTTCTAAAAGAAAGAAAAATGAGATAGAGAAAGAACATATTCATTGACATAGGAATTGTTCTAGTCCTTCAACTAGGTTGTAGGCTCATGTGTGTTTATTTTAGTGTCTTGATCAGTAATATACACATGGTTCCATATATTATTCTTATGTATCAAATGTTATATACTACAAAAAGAACAATTTTTTATTACTTCAATCTTCAAAATTTTGTTAATTCTCTGGTCAATCTTAGTTAATCTTTATGAAATGTGCTAACAGATTTTTGTTTTAACTTGATCTTCAAAATATTATTATTATTTTTAGTGACAAATATTGCAATATTTACATATAAATTTATGTATTGTCTGAAAATTCACCTCAAAATAATTTGTTGAATGTGGTAGCAAGTATGGGTATGGCTGAAATTAAGATTGGCCATGAGTTAATATTTATTGAAGCTAGGGATGGATATAGAGGTACTCATTATCATCATCTTGTTACTTTTGTATAAGTCAAAATTTCCCATATTAGAAAGTGTTTCTTTAAACCCAACAACCACAAAAGAAATAATAACCATAGAAAAAACATAGATCAATTGAAGCTAAGTAATGCAGATGGGAGCTTTTGTGACCATGAGAGGACAACTGTACACAGGCAGGCAGATCACCAGCTCCATGTGCATTGACAGATCACCAGCCCCACATGCTCTTAGATCACCAGCTCCATGTATACTCATGCAGATAGCTGGATCTATGAGTACTCAGATAGGTCACCAGCCTACATGCTTTTGTTGAAACTTACAGGAAATAGCACCACCCCAGAAAATTCCACTTCTTCTGGCGAAGGGGATAAGCTTCATCCAGACTATTGCCTACTGTTGAATTTTGCATCTCATTCAAATGTTTTCTCCTGTGCATTCAGGCAGAACACCAAGCTAGTGGCATTGATTCCATTTAAGTGTCCATTGTGGGTTGCCTTATTATGTTATTTGTGTTTTGTCTTGAAAGATATAAAAGACAATCAGGACAACATTGATTAAGTTTTGTCAATACTGTCAACAATAGCTCCCTCTCACTAGGAACTGTGGGGCAAATTGTCCATGTCTATCTTCCTTTCCTATTCCACACCTAATCCCAACAGGGCCATGAGGTACACATAGAACTCTCATTCAAGGAAGATCTCAGAGTTCTGTGAGCAAGTTACACAAAGAAAATATTGTTAGTGCCTTCATTTCTCTCTCCCTCTGCCTCTCTCTCTTTCTCTTTCTCTCTTATACACACACACACAGTCACACACACACAGACGTCCTAGAGACATAGAGGGAAGGGCAGCAATTTTTTAAAAATTAGTGTTCAGTAGATTCCTTGCCTGGGGTTTTACATAAATTTTATTTTTTAACATCAGAGGTAACATTATTGTCACCATTTTATACATCAATAAAATAAATAAAGATGCAAAGAGCTATGGTAACTTGTCTAAGGTCCCATAGTCTAATGAGTTCTATTACCAATACATCAAAACAAACAATCTGAACAACAAAAAAGAAAAACTTTTCAGTTGATTTTAGACAGCTTTGCAAAAGCCGGGCATATCTTAGAAGCAAACATAAATACATAATACAATTCATGTGGTAAAAATGATATTTAAATAGACAACTTAAACGAACTGAATCCCACGGCATTTGTTGATACAGTTAGTAATAATTAAATGAAGGCCATTGATGATCTTATTCTTAAGAAATAGTTGGATCAGTATATTAAGTGGATTCCTTAAGGGTCAAATGTATTGAAAGCACAAAGGAGTCAAATTTGAATGAGATGCAAAATTGAGCACTAGGCAATAATCCAGATGAGGCTCACCCCTCTGCCAGAGGAACTGGCCCTTTCTGGGTGGTAGTATTTCCCCACAGTTTTTACAAAAGTAAAATTTAAGTTCACAACATTAAGGTATCAAAAGATTTCACTTTCTCTGATTTCTAGACTAACTTAAATCTGCTCCAAACACTGCCATTTTAGTCTTTCATTTTATATGAATTATTTTGTTGTCTTTCAGCCAATTATAACTCTGAAAATTATAGAAAACTGTTGGCATTGGAAGTAATTCTTGTTCATAGACATACAAATGGTTCTATCAGGTGGAGAGACAATTTTTGATTTCCCCTCCCATCATGCAAAAAGCTTGTTTTGCATCTATTTGTAAGTTAATTTTAGCATTCCCAATTGTCTATAAATGGTATTTTGAATTTGCCTTCAAACTGCTTGAAACATCATATTGGTTTTCTCAATTAATGAGTTGAATATAATCTTTGACAAGTGTTCATCTTCTATTTGAGAGTCATGATTTTATCTTTTTTAAAAAATATATTTTCACAGGATCTAGACAGTCTGACTCCATAGCCCACACGTGCCAAAGATTCTTTGCTTGACCAAACATTAGGCAGAGGCTGAACCTTCTCCAAGGCCCGTTTGTGTACTTCCTTATAAAATCTGTTTTAGAAAAGAACCCTTCTAAGTCAGTTTAGCAAGAAACACCACCCCCAGCCCCATCATGTCTGATTACCCTCAATATCTCATTGGGGTCTTTTCCTCCACCATCCCCCAGGTGATGACTGATTACCCTGGCCTGTCTTCAGCAAGAGTACTGTTAGGTTGGTTTGGCCAGAATCCCCCTTACCCCTGATGTTTCCTCTTAGTAATTTCCCATTCAATTACTCCCACTCTGCCAGTGCTGTAATCAGAGTGGACTCAATCTCTGTTTCTCACTGCAAAATCTCATTACAGTGGTCTCTATATCTATCTTGATTCTCCCAAATGAAGTCTTCCTTACTGTGCCTTAACAAGTGTAATTGAATAATTTTTTCTTTAACACACCTTTAACTACAAAACTATCTAAAACCATCAATATGGTAATACTAACATTTACTGTGCACTAAACTATGTGTCAAACACTCTGCTAATGCTTGGAAGGGTTAAGCAAATTGTCTGAGTAAGGTTTTACAAAACGGCAAAACAGCATTCAAATTCAGGTCTGTTTTACTCCTGTACTCCAGCTCTTAACCACTTGTATTTCCTCTTTAAGTTCTTTCATAGGCACAAAAATGTTTCTGGTTGCTCAAGACAGAAAGAGGGCTCCATACTCCAGAGTTTATAAACTCTTGACCTCATCCAAGTCTCACAACCACTTCATGAGTTAGATGGAGTAGATGTCGTTATCCCCAGTTCAGTGACATGGAACCGACTTCTTTGGTCAATATCACACAACTGCTAAGTAATAGAGCTAATACTCCACCCCACATCTGCTGATTCAGAAATATTGCCTTGTTGAAGGAAGAGGCTATAGGGTTGTCCCCAGACAGGTGAGGCTAATGCCTATTGGAAAGACATCTACTGCAAGGTAAACTACATTTACTGTAATCCTGGAGATAGTTCAGAAGTCTGGAAGAACTGACCCTGTAGTGCTAAACCAAGGTTTAACCATTGCTCTAAGGTATTTAGATCTTAGGACTAAACAGGACACATTAATGAAGCAACATTTTCCCAGAGCTTTCTTTATGTCTGGCATCCAAAGCATTTATAGTCTTATAGAGAACACTGGACAGGACTCTAAGCCTTGCAAATAATTTATCAAATGTAAAATTATCTTCCTGTGTATGGAAGTTTCCTGAGCCTCCCTTAAATACCAAAAAGGCTTAGTGTTGTGATTTAATCACGATAGTACCTTTTCTCCTCCAATAAATTCACCCTACTTCCTCAAGTCATTATGAAACTAAACCTCTTGTGAGGTACCCCAAAATGTCTTATTTTCTGTTCATTCTGCCTGGAAGAATTTAATTGCCAAATTCACCATAGATGTAGTTTACTTTTCAAATTTTCATTTTCATTCTTATAATATTTGTCCAAATGTTTTGTTTTGTTTTTTTTTTTACCAGAGAGCTGCCTGAAACTGCATGTGTTGTGGAGTGAAAGTGCAGACATTCCAGCTGTATTGTCTAAAATCAGAACTTGAAATTCAGCTCCAGGGATGTGGGTGGGGTAGGGCAAGCATTGTTTGCTAAACCCTGTGTTGGGCTGGTCTGTACTGCCCGGCTCTGTGTGACTTTCCATGGGCGTGTCCTTGGGTGAGGACCTGTCCTTTTGTCCTCTCCTTTTAAGAATATCCTTTTTTGGAGGACAAAACATTTATCCTCCTTTCTGACTGGTTGTTTTTTTAACTTCATTTAGAACTTTAGTGATATCCTCCCACCACCCGCCCTCCCCGAAACCTCATCTACACGACCCCTTTTAAAGATGGCACAGTTAGATAATAGAGCTGCCTCCTGAACCAGGTCCAGGACAAGCACAAACTCAAAACAAGGGCCGCCTTCACGGGTGAAAGAGTACACCAGTGAAACCCAGGGTCGGAGTTTCACTCACTCTTAGTTACCCAGAAAAATTGCTGTAAGAAAACAAAATAAATGAAACACTATGGGTCCTTCTTTCCTTTTAGACTGGCTCAGGGCCATGGTGCTAGGCGACCCCTTATTTTAAAAGTTTCTAACTGGCCCAATTTCTAGTATTTTCACTAGTTCAAAGATAAAATCCAATGAAAAAAAATATTGAATAAAAATAATTTAATTCAAGCATAACTCATAGCCTCACTTCACTATATTTGTCCAAAGACGCAGACTCCTGAATGAATGATTTGGTCACACCCTCTGTGAGCATGAATTAGCACTTCAGCATCAGGTAAAATGGAAAGGAACCTTGGAGCTGTGGCAGCAGCAGTCAAACAAGACCTAAATTTTACCTGGTTTGGTAAAGTAACCTTTAAAATTCAAATGATGGTGGCAAAAAGCATATTCTTTTTTTCAGTGTATTCTCTACAACAGTTATGAGGGTAACTACAGCTTAGTGGATAGAGTTAGTGACATTGGAGTCAGACTGCTCTAAATGATACTGCCATTTACTAGCTGTATGTCCTTTGTGATAACTTAACTGAGACTCAGTTTCCTCTTCTGTACAGTGGGGAGAAAAAACATAATAACTACTCTATAAGATTGCTATCAGAATTAAATTTTTAAAGTGTATATATAGAGTACTTAGTAAAATGAGCATATAGTATATGTTCAATTACTGACAAAGTACTTGCCAAGAATATAAGTTCTTTTGCAAATATTATATGAATGCTTCAATAGTTGAAGTCGGCCGGGCGCGGTGGCTCACGCCTGTAATCCCAGCACTTCGGGAGGCCGAGACGGGCGGATCACAAGATCAGGAGATCGAGACCATCCTGGCTAACACGGTGAAACCCCGTCTCTACTAAAAATACAAAAAATTAGCCGGGCATGGTGGCAGGCTCCTGTAGTCCCAGCTACTCGGCAGGCTGAGGCAGGAGAATGGCGTGAACCCGGGAGGCAGAGCTTGCAGTGAGCCAAGATCGCACCACCGCACTCCAGCCTGGGCGACAGAGCAAGACTCCGTCTCACAAAAAAAAAAAAAAAAAAGTTGAAGTCATTCTTCTTATCCCCTCCCATTTTCTTCAGTGGAAATGTTGGTTTATGTGTCCATTCTAAGTAAACAACATAGTTCATGTTTCAACGTTGCCAAGAACTGTGGATATTGTCTGGTCAGGGACTCATTTGGAAACCATGAAAAAGTTCTTTGGAAACAACATATAATTGAAATTCAAAAAGAAACTCAATTAAAATCAGACCAGAACATTTTATAAGTCCTCAAAAACAAAAACATAATGGCTCAAATTAGCAATCTTGCTTATCATCTAATTTTTACATCATTCATTAAGTTTATAAAAACAAATTTTCAAAACGACAACAGTTTCCACTGTATTTACATGTCCACTTTAAAGCAAAGTTCTTTTTTGGCAAGATGGAGCGTCTGTTTTTTCCTATTGGATCTTTCCCAAGCAAGAAAGAATTTTGTGCAGATCTGAGTCACTTATTAAATTCCCAATTCTGCTCAAGGAGGAAATTTAGGTCAGTGGTTATGAGCCAAGACAGACCTGGTGTCTAAGGTCTTCCTTAAAATTAGGGAGACCTTGGATCTGTTACTTAATCTCTCTAAACTCATTTCCCTTCATTTCAGATGTACTGAAACTAGTATGTAAAGCATTTTAATAGTGTCTGGCACATAGTAAGCACTCTAAAAATGTTGGCTATCACTTCTCTATTCAAGATTGATTTCTTAGAACACAGAGGATATACCTTGATTTTAGGACCACCTATTTCAATTTGAGATCTGTATTACTAAGGAAATAGTTTTGGTTCAGTCCACAACATGGTTTTTAGTTAATTTGTTGAATAAACCCCAACTTGAGGAAGACTAGGCAATGGAAATTGTGTTTCTAGCCTGCCACACTTACTTGGGTACCCCTGGCTTGGAAGCTCATTAGAGCCTCAGAAAGAAAAAGAATTTATTAAATCAATTATTGCGCACAGATGAAAGGGCACATCACTTGCTAATTACAGCAGTGGCTAGCACTGATGCAGGCATCTCTTTTATTCTCCTTAGCTTATGGCCCCATTAGCAATTAACGGTGACTGATGTCCTGAAAGGAAGTGTTCTGTCTGCCCTGCTGGGTTTTCTCAGGAGGAATTAGAAATGAGATACTTGACAGAGTTTAGCCAGAAAAATAAAATAAAAAAAATTTAAAACTACAAGAAACCACCTGTTTTATTTGTGGATAAAATATACTTGCAAAAACCTTAAACAGCCTCAACACACTCATTGACTTCATTTATTAAGAATATTTTACTTTGCCTAATTTTGGAACATTATGAAATGTACCAGAAACTATTTTGTTCCATACTAAAAGTGCTTAAACACTTATCTCTTTAGTTAATATTCACAAGTTAACAGAATCACTTTTTTGGAGGGAAGGTCTCTTATAGAAATGAAATTCCAAACTGAGGAATTAAACTCCATTGAGTTTTTTCTCAACAAAAGAGGTTTCCCTTTTCCTCATTGTGTGCCCATCACAGTATACAGAAGCAATGCCATGGTCATTCTGGGAGTGAATCAAGATTAGAACCATACACCAGGGTATCTATACGAAAAGCAAGCAAGCAAACAAATAAAAAAGCAATATTGCTGATATTTGAGGTAATGACCTAAAAAAAAACAATCAAGACGAAGTTGTGTTTTAGTTGAAAGATGTGACTCCATATTCAGGCCCCATCTTTGGTCTGCTCTTGACTGATGGATGCTGAGTAGAGATGTGTCCAGGTAGAGCTGGGATCAAGGTGGTGATGTTCTCTATTTCTGTCACGTCTTCTCCCTAGCTCCCTCAAATATCCTCTCTTCTGCCAATCTAGCTACCTTTCAGAAGTCTCAGTATCAATTATTTATACCTCTTCACATAATTAAAACAATCTATGTCCTCTTTCATAAGCACATGTACTTTAGCCTAATTATAGCTAATAGTGATCAAACTCTTCTATTAAAAAAAACTAAGCTTAGAATTTTACATGTATTATTTCATTTAATCCTCACAATCATTCTATGAGGTAGATAAAATTATTACCCTATTTTATCCATTGATAAATTTCAGCTTAAGTATGATAATTAACTTCCCCAAAGTCTCACAGCTACAAGCGGTCTGATTTCATAGCCTGGGCTTTGAAATAACTATATTACTGAAAATCTAAATGATCATAGTGGCAGGCTTCTTGACAGGTGAGGCCGTATTCACGGGGCTTCTCTGCAAGCTGAAATCAACATTCCAGGCTGAAGACTTGAATTCTGCCTTAGTAGTCACCTCTTATACAGGAAAAGTAATTTTATCATGAAATTTGGGTAGTAATTCCAGCTCTGCCTCCCATGACCCTTCAACTTTTTCAGAGAAGCACAGTAGAGAGCCTTTGTGAGAGAAAGAAAAGAATAAAGGAAACGAAATGTAGTAAAGTGTCCAGAATCTCATTCTTTACTTTGTCATAGCGGATTCCCTTATAGGCCAATGTTTCTGTTCTAGCAGGTAGGTTAAAGACAGGAGAGGTGCCCATGGCATCATGTCAGACTTGAGGAGGATGAATAAGAACACTTATCATATCCCAAACACCAGAAATGTGTGGACAATCTTTAAAGTGGAAGGCTACTATATAGGAAAAATAAAAGGAAATGATATTTTACTCAACTTCAGAAATTCACTGAAACCCAAGACCCTTCAGGCTAATAATACAACTAGGTTTTAGAAAGTTAAAGACAAACAAAACAAAACAAAAACTCTCAGAGGAAAATTAGGATTGTGTGTGTTGTGCATATTTTTTTTTAGATTGAAAATAAAAGGACAAATTCTTTGGGTCCATTGGCAGAGAATGTTTGACTGCTTAGTGTACCAGAAGCCAGGCTCAAAATAGGAAACTTAATGCAATTTAATTTCCTTTCAGAGGGAAGTAGGGAAGAAGCACCAGGTGTCCTTGACACTCAAGAGAATATCCCCTCTGCTGCACTACTGGATGCCTCCTGGAAAAACTCATCATGTGAAATTGATAATCAGAGCATTCCTGGGCTAGCTGCTGTACACTCAACCAATCTCCAAAGTGCACTGTCCTTCCAGAGAGTATGGAGGGAAGATCAGATCACACTGCATTTTCAGACAATAGTGGATGATGAAATACAGAGGCCATTTTGGCCGTGCGCTCTCCATGTCTGACAGAGCCAGCAGCATCACAGCATCAAGGGGGCCCTCAACTTGCCACAAGTTTTAGGAAGTAGCTTCAGGGCCTCTTTCCAGGCTTGAACAGCCATGTCTGTCTGTCTAGATGAACAAATGCCCTTGGGGAAAACAACTCCGTTATGACCTCTACCAACTAAAAGGTAAAGTTCTACTCTACTAAGTCATACCACGCCTCACCTTAATGGCACCAGCATCTCAGAGTAAAACAGGATAGTTTAGATAGAGTCCACTGATTCTTAGACCTTGCTGGCTGCTCCGGGAAGGGCCCTTTGCAATGGATTTCTGTTGTTGTATGGATAGAGTCCAGTAAGGGATGTGGGGACGCTTCAGGTCTGAAGAGTTCATTTTCTTAATGGCACTGGAAAGGTTAATTCTGATGACTTCTCTCCGCTGCTATATCTCCATCTATAGTTCAAGGATAATGGCCCACTGCCTTTCTTTCATGGGACACAGTTTTTTTCTGTTGTTGTTTGTTGCTTGTTTCTTTAAACAAAGAGAACAAAATCTGGCTGGGTGCAGTGGCTCACGCCTCTAATCCCAGTACTTTGGGAGGCCAAGGTAGGCGGATCACTTGAGGTCAGGAGTTGGAGACGAGCCGGGCCAATACGGTGAAACCCCGTCTCTACTAAAAATACCAAAATTAGCCGGGTGTGGTGGTATGCACCTGTAGTCCCAGCTACTTGGGAGGTTGAGGCAGGAGAATTGCTGGAACCTGGGAGGCAGGGGTTGCAGTGAGCAGAGATCATGCCACTGCACTCCGGCCTGGGTGACATAAAACAAACAAACAACAACAACAAAAACAAAACAAAGCAAACAAACAAAAAAAATGAGGACAAAACCAAAGATTCCTGAGTTTTATGTGTGCTTCTGTCCCTTTAGGCTGATTGCTGTTATTTGATAGTGCATAATTTTTATTAAAATCAAGATATTTAGACAATTTAGAAGCAGCTTTATATTTCAGGTTCGGAAGGAGAAAGACAAATGGGCTTCTTTGATGGCATTTCTACCACTGCAGCAGGAAAATGAGTTCAAGTCATTAAAAAAAAGATACATTCAGGAGAAAACACGTGTCTTTAGTCAGTAACTAGCACCCATGGGTTATACTAGAGGACAAGCAAGCATCCTTCAAGGAAAAACAAACTCTGAGTTGGCATCAGAGACCATCTCAAGATCTCATTTTTATCATCTACAAAATAAAAATGCCTGACAGCACCTTTTCTAATGTCCATTACAGCTCTAAAATGCTACTGTCAGTTTAACATTTACAATCTACCATGCGTGAGGCACTATGATAACCGATAACAGAAAAAGATGAAAAAAAGCCAAAAAATACAAAATAGGTAAAGGGGTGAGATAAAAAACACAACAGATAAATGGATAAAATTTAAAATGAACAAACTGTCCTCCCTGTCCTTCAGCCCACTGACCACCAGAACAGACCTATGTGTGCATGCATAGACATAATTCACAGATAAGGTACATAGCATACCCGAAGGGGTGTGGGGGCACCAAGGGAGAAGGTAAAGGCTGGTCTAGGGAGCAGGATGCCCTTGGTCATGGCCTTTAATGACATATAAGATTAAATCAGCTGAGGATGGTACAGATGCCAGTGATGGCAAAAGGGTATTTGGTTAGTTGCATATCGTAGGTTAGTTATTTGGCCCAATAAATGTTTGTTAACCTACTGGTGGCCAGAAGAAGAAAGGGAAGTTGGAAGAGAAGACAAAAAGCGAGGAAAGATAAAGTGATCTAGTAAAATTGAAGAGCTGGAATTTGAGATTCAAGGTCAAATTTGGGGAGATGGGGATGGAAAATGAAATCGAAAAATAGTTTTAATGATCACCATTCTAACTGGTGTGAGATGGTATCTCATTGTGGTTTTGATTTGCATTTCTCTGATGGCCAGTGATGATGAGCATTTTTTCATGTGTTTTTTGGCTGCATAAATGTCTTCTTTTGAGAAGTGTCTGTTCATGTCCTTCGTCCACTTGTTGATGGGGTTGTTTGTTTTTTTCTTGTAAATTTGTTTGAGTTCATTGTAGATTCTGGATATTAGCCCTTTGTCAGATGAGTAGGTTGCGAAAATTTTCTCCCATTTTGTAGGCTGCCTGTTCACTCTGATGGTAGTGTCTTTTGCTGTGCAGAAGCTCTTTAGTTTAATTAGATCCCATTTGTCAATTTTGTCTTTTATTGCCATTGCTTTTGATATTTTAGACATGAAGTCCTTGCCCATGCCTAAGTCCTGAATGGTAATGCCTAGGTTTTCTTCTAGGGTTTTTATGGTTTTAGGCAATCATTAAAAAGTCAGGAAACAACAGGTGCTGGAGAGGATGTGGAGAAACAGGAACACTTTTACACTGTTGGTGGGACTGTAAACTAGTTCAACCATTGTGGAAGTCAGTGTGGCGGTTCCTCAGGGATCTAGAACTAGAAATACCATTTGACCCAGCCATCCCATTACTAGGTATATACCCAAAGGACTATAAATCATGCTGCTATAAAGACACATGCACACGTATGTTTATTGCGGCATTATTCACAATAGCAAAGACTTGGAACCAACCCAAATGTCCAACAATGATAGACTGGATTAAGAAAATGTGGCACATATACACCATGGAATACCATGCAGCCATAAAAAATGATGAGTTCATGTCCTTTGTAGGGACATGGATGAAATTGGAAATCATCATTCTCAGTAAACTATCCCAAGAACAAAAAACCAAACACCGCATATTCTCACTCATAGGTGGGAATTGAACAATGAGATCACATGGACACAGGAAGGGGAACATCACACTCTGGGGACTGTTGTGGGGTGGGGGGAGGGGGGAGGGATAGCATTGGGAGATACACCTAATGCTAGATGACGAGTTAGCGGGTGCAGCACACCAGCATGGCACATGTATACATATGTAACTAACCTGCACAATGTGCACATGTACCCTAAAACTTAAAGTATAATAATAATAATAATAATAATAAAAGAAAAATAGTTTTATACCCTAGGGTAAAATGTCACACCCTACAAATGCACCCCTTATAAATACTTGTTGTTAACATCATTGCTATTAAACTCTGTTTATGGCTGTTTTGTTTCTAATATTCATTTTTAAAATAAATATTTCAATTATGAAATAGACCGTAAACCCATTGTTCACAGATTAATCCTATAGTATGCATCACATCTATCATTGCTACTGATTAAATAAAGCAAATTCATAACAAATTTTATCTCTGATAGAACATAATTATTGCATATTGAATATGAAATCAAAATCAAATTAGTTTCAGTTTGGAGGGAGGACAATCCGACTGTGAACTCACCATGCAACCTTGGACTACATGTCCTTGTCTGTAAACACAAGGGGCTGAGTCAGGTGACTTCAAAGTCTCTTCTAGTTCTATTTGATTATAAGTTGCATATGCATATCGGCAATGTGAATTACTGATTAATCACGCTTGTATTTCAATATATGGCTTGGATCCAATGCTTTTGATAGAAAGTTCTTAGGAATTCTTAGTGACTAATTCCTGGGGTGATCAACTTCTCTCACTCACAGGGAATTCATCTAAAGGTACCCCACAATAAGTACATGGCAGAGCCTGCAAGTTTGCTCCCAGTCCTTGGAAAAAATCTTCCTGCTGCTTATAGATCCATGTTTAATAGCTTCAACACAGCAAACTCAATAGCTCTCTTCTGAATTCCAGAAATCCTCCTTTCACAGTTATAGGAAGACAGACTCTTGAGAAACACCAAAACAATCTTGTGGACAATAACACTATTTTTTTTGGAGCAAAGGACTATGGGACCTGTGATGGTCCCTGCCGTGTCCATGGTCAGCTGTCCACCTCGACCGAACCTCAACCAAAGAGGCCTTGCCCTCACTCTCCCCTCCAGACTCACCCTCCTCATCCACTGCATGAAACAGAGGTTTGGGTCTTAAGGCCACCCTCCTTACTCCACCCAAGTACTCTTCTTGGCTTGTGTTTCTTTGATAACCAAAGCTGAATGCCTTCCTTCCTCTGTGTAGGCTCTTCATTGGTATTATTTCTTGTGCCTCTTGCTTCTGAAGTGACCCTATCCGAGAGCATGCGCTGAACGTGATGGATGGGGATCCTGGATCACTGCTGTCATCATCTAGGAAAACATCATGGCAAGAAGGGGAAAGAACAAGACTTAAGATCAGAGTTAAGACTTAATATCCACATGGCAGGAACTCAGAGTGAAGCAAAGCTCTTCCTGAGGTTTCAGCTCTACACTCAACTTTCTTATCAGCACAATTTTTCCTTCTCAAGGACACTGCCCCAAGCAGATGGGAGGACAGAAGCTATAAGTGCAGTGTCATAAATAAATAGAAATGCATGCAAAATGCTGTATCAAGCCAGTCTCCCCAGGTAAGTAAGGTAGTGTCTTTTTACAGAATCAGATCAGTTGGCCATAGACATAAACCATGGGACACAAAGATGCTTGGTCTTGTCCAAAGCCAATGCTACACACAGGTTATGTGGTGCAGCCATCTGAAAGTGGTTGCTTTTATCTTGGTTTGCTTTTTAATCAGTGGTTACCAGAAAGCATTACATCTGAGTTCCAATCTTTGATATAGAAAAAGTCAATCCTGGAGAAAGGGGGATAGAAGGGAGCCACAGCAGAGACCAGGGCGTGACCGGATGCCCTCCTTTCAGAGGACTAAGCAGGTGACAGACTGTGAATGGCACTTGATGGGAACTTCCCTTTCCTGATAATTTACTATATGCCTGTCACTGTGCTAATCCTTTTAAATATATCATGCCATTGAATCCTCATAGCGGCCCTTTCGGGTGAGTAAAGTTATGAATCTCACAGGTAAAGTGGCTGAGGTTTCACGAACTTAAGCAATACTCAATATCATAAGCTGGTGAATATGGGACCAGAGTTTGAGCAGAGCCTATCCAGCTTCAAATCCACTTCTTACCATCAGGTCTCCTTGCTGTCTCCTTGGTGTATCCACGTGTAAGAGGGAGGGCTACCTCATGAGAGGGGAGCCAGCAGCTGTCTATGCAATGTCCCCTCTTGGATTCTCTTCCAGACCCCTAACCGATGCCTGGGACATTGTCTTGTCCCCACTTCAATGTGCACACATCTTCAAAGGAATATTTCTCACATATATCATTTACTCTCACTTCTTCAAAGTCTTAGCCTTATAAATTTATTTTCCCTTTAAAAATTCTCCTAAGAATTTAGGTATTTTCTAGAAAAAATTAGCTGGGCGTGGTGGTGGGCACCTGTAGTCCCAGCTACTCGGGAGGCTGAGGCAGGAGAATGACGTGAACCTGGGAGGCAGAGCTTGCAGTGAGCCGAGATCACGCCACTGCACTCCAGATTTGGCGACAGAGCAAGACTCCGTCTCAAAAAAAAAAAAAAAAAAGAATTTAGGTATTTTATATTTAAATCTGAAAGCCATGTTCTTTCTCTCATTCTCCCTCCTAAAAAAACAAAACAAAAACTCCATATCTAGAATGAATATGCCCAAAGATTTACACTTGAAAAAATGTATTTAGAATGTGGGACACCTGAAAATCTTAAAATATCCTGTTCAATAATGTTTTTCTAAAATGTGACCAAATTATACTAAGAAGCTAACTTGGAAATTGGCCAAAGGAGACCAACTTCTTTCAATAAAGAAAACATTAATTAATATATCTATATATCTGTCCATTTTTTTTCCCTGACTCTCCTTTAACATGTTCTCTACAACAAGGCCTGGGACCAGTTCCTCTGGATCCTTGGTGCTTGAAGCACTAGCTAAGGAAACAATGGCCTGGAGGCTTCTGCCCCCAAACCCTGTTCTTTCACTCCAACCTTTCCTGTTGAGTGCTCCATCAGTGGACAGACCCTGGTCACTGTTTTGGTTTCCTGATCACCCTCTGGGTTATTTTACAGTGGACTCCAAGCTCTAGGAAGAGGCATGGGTATGTGACTTGCAAAGTTTCACTCGGCTGAGAGCTGCCCAAAATTGAAGGAATAAGTTGGCTGGAAAGCAGAAGGCAGAAAAAGGAAGAGTGAGGACTGTGTTTTGTCCTTTTCGCATAACTCTCCTCCACATGGGCACCCAGGTAGTGCAGTTCCAGGCAGAGCAGTGGATACTTTGGCAACAAAATCTGAGTATGTGTTCTTTTACCTCCCACCTGACCAAAAGCCTTAACTTCTGGACATGGGCACCCTGGCATGAAAGGAGAAATAAGGAAGGTGCTTCTGCTCAGCGCAGGGCGGGCCCCAACACACAGAGGATGAACTACCTGATGCAGGATACACTGTTCAGACACCCAGACTCGGAGTGCAACACTCCCCACCTCCACATTTTTTAAACTTGTGGTAAAATATACGTAACATAAAATTGACCATTTTAACCATTTTTTTCATCTAACTATAAATAAGTGTACAGTTCATTGCATGAAGTGCATTCACATTGTCGTGTTACCATTGCCACCATTCATCTCCAGAGCTTTTTCATCTGCCTTGATGCACATGGATTCTAAGCAGCCTCAGGTCATATAAGAGGTTTCCAGTCAAGACCTCTCTAGTTATAACACCAAGTGAGCCCTAAAGGCAAAAGAGCCCTGGAAAAGCATGTGAAGTCCCCCAAACCAGCATGGAGCTCCAAGACATCCAGAACAAGAAAAGTCCTGACCCTGGAGGGCAAGGGGAGAGCTAGGAAGGGAAGCATTCTCCAAGTTTCAGGTGGGTTAGCCAGGGACTGCTTGCCTGCAGAACATGACTCTCCACTGTCTCCCCTAGATCCCCTCCAGCCATTCTCCTGGTGCAGAAAGACTTTGGGTTTGGAGAGAAGGATTCCAATGATCAATTGTGCTTGATTACACATTGAGGACTATCTCAGCCTTATCCTGATCACTATTATAATCCTTTTTAAATGTATCATGGTTTATTATTTTTCATAAATCGTAACCACAGAAATGACAAATTATTCACAGTAGAGTTAATTCCAAGCAAGCCAGAAATGAGTCTGCATAAATAGGCATAAGTTTCCATGACAAATAAGAACAAGTATTTAAAATCCTGCAGACATATGACCCATAACATATTGCAGAGCACTGATTTCCCATCTTTAAAACTTATTAAAGAAAACTGCTAACATAAGTGCTATTTCATTACTTTTCCCTCAGATTTCTAGTTTAACCACTGTCTTTGTTCACCTGGATGAAACTTAGAACCAGTCGAGTATATTTGAAAGAAAAGAAATCATTGGGACT
Source organism: Homo sapiens (assembly GCF_000001405.40). Classification (NCBI taxonomy): domain Eukaryota; kingdom Metazoa; phylum Chordata; class Mammalia; order Primates; family Hominidae; genus Homo; species Homo sapiens. The sequence goes on along the minus strand of NC_000002.12, from coordinate 102,529,219 downwards.
AACAGTTCATTCCAAGTCTGAAGTAATTCATGTAGAACTGACATGGTGAAGTGTTGTCTTTCTTTCCAAGAACATCTGTATTTACCCATGTCAAGGCTTCTTTAAGTCCCTAAGTAGTAATAGTAATAATGACTAATATTTCTTGCACATCTACTTGGTTCCAGACTCTGCTCTAGCAGCTTTATGTACCTGTTCATATGCGTATCCTGCATGTATGAGACTGGCTTCACATCAGGACAATACAATTGCATATGGAGGGAACCAATATCATCCTCTTTATAGACCGGAAATGACAGTGTGGAGAAGTAGAATTTTATTTTTCCTTCATATATATCCTGTCTATTTCTTCCTGGCATTTTATGGCTTTGACTGAAAGTGTGACTGAGATATCCTTTAGTGAGGACATCCATTAAAAGGTTAGGATCCTGTGACCTATTTATCAGTCTAGTGAATAATATATGTATGTTTCCAAATGTTAAACAACTCTCAAATTCTGGAATAAACCCCACTTTGCAAGGTGTATTGTACTTTAGTGTTTTGCTGTATTTTGTTTATAATGCTTATTTAAGATTTGTTCAAATGAATCTGCTCCGTGGTCATCTCCTGCTACCATAGGCATGCAGTATTGATGCTCATCTCTTAAGAAATAACTGTCGTCCAGGCATGGTGGCTCACACCTATAATCCTAGCATGTTAGGAGGCGAGGCAGGAGGATCCCTTGTGCCCGGGAGTTAGAGATCAGCCTGGGCAACATAGGGAGACCCTGTCCCTTTTTAAGATTTTTTTCTAAAAAAATTTAAATTAAAAAAAAAAAAGAAAGAACTGTGACACTTTCTTGTTTTCTCACTCAAATAACAAAAATAGTGCCAGGTTATTTGTACCAGGAAGATGGTTTAAAAAAATTAAACTATCGACCAGACTCGGTGGCTCACGCCTGTAATCCCAGCACTTTGGGAGGCTGAGTCAGGGGGATCACCTGAGGTCAGGAGTTCAAGACTAGCCTGGCCAACATGGTGAAACCCCGTCTCCACTGAAAATACAAAAATTGGCCGGGTGTGGTGGCACATGCCTGTAATTCCAGCTACTCGGGAGGCTGAGCCAGGAGAATCGCTTGAACTCAAGAGGCAGAGGTTACAGTGAGCCAAGATCGCTCCACTGCATTCCAGCCGGGGTGACAGAGAGAGACTCATCTCAAAAAAATAAAAAAATCGTTGGCAACATATAGGAGATAAAATGGATGATATCCTTGTTATATAGGGTTCTTCAAATTCATCTCAAGAAAATCAACAACCAAATAGAAAAAAACAAAACAAAAAACGAGCAAAGGCAGGAACAGAAAACTTCACCCCAAGAAATATCATTGTTTCCAAAATGTGAAAGATGTTCAACTTCACTAAAAATCAAAGAGATTCATATGAAAATTAAATCTGACATATAAATTTTATGCTACGATATCACAGATTACTCAAAAGTTTGACAACATCCCAGTGGTATTAGGAAAAGATCATTCTTACAGACTGTTGTTGTGAGGGCAAATTAGTGATATAATCTTTTGTGATGGTGTTTTGACAATATATGTAAAAATTTAAATCTATATGAATTTGACCTCAAAATTTTACTTCTAGGAAAATATACTAAGGGAGTAATTGCTTATTTGTTAAAATACCAATCACAAGTGGTCCAGAGCCCTTAATATGTATCATTGTTTATATTTATTAAAAGTTGATAATACCTTAAGTATTTATTAATTAGGAATTAGCTTAATAAGCTTTGGTACATGCATATAATTATTATTAACTCATTAAAAATGAGTATTAGATCCACATCTATTGACATGGAAACCTAGGTACAACATTTGTTCAGTGAACTAGGCAATTTATAAAGATTGCAAAACAATGACTATACTTTGCTTTTATGTATCATATGATGCAATGTTTTTGTGATTTTTTTGTGGAGGGAGGTGTCAGTATGGGTAGTGTGGGATCAGGCAGGTATAGGAAGAATTCTAGAAGGGTGCTCACCAAAACATTCTATGGTGATCATACCTTGGCATTAGGGTTGCAAATGCTTTTAACTTTTTTTATGCTTTTCTCTACTGAATGATTTTGACTTTGTATCAAGTATGTTTTTAAATCAGAAAAAAAGTTTCATTTTGAGGTAATTACATATACTCCTTAAAGGTTAAATACTAAAATCCTTTATGTTTAGTTTACGTGAATTTCCAACATGATTTTAACACTTAAAAATTAGGAAAATAAAAATAGATAACACGGCATATTACATATATTATGTCACCTTTTGCTAATAGCAAATCATTTTATACACATATAAAAATAGTAACTGCTTTTATTAGAATAATAAAGTTTCAATAATTCTAAGAATTCCACTTAATAATTAAATATTAAATGGAAAACATTTAATCAGTAAATCTGGTGAAATCATTTTAGTGAAATTAAACCAGCTTTGGAGAACTCTGCTCATATTTAAATAGTGGGTGAATATTAGAACTTCAATGAAACACTCCTTTCACATTTCTTCAAGATGAGATCAAATTATGACCCTTGGTCTCTATCTGGCCTACTTCCTCTTTGTGTATGGCATGTCAACTACAAATGGTTAGTACATTTTTAAGGGGCTGAAAAAAATTAAAAGAAGATAATATTTCATGAAAAGTAAAAATTATACGAAATTCAAATTTCAGTGTTCATAAACAAAGTTCCGAGTTTCAACTATAAAAGAAGTTGTTTTCTTCTTTTTCTTATCATGTAAGTAACCTACATAATGTTCTTAATGTTGCCTCTTGGCCCACACCCCCAGATATTTACCACCTGACTCTACAGAAAAGCAGCAGAGCAGCCAGGTGGGCAGCTTACCTGAGAACCCAGCAGCCCTTGTGTCTCTTCCTGCAGACTGAGGATTCCCGTAGGGGTAGGAGAGGTAGCGGATATTCTTGGTGCCAGCCTGTGGGTAGCAAGTAGAAAGAAAAAGCAGAATAAGCTGTCTCAATTAAGAGCTTCACATGGCAAATAAAGGGCCAGACACTGTGGCTCACGCCTGTAATCCCAGCACTTTGGGAGGCAGAAGAGGGCGGATCACCTGAGGTCAGGGGTTCAAGACCAGCCTGGCCAACATGGTGAAACCCCGTCTCTACTAAAAATACAAAAATTAGCAGGGCGTGGAGACGGGCACCTGTAATCCCAGCTACTCAGGAGGCTGAGGCAGGAGAATCGCATGAACCCGGGAGACAGAGGTTTCAGTGAGCTGAGATCGCGCCACTCACTGCACTCCAGTCTGGGTGACAGAGCGAGACTCTGTCTCAAAACTAATATAATAAAATAAGGGGAAGAACACAGACCTGTTCTGTGGCATCTTGTTTGGATTACTGGCTTTTAGTTTTTTTGTTTTGAGAAAGCAGAACACGCCAGTCTCCAACATGTATTTCCTTCCCCTCTCATGATAAAATAGACCATTAGCAACCTTTCAAAGTTACTCTCGTATCCCCACTGAGGTTAGGCTTGAGATTAAGGTCTGCTTCTCACCCAGCCTCCATTCAAATTGCCAGTAAGACTGGTTTGTTATGGCCTCCAATGGGAAGAGTGCAGGAACACAGTGGCTGATGTGAAGGTGACCCAGGAGTCTTGGTAACAACCAATCCCTTCCTATACCTTCTTGGGAGAGAAGTAAGCATCCTGGGATCAGAGGGTCTGGTCCAGACCCAGACCCCATGGTGACCAGGTACTGACCATGAGGACTGAAGGGCATGGTCAGTACCTGGTCACCATAAGGTCTGTGTCTGGACTCATAGCACACCAAGTGTGTGGCAGTCCCTGACCCACTGTGGAGGGAAGCACCCTATGGGCAGATGCCTTGGGGCCCTGAACCCAGAGAAAAAGGTTGCTCTGGTGTCCTGCACTCTTGCTTTAGTATCTCTCAGGTAACAAGGTGGGGTTTTGTTTGTTTAAGCATCGATGGTCATGCATGTGAGATCCTGTACAGGAACAGGCTCAGCAGATGACAAACACTTGCACACTGAAGGAATGTCCCAGTCCCCAGCCCCAATGTACCGGCTTTCCCCAGGGCAGGCTGTGACCTTTCCTCATGCTCTCCCTTAAGGTGTTCTGGCGGCGGATCAGAATCTCTTTAGCCTGCTTCTCACTTGTTTGGGGTTTGAGGTTGTATTTGTTGTAGGACAGGGTCTGCAGAGAAAATGGAATGTCAAATACGTAAGGACTCCTCCATACAACTTTCAGCCAAGGAAGCCATGGAAACATCAGGAACCTAAGACCAGGAGAACAGGTGAGCACCTTGGAGGTCAGCTAAGCATTTGCCTTGATTACGAATGAACAAGCCTCAGCGCCAAGAAGAAAAGTCTATGACCCCAGGTCACTGCTTTCAGGGCGGAGCTGTGGCTAGAGCCTCTGCCTTCTGCTCTAACCCTTACAGAGGTCTTTCTCTTAGTTACCCACAGACTTGGCCTGCCCCTTACATACACTTTCCTTTCCAGGTCATGTTTTTGATGCCAGGCCAGTGAATTTAATAAGAAAGGAAAATATCTAAACTACTTTGGGAATTTCCATAAGGCTCTTGGTTTTTAATTTTGCCAATTAAGGATACCTACACACGCAAGCACACAAACACACACACACACACACACACACACACAATTCCTATCACCATTATCATCAATTCAGGAAGAAAGTCTCTTAACCAAAGTCACAGGAAGAACATAATTTGAGATTTAAAAAAAACAGTCCTTCAAACTGAATCAATTTAGCTTTATGAGAATGTCTTCCTTGTCCTTTACCCCAGACCAGTGGAAACTTGTCATGGACCCTAGGCCAACATTAGTCAGTCCTCAGACAGATGTTTGCAAAATGCTTAACTGAAATTTCTTCTCCCTCCTGGTGCTCACTAAAGGTCCACCAGCAAATGCTCAGTTTGCCAGGGGTCAGTAGGTGACACACTGTATGCACTGATAAACCACAAAGTCCTGGAGGATGATAGGATTGGGACAGCAGGGGCTCTCCCTCCCAAGTGACGGATGCTGTAATAGGGATAGTCAGTTTCACTTCAATAGAGAAAATGTTCTATGTGCCAGGTGCTGTGGAAGGCACAGGATTACATAAGTGAGTAAATTAGAATTACAGTCTTCAAAAGGCTTACAGTTTCCTGGAGAAGTCAAATCAATAGGGATAAGATGCTATGCGTGCAGCTAAGTGATAAGATTCTGGGATCATCGGGGGTCATAGAGTACAGGCAAAAGGCACTTCATCCAGTCTTGGATGGGAAAGGTTCAGTGTACTGAGATGAGTCTTGAAAGATGAGTGAGTGTTATCCTGGGAATAAATTCCAGGAAGAGAAAACACATGAGCTAAGACATCAGCTGGTAACCACCTTAGAGGTGAGAGAACAGTCAGAGGATGTGCTGGAAAAGAGCCAGGAATGAGTCTGTTACCATAAAAGAATGGGGTGCTTCATTCAAAGTGTGTGAGAGGTGAGACTGGAGGGGCATGGAGGGGCTGCGGCCAGGCCACAGGCAGCCTGCCAAGGAGTAGAGGCTCCATTTTCCAGGTCATGTGCTTTTTAGGAGGGTGCACACACTCCAAAAAGTGCCACAAGATGCCCCACAGGGTGAGAAAGAAAATACTGATACTTCTATTTCTATTGATTTTTATCCAAACAAATACAAAACAGATTAAGCTCTATTAGTACTTAATGTATGAATTTATAATGGGCCCTCACTGAGTCCATACATGAGACGGTCAAGTCAACAAGGGATTGACAATGGCATCCTCATCGGTTTCATCGGCTTGCAGTTCATTGTTTGTGTTTCAGTATATGTGCATCCAGTTAAGTAGATTTATGGTTTCCATTAGCTATTAACTAAAGTAACCCTCACAAAATAGATAATTGTATAAAAATAGTGTTGTAAAGAAGGTGTAAACTGGACTGCCAAGGTGGCTCACACTGGTAATCCTAGCACTTCAGGAGGCCAAGACAAGTGGATCACTGAGCCCAGGAGTTTGAGACCAACCTGAGTAATATGACTAAACCCTATCTCTACAAAAAATACAAAAAAAAAAAAATGCTGGGTGTGGTGGTGTGAACCTGCGGTCCTAGCTACTCAGGAAGCTGAGGTGGGAGAGTCGCTTGAGTCTAGGAGGTCAAAGCCCCAGTGAGCCATGATCATGCCACCGCACTCTAGCCTGGGTGACAGAGTGAGACTGACAACTGTCTCCAAGGGAAAAGAAAAGAAGGCATAAACTGAAGGCCAAGGGAACAGTGAGGGAGGGGTAAATCCAACTTTCTCCTTCTCCCAATGGAAGCTCTTTATCATCCACTTTTGGCAAATTAACAGATCTGACAAGAATTTGCCCCAAGAAGTTGAATTTTGAAGACATTTTGAAATATGAATTCTTGTCTATCATTAGTAATGATACACCTCAACCTATGTGCATTTTATACATTGAAATATTAAAAAATGGTAACATGACACTGTCGTGAAAAATAACACAAGAATTAAGAATATAGAGACAAACTTTTACAATTGTTTATCAGTTTTAAAATCATGCAAAACTGAATTCAGTGTGTGTGTGTGTGTGCATGTTTGTATACATACAATGTATTGCTAGTAGGATTTCCTACACCTAGACTTGGGAGGAGGCTGCACTTTATAAGGAACACTTGGACATTTGGCTTCCATTTCACCTCCCATAACCTCCCATGACCCACGTGCTTCTCTATTTTGCCTATCTGCAGGGAGCATAGAAGGCTCTATGCATATAATGTCCATGCAAGTGTCTTCGCTCCTCTCCCTCCATTTCTGTGTTATAGTGGAGCTTGCATTTCCCACTGGACCTTGAGCCTTAAAGGAGAATGAACTTTGTCTTTTTCAGTGCAGTGTTCCTGATGCCCGGTGCATTCTAGATGTGTATTAACTATTTGCTAAAGGAAACTGAAATTGCTCTTTTCCTTTGAAAGTATGTAGAAATTCTGAGAGTGATCTGATTATCCAGGCTACTCGGGAATCACCCATCAATCTGTGACCTATCCTGGAGGTCTGGGCTGAAGCCAGTTTCTTCTCTTGTAAGATTAGTAACAGTGTTTCTCAATCTCCATCCCCACTGTGTTTCAGAGAGCTTCTTCTGTGGTTGTCCTACCGGGAACCTCCAGAGGTGAGTCCCTTAAGTTTTCCACCCATGAAGATTCTGTCCTGGGTGTACTGAGTCGAAGGACTTCAAACAGAATTGGCTGGAGTCCTCCTAGGAGCAACAGACCCAGCAGGGCCAGCTCAGTTTCGGATCAACTGTGCATTAGGGTCGCCCAGAGTCAAACTCTGCATTCATCCTGGTCCTGCTCTGAGGTAAATCCCGACGCCCAAGATGGCCTCTTTCAAGATGTGAACAATGAGAAATGCCCTGGCTACCAGGCCTGCATCTATCACCCAGGCTAGAGAGTGCAGGATGGCTAATGTACACCCTTTGTGACATTCCTCAAAAATGTAGATTGTCTGCTAGAAACAGAGTAAATGTATAATTGTCCTGAGTTGCATTTTCAGGTAGACTTTTCCTTCAAGAGATCAAGAGGACCATGGTGGAAGAGAGAATTCTTATGACCTTTGTAAAGCTGAGTAAGGAAAGGAAGACGGGAAGGGGTAGGACTGGTGAGTTTGACTTACGGAGTAAGCAAAGCAGAGTCAAAAAGCCACCTCATAGGCTTGTAACTGCCCTCTGTTTATCAATTGTGTTCTCCCCATTTGGCTCCCAAGGTCATCAGCAATAAACTTATTAAATGGAAAGAGGCCTTTGTGCTTTAATTCGAGGGCAATGAGGAAGGGAGGTGCTGTATGGCTTAGAAAGTAGAACACTGGAAAGCAGAATGAGTAGGATACTTACTAAAAAAGACCAAAGGATGCTATCTTGGAAACTGCATCCAAGGAAGAAAAGAAAGGATGAGCAGTTGACCTTATTTGAGACTGGATTAGAGTCCTAGGATCTCCATCTCCGTTTCTAGACCTTTCCCTAAACTTGGCCTTCATCCACATAGGGAAAAGGCTGAGTACCAGGTACCCTATGGGTTCTGGCTCTCACTAAGCTAGCCACATTTTTCAAACCAGGAAGTTGTTATCTATTATTTATCTAAGGCAGGATGTGATAGTCTTACTGAAACAGTTTCACTTGGAATGATTTGAAAGCCATGGAATTTACTCTAAGCGCACTACCATTAGTGCTGACCTGTATTCCTCCAGCTGGTGCAGAGCCTTTCACTGACACATTCCTCTTAATCATTGACCTTTGAGTTGAAACAGGAGACCAGAAAACAATCACTTTCATTGGATTATATAAGTCCAGAGTCATGAAAAGAGCACTGGGTGGGTGGGTAGAAAACCTGTGTTCTTAACCTGGATTTGTTTTGTAACCTTGAACAAGTCAGATAACCAACTCCACTGACCTCAGCATCTTCTCTTTGAAAATGGGGAGCTTTGCCTAGGTGATTTTGTTTTAGTTTCATTAAGACTATGATCAACGACACAGTCACAAAACCAAAGGCCCTCAAAATGAATTCATTTCCAATCACACCCAAGTATTAGGATTAAAATGGATGATCAAATCCTCAAACTTGAAAAAACTTGTCATTATATGACTTCGTTAGATGACTAATTAAATGGAATATTATTTAACTAAGTCAAAGTTTCAGAAAGATTCATCCAGTGTCCTCAGAAATCTTCTTAGTATGCACTTTGGACCAGGTCCCAAGGACTAGTAGAGATTTCATACCTAGTTCCAAAATTGAGAAATAAGATGTCTCCTTTTATTCAGGCATTTATTCATTATAAATTAGAGTTTCAATATTGTAACCTAAACTATCTCAACTTTCTCATCTTTACTATAGTCAATACAATTGGGACAACTGCACTGTGATCAGCATCCTGGTGCCATCTTTGTTCTGTGGTGTGGTGTGTGTGCTTCTCTACAGAGACCTGCTAGTTCTGGACAGCACCAGGCTGCAGGGCTAGGGCAGCCTGCCCCCTAGAGACGGTAACTAGATTTGCATTTCTTTTTATGTCACAGGTACCAATTTTGCAGCAGAAACATGACAATTAACTTTCTATTCTCCAAACTAAGCAGAGAGAAAATATTCAGCAAGTTACCACCTTACAGAGGGTGACGTGAACATCAGGAGACTTGAACATCAACAGACTCCCCCTTCAGAGACTGTTTTCAAGGACAGAAAATGGGGACAACACAGGTGGCTCATACACACCCTTTGCCGAACTTGGTACATGTTGGATGTCAGAATGTCCCTTATGGACTCCACATCTTCAGGGGAAAGTCTTTTGATTCCTTGTATCCTCTGGGCCCTGGAATCATTATTGGAGAAGAGACAAACATTATTCTTTCATTTGGCAAGAGGTGCCACAAAACTATCAGTGGGCCTTGCTCTGTACTGAGGGGAATCCTAAGTTCCAGAATCCTACATATAATTTTTCCTATTGTTCTAGTAAGTTGGTTTGATGTCAAAACACATGTCTTGACTTCAGGTTTTGAAAATACTGTTCCCTTGGCTATAGCTTATATATGGTAATTATTCCAACCCATTTTTTTAAAAAGGTCTAAAGTGGTAACAAGTTATTTTTTTCCTCCAAATCTGTTATAGACTGAAATGTTTGTACAACACAATAAAAATCAATTGTTAGAAAATGATACCATACCATGCAATCCAAATATTTTACCGTTAAATGCAACAGAAAAAAAATGATTCATTCAAAGACAAACTCTTTGCTAGTTTTGTACTTACCTATCTCATTGAGGACAGGTGACAAGCAATTCACAGATTAATACCATCTACACACCACATTTTGATTAGCATTTATCTAATAGAATATTAGTTTCATGAGTACATTTATATTGGAATTGTATCTGTAGGGATTTTATCTTTGGTTAAGAAATAATTGAAGAAACCAGAATCACATTTTACAAGGGCAATTAGACCATTTATACCATGAAAGCCAGCCCAGCTCTAAGATATTATACACTGTGACCCCTTCCCACCTCTGAAAGGGATTAAAAAACGGGTTATGCCTGTGCCCAGGTTAGTAGTCAATGCACAATTGTCCTCTGGGGATTATAAAGTCCTGACATTGCTGGGGGAAGAATGATCATGTGACAAATGTATTTGATTACAATCTAGTGGCAGTAATTTTAAAAAACTTTGTATTACATGAATAATATATATTCCATGTGGAACATAAGAACAAAAAGGAGAGAACTAAAAATAATTAACTCCCTTTTTAATACTATCACCTTCCTTAACATCTTGATATAAACCTTAATGGGTTTGTTTGTTTGTTTGTTTGTTTCTAGCCTCAGCTCTTTTGAATTTTGAACGCATAAGGGCACTGAAGCCTTTGATATCTGCTTGCATATGCTCTTAAGATAATTGGCCACAGACATGAGTATTTATTAGTTTTAATACAGGCCACCTTTTAAGTATTTTTCAAAACATTAGTAGCAATACAGCCATAAATAGTGAAGACATTTTAAAAGTAATGTACATTTGATAAAAGATATTAAAGGACTTGGATACTGAATATCACAGCAAGCCTGGATTTTGTTTAGCAATGCTATCTGTAGACTGACTAATGTCCTCTCTATAAACTGATCGAAATCAGTTTCCATATCGTAAAGCTGCAAATGCCACCTCTATTGATATACAGTTACCACCCTTGGTGATCTAAACATTATTATCAGGGCATTTAAACCTAACTGTTTAAATGTCCTTCACATAACATTTATTCTGATTTAGATATGCCCACACACTTCCACAATCTGAACACATTCCTTTAATGTGGTGAATGTGATGTACTGCTAAGCAGAAACAACAGCTAGTCAAATAGTTCCATTTATGTGTTCATTATGAAACAACCTAATAGGGAAAACCATTGATAAAGGAAATGGTAAAGTTACACTTGATATAGCAGTAGCTGTAACTTGGCACTCTTCCCAGTTTATAACTGACCACTTTGGGGGGGACGAACTTAGTTAAAATCCATTCAAGCTCTGGCTGGAATGGGTGCTCCAGGTATCCCAAAGGCATTTCCCTTCATGGAGCCACACTGAGAAGCCGCAGCTATGGAATTATATCAGCTATCATTCTACAGCTACAGAATTGATTCCCTTGGGCAAGGTGATACCTGGAGTTTTCTTCATGCCACTTCATTAGCAAAATCGTCCCTGAAATACTCACAGCACAAACACAGGAGATACAGCTTTAGAAAAACTGAATGAGTGATCATTTCTATATCAAGTCAACTTATAAACCAAAAGACTCTTGTCACTGGACCATTCATTCATTATCCATAAAGGAGATCTTCATCACCTTAAATAAAAGTTCTGCAATAATTTCAATCAAACTGGAAAAATCTGAACCTACGTATATTGAATATAACGTTCATCTTTCCCATAACTCTTCTTACTTATCTTTTATATTGATACATAGTAGTTGTACATAGTTTTGGGGTGTATGTGATAATTTGATACATTCATATAATTAAATTAGGGTAATTGGGATATCCATCACCTTACATTTTTGTCTTTTCTTTATGTTAGAAACATTCAAATCATTCTCTTCTAGCTATTTTGAAATGTACAATTAGTGTTAACTATAGTTACCCTACAGTCCTATCAACCACCAGAGCTTATTTCTTCTCTCCAAGTGTATATTTGTTCTCATCAATCAACCTCTCTTCAGTCTGCCCTCATTCTTTTTCTCTTTTGGTCAGTTGCTATAATAATGTAAAAAGAAGCTTCAATTCTACTATAACATCTAGTAGAATACACATATCATAGGATGAAGTTCCAAGATATCAAATATGACTTGGGAATTTATTTAGAAGAACACATCTTTTTTTAAGCAGCTAAGATGTGAAGTCTGTAGGAAAAGTGGGCTCAGAAGACAAGAAGACTTGCCTGCGGTGCACACAGTGGAACCCACCAGCAGCCCTGTGTGCAGCTGCTTAGCATGTTTTTACAGAGGTCACCAAGATGAACAACATTTGGAATGAGTGATGAGTGGCTGAGATGATGCTGCTCCTCAAAATACAGTGTTCCATTGTGGAAGTGAAAAATGGCATCAGAACCTGCATCCTAGTCTTCTGTGTGAGAATGTGGAAATGTGAATTTATACCTGTCAATGTGCAATCCATTAGAAAATTCTTAGACTACAATGAAGTTACTTTAGGCCTCTTTTGAAAAAATGACACATTAAAATTATCTGGGAGTTTTAAAATGCATTTTGAAGTTGCATGGTTGTTACGTTTGTTATGCCTATAAATATATAAATATTTTATATTTTAATATCACTTTAATTAAAAAATGTGTAAGGCTTCAACACTTTTAATCAGCTTGGGTCTCTATCTCTGATAATTTCTAACAGCTTACCACTCACTGGTGAGATGAGCTGCTTCATATTTGAGATAGTAATCAAAGTGCATATTCTACTTATTCACAGGATTGCTTTGAGTTTCAAATAAGATAATGTATGTAAAAGCAATGGGATTCCAAAAAATCAACATCATCCAAACTGTGCAAATAGACAACCATAGTGGCAGTGTTCTCCTGAAGGTCATAGAATTTGAAAATCTAAACCTTTTGTAGAACAATTGCTTGAACTTCTAAAGAAAAAAATACCTGTGCATTTTGTTGTTATCATCTCATACAGAATAATAAAAAGCGAGCTGAGTACACACTTCTTTTTCCTATTATTGTATGAAGGTTTGTTTGGTAAGAAATTAGCTGCTTTGATCTCAGGAGAGGAATTCCTTTTTGCTTGACGTCCTACAGATTTCTGATGAGATCAAATAAAGGCAATTTAAATACTAAATATGTATTAAATATCAACTTTAAAAAATCTCTCCCACCCCAGTTAACTAACTGCTTGGGGTGTACGAGGAAAAAAAAATTATCTCGTACCTATAAGGCTGTCTCACTAATCTTAAATTCATTTCTAAAGAAATAATTGACTTAACCGGCAGGCCCCCACTCCAAATAAAACTGGTTTAAAGATTGCCTTGAGATCAGAAATTAAGGCAAATGCTTATGACTGATGCAATGTAATACAAAAATTCAAAATATGCTTTGCCACCCGGCAGACTGATTCTCATTTAGATAAGCACCCATACCTTCCGAAACCAAGGGCTCACATAAGTGAAATGGTCTAAACTGCATTAATCAGCATTCATCCTTCAGTGAGCAGGTCAAAGGCAAGGAGCCCAGGTGAGGTGCACCTCTCATAGACTTGCGTAGCTCTCTATTCTTTATGATTATGTTTGTGTGGCCTTTTTTGTTAACGTCATGACCCTACCAGAGTATGGTGTCCATGAGGGCAAGGCCTGTGTCTGCTTCAAGGTGGCTGGCACATAGGAGGTGTCTTAACAGACAGGATTGGATCAAAGGTGTCAAATGCAAGGGGGTTGCAAAAAACTCAGTAACTAAGGTAAGTCAGATTTAAATGCAATATTTATAGATATAAAGGTCAATGCAAAAAATTACTGATGAATATAATATCAACATTTTAAATAATAGAGGATCGATATGCCTGATGTTTCCTTTGCCTGGGGCTCCACCATGATGCAGCAGAGCACTGCCAGTATATATCTGTCAACACTTTTCCATTTTAATATCAGAAGTTTCCTTAAAGCCATGTGATGAGCAGCATCAAAACAAACCGACAACCCCTCCACCACCCTCAAAGAAAAGTCACTAAGAAATAAGGCAGAAAGCTTTGTATTATACTGAGATATCCTCAGGGATTATCTCAGTATAATACAAAGCTTTCTGCCTTATTTCTTAGTGACTTTTAGTTAGGATTCTTCTCAGGCCATGTAAGAAATGCAAGGGTGTTTCTGATTTATTAGCAGGCAAGGGATGAAGGTGTTATCTCAGAAATAACACTCAGGCAATAGAGACAAATTTATTGCTACCTATTCTTAGCTCTTCTTCCAACTTCCTTTTTAAATGTGAAGACATAATTGAAGCATATGATCAAGTGTTTTTACCTGCTGAAGACAACAGGATGGAGGGGGCCCATGTTCCTTATCCTAAATATATGTTGTGATTAATTTTCCCAATAAATCAGTTGTTGGAGAAAAACTGGGCATCTTTGGGAAATTAATGAGTTCTTTTGACATTGAAGGGGCTCTCATTAAATGTCAGAGTTAAAACAGCTTTAAGAAGTATTTAGCCAGCTCTTGGGACAAGTGGCTACCAGAGGCTCTACCACGTTGCATAGAAAATCGTCTTGTAATGATGGGTTTATATTCCAGTATCACCCCTCCCTATGTCCTGCTTCCACAACTCCCTGTTCCCCAGGAATCCAGGCAACTCCCTGCTTCTACTCCAAGCTGGTCTCACATAGACTCAAGACAAATTTCACAATCTCATGTAGACCTTCGCCTTAGATGCAATTACAAACACAACTTTCTCTTTACATAGACCACCAATGACCACACCTCTTGCTCTCATCACTCCTTCCCAAATCCAAGTTATCATCTCAGAAAGTTAACTCATCTCTCATGTAAAAGAGGAAGAGAAATGGCTTATGGGAAGAAACATAATGGTAGGAAGGACAGAATCACATGCACGGGGGTCATGTCAAGAGGAAAATGAGACAGTCTTGTAAAATATGCTGCAATTCTACACATTCGCTTGCCCTTCCCTCCCAAAGAAAGATGTCATACAACTCTAAGGAAGCAACATTTGCTAGAAAGTAATTTTCAGAAACTAGGTAAAATATGTGAGCTTGGGCCAAGCCATAAAAATGCCAAGACTTAGATTACATATTTTAAAAATAATTTCTTCTTTATATTTCTGCCTCTTTACTCCTCGTATACCTTTAAATGAGGCAATGAGTCAGCGCCCCTTGGAATTCTGACAGTGAAAGTTTAGAACAAAGAACAGATATGACTCACTGATGGGGTATGGAGAAAGCTGTAGAGCTCAGTATCCCAGTCTCCACCATCTCGATGGCTTGCTTCATTTCCAGCTTCTTGTACAAAGAAACAATGCTTGATTTGGGTAGGTTCTTTCTGATGAGGATTTTCCGTAAGTATCTATGATCAAACTTCTTAAACCTAAAAATGAAAACCAACATTTTGGAAATCTTGAACGTCTGTATGTGTTACATTAAGTATGCATTTCTCTTGAAACAAACTACTTACTACTTAACTTTATTCTGAAGAAACATCAGGACAGTGCCTGGAATTCATAGCATTTGAACACATTTTTTAAAAAAATTCATAGCATTTATGCATTTTTTAAAATAAAAAAAAAGAATGGCCTACTGGCCTGAATACATTGAAAATCAGCTAAACAAAAGGAAGGGACAAGCTGCAATCAGGGCAAAAAGTGTGCATAAGTGAGGCGCGGGGGAGGCCCAGCCCAGCTCAGCTCCAATTGTAAGAGAAGAAATGAGGGGGCTGAAGCTTTTGAATAAGTGTTCCATTCTAATAGCGCATAACAGCGGCAGCTGCACTTACAGTAATACTGGCCTATTCAACCAGAACCCAATAAGTTTAAATGGCCCGGTAGTTACAGTAGTTTTGCCCCATTATGCTGCAGATCATTTTGAATCCTACCAATTAAGGGGAAGAAAAAAACCCTACGTATGTCCCAATAGCCTGAATGATGGAGATTCTGAATAGGCGAGACTGATGGCCGCTGACTATTGTAAGGAACCTCTGGCCAGCCCATTCGACTGAGCTGCGCTATGCATATGGTGCCTTCAGAGTCAGCCATTTGTTTGGAGTTGGAATTTTCAACACTTTCAATCATTTTACATTCAAAGAGTAGTTTGCCCGCCTGCTTTATTTTCCAGAGGGGCACATAGCTTTCCGGGCTGCTGGTTTATTATCTGGCAATTGGTTTCCTGGTCTGTGAGGTGCTAAGCCCCTCCAGGGTTAGGGGCTGGCTTCCTGAGCTTTGCTGTCCCAGCTCGGCTCAGACCAGGCCTCCTCTTATTCCAACTGGGTCGATCTTCTGTCTTCTAGTTTTCTGCCCTCATGAGAAGCCGCGGTTCCTGTGTATTCTCAGCCCACGGTAATCACCTCCCCAACCATAACACCCTCCCTGACTTTCTTCTCACTGAGCTCGCCTTGACCTTGCCCTGTTCAACTCCAGAGGCTGCCCTCATTCTTCCCATACTGGATGCTTTGTGTCTCCTGACGTGCTGGGTCCTCCCCTCTGCGCCCTCCACACCCTGACTCGCTCGTGCTTCGCTGCCAGCCTCTCTGACCACTTCTTCTCAATCTCCTTCCGCACTTTCTTTTCCTTGCCTGCGCCACGAGAGTGAGAGCTTCTCAGAGCCCCATCCTCAGTGAGCTTCCAGCTACTCACTGACAACTCTAGCCGCAACCTCCCTCCTGAACTGGAAACTAAGTCCAGTAAAACAATACATTCTGAAAGGTGAGATATGGTGAAGAAGAGGGATTTGGGCATTTTAAAAAAGAATTACTATATTTGAGAATCTTAAAGATCTTCCACCATGGCCTCCCCAACAATGGAGGAATCCCTTGCCAGGATTCCTAAGGAGGCACCAAGCTCCCTTTCTAAACTCCTTTTCTAAGCTGGCCATTCCGTGGTAGAGCTGATCTTATCATTGGGAACCTTGTCCTTGTTTTTAACTTAAATATTACTTTTCTAATTTCTACCCACTAGCTGTACCAGTTCTCTCTGAAACAACCTACACCAAGTCAACTGCGTCTTCCACCTGACAATTCTTCATTTTCCAGGCTTAGCATGCCCTGGAATTTCAACCACTTCCTGTAGGGGATGGCTCAGGAGCACTTTATCTTCTTGGTCTCCATTCCCTGAATTCTCTCTGATTTTATGCCCAGCTTCCAATGGAACCTTTAGAAGTTTGTCAGGGAGTGAAACCCTCAGCCTCCTTACTTGTCTCTCACTTGGTAGTGACTCCAGTGCCCACACACATCTTCGATTCCAGCCTTTAAGTGATCCATCAGCTGCCAAACAAACACAAGAAAATGATTGCTGGAGAAACGCGAACTCTGAAAGACACACAGGACAACTAAGACACTTTAAAAAACAAAGGAGCCTTTAATTTTCTGGAGCCTATCTGACTTTCTATCACTGTGTTCATGTAATAAAATATTTGGTGCCTTTCATAGTAATTTCATAGTAATTTCAACTTTGGTTTAAAGACTCTGTAGATAAGTTTCTTCATAATTCACATAATACGTAATGAAAACAGGGCACCTGGCATTTGCTTTGGATAATACTTTTCTAGAATGATCTAGGAAATTTCTCATTACTGAAATCACTCGGAGGATAATTAATAATAATAAAATATATCATATTTAAGATATTATTAAATAATTGTAATAACTTACTTTTAATTTCATTGCAGAAGAAAAGAACACACTGTTATCCAATCATATAATTTCTGAAAATATAATTCTGTTAATATTCTACTATAACATAGAATAACAAAGTATCTCTCATTTTAATATGCTCGTTTGATCTGAGTAATTACATATGACCACTTAAGCAAATTATATTGCATTTGTTTTAACCCAAATTGTTTATGGAAATTTAGGAAAAAGTGCAATCTTCAAAATAATTATGAAATTAGTCTCCAAATATTTTAAATTTGAAATTATTGAAGTCTATACTGGCTTCTGAATTTTGTTTTGAAAAATAGTTTGAAATATTAAATTAATTATTAAATAATTAATTCACTACCTTCTACCAAAAATTATAACTTTTTTGAGGAAAAGAAAAATAAATGAGAGAAGAGTGAAATATCCAAGTTCCATGGACTTAGGTGGATTATGCAATATGTCGAAATAATAAATCATAGGAGATAAAGATAGATGTTAAGTTGTTACATGTTTTAAAACAGTCACTACTTATCCTTATCTGTTAATTATTTTCAAATGGCCTTGAAAATTTTTCATTAGGATTTCCTGGAATTTAAATAACCAAATTTCCTAGGTCACTTTGACCATGAACTTTAGGGTAGATTTTGGAAGACTTCATCATTCATCAGTTTCTCTAGTATTAAAATGGTGAATTCTCAGGGATAGAGGAAACCTAAAATTTTTCAAGTTCAACTATCTCCTCAAAGCTTGAATCTCATGTGCAGCAACTATGCCACATGTTCCCAATCACTGGTTAGACACATCCACTTCAGCTTCGGGTGTGCCAATCAGGAAATGATTGTCAGAATGCTCTTTCATTAACTGAGTTGAAGTCTCCACCTATAACCCTTCAGACATTAGTTCTCATTTCTATTCCTTGGAGCTGTACACAGTGGTATCCCTTCAATGTTGTGCTGAACTTGAACAAACAAATAGAAACCATGCCCAGTGTCATATTCATCTTTGCCTGACTGGGATGTTTTCACTAAAATCTGCCACTCGGCCATGTTTGCAAAAGAAGTAATACCCTTTGCCCCTCCTATATTCAAAAAGGGCAGAGGACCCCATATTTCATTGGAACGGTGATTTTAGAAACAAACAGGACAATTTTGAATGTTAGTCACTGTGATAGTATTTTGAGGTATCAATTTAGACAGGCAAGTCCCCGGTTATTCAATCAAACAGTACTCTAGATGTTGCTGTAAATGTATTTTATAGATCTGATTAAAGTCCATAATCAGTTGTCTTAAGGGAGATGACCCCAGATAATCTGGGTGGGACTGATTCAGTTGAAATGTCTTAAGAACAGGCCTGAGGCTTCCCTGATGAAGAAAAAATCCTACTTGTAGACAGCAGCTTTGGCTCATGCCTGAGGGTTCCAGCCTGCTCTTCTGGATGGCCTGTCCCCTGGATTTTGGGCTTTCCTAGCCAGCCCTAACACTAGTGAAAAACAATTCCTTACAACAAATCTCTTCCTATATCTATATCTATATCTATATCTATATCTATATCTGTATCTGTATCTGTATCTGTATCTGTATCTGTATCTGTATCCGTATCCGTATCTGTATCT
This sequence comes from Homo sapiens, assembly GCF_000001405.40. Lineage (NCBI taxonomy): Eukaryota > Metazoa > Chordata > Mammalia > Primates > Hominidae > Homo > Homo sapiens. The sequence continues at coordinate 102,510,212 of NC_000002.12, read as the reverse complement.
ATATCTATATCTATCTATATCTATATCCATCCATCCTACTGGCTCTGCTTCTCTGTTGAACCCTGATGGAAACATCACCAGCTTGGACAAAAAAGGAGGACAAAATGAAAGAAAGATGTCGGACCCTCACAATTCTATAAGCAAGAAATAGACTGATAAAATTACTCAGCTGCAAATTTATGCTACCTTTATAAAAAAAAAAAAAGGAAGTATGATTCAGAGGGTGAAATTGAGAACCCAGAGGGTGGAACAAAGAGTTGCAAGAGATTAGGGGATTCCCAGCCCTTGGAACCAAATAGAGCTTGCCCAGGAAACATTGAAGTTTGCTTAGTATCGATGACTCCTTTTTTTCTTCCATTATCTCCATAGTTTTTTGAAAGGCAACAGTTACAACTGTTATTCAATGAGTGTCCTACCATATATTTTAAGAGCAGATAACTTGTTTCCTGAGTTTTGCAAATTCATAGATGAAGAGAAACTGAGCCTCAGAATAGATTATACCCAGAGCCTCACTGAGCCCTGCTCTAGATGATGGAGATATTGAGATTTGGGATTTTTGAACTGATAAGATTCAGATGATATTTTGGATTTTGAATTGATGATGCAGTGTATTGAGACTTTTGGGGTATTGGGATAGAAGGAAGATATTTTGCATGTGGAACAGATATGAATCTTTGGGAGACAGACGGCAGACTGTGGTAGGGAGAACAATGACCTTGCAAAGATATCCATGTCTTAATCCCCAGAACTTGTGAATATGGTAGTTTAGTTTAAAGGAGGATTAAGTGGCAGATGGACTTAAGGTTGCTAATCAGCTGACCTTAAGCTGGAGACAGTCTCCTGAACTATCCACGTGGCTGCAGTGGGATCATAAAGCTCCTTCAGTGTGGAAGAGGGAGGCAGAAGGATCATTGTTGGAGGGATGCAGCCTTTGCAGGCTCTGAAGATGGAAGGGGCCATGGGCCAAGGAACACAGGCAGCCTCTGGAAGCTGTGGGAGGTGAGGAAACAGATTCTCCCCAGGGCCTCCAGAAAGGAGCGCAGCCCTGCAACAACTGGATTTTGAACTTCCGACCTCCAGAACTATAAGACAATAGATCTGCATTGTTTTAAGCACTAAGTTTGTGGCAATTTCCTACAGCAGCCATAGGAAACTTATACAGTCACTCTTGGCAGAGTGGGGAAGGAAAGAGGAAGTCTAGTGACACGTGCACATGTCTCATGGTGACAAAGGGGAAATGTCTTGTTAATTTATTAATTGTGACTATGAGATAACTTACACGAATATGAAGCTCTTCATTGATGGATTCTTTTTTATTGGTTTTTTTAACATCCAGGTACCTGACCAGAGGGCCAACTGTGATTCCCTAGATCAGAAATAACAAAACAAAGGGTTTTGTTGTAATGAAGACTGTCACTAGAGAGAGCAAATTTATTAACAAAACTATTAGAATGTCCAATCTATATGTTTTTGTACTAGCTATTACAGAGTAAATGCTGCAATGTTCATTTCAGTTTTCCATTCCTTTAAGTACTGCAATAAAAATAGATATCATGCCTGTATGTTAATATAGGAATTTGGTTTCACCCATTAAAATAATCTTTCATTAGTTCATTAAGAGCTAACTCCAACTAAAACAAAAACTTGTGCTACGTAGTACTAATTGGAATCTCATTTTCAGAAATATGGAGTGACTATTAGTCACCTGTTACTCAGGAATCTTTTGATAAATATGCTGTATTGATTAAAAGGCAATACATTTTAGAAGTTAAAGGATGGTCACAAACATGATCTAGAAATCTCCGGAAATTTAGTTTGGGTATTGAGCACAGATCTGAAAATCAGATAAAATGCCTTTATTTGTATTTTACTAATTTACTACATTGTCCTGAAATAACCTATTTATTTAAATATAAGGGAAATCTACTTACCTGAATAAATACAGTAAAGTATATAACTACTAGAGTAGCAGTGACAAACATTTTCTTCCTAGGAAAAAGAGACAGAGGAAGCAAAAATGCAAGTGAAAAACTTCCAGCTCCTCGAACACCACTGTAGAAAATGATGCACTGGTCCTTGATGGAGAAGGGGAAAGTCCGAAACTGGTTACTGATATAGAAGAGAGCAAATACGCCTAGAAAGGGGGAAACGTGTATTAGAGCAGAGGATCATGAACGAGCAGAGATACAGAGCTAGTGAACTGAGGTTGTGTGCGCGTGCCCTGCAAACAATGCAGCCTAATTCCATCATACACCCATGATTGTCTATCCCAGGTAGAGTATCTTTTATGGCTTCTCACTTTGATAGTTGTGAGACAGTAGCACTTCAAGTGGGAATCTTCGCTACAGTTTATTGGCATGTGTTGTGTGTATGTGCCTGCATTTATGTGTTTAAATTAATAAAATCTTGATTTTGTTAATGTAAGGTATATATTTTCTAATCTATATTCATAATTTTTGTCCCACCTTTCAAAACTAGTCAAAGCAAGGATATTGTTGAGTGGGTGGGGGGATAAATGCATTCTTATCATCTCATATTCTCATTGGGTATCCAAAGGAGGTCTGTAATTTAAAAATGAGAGGGGTCCTCTTAGAGACCGTGGTCTCTACAATCAAATCCCTTACTGTTGGCTTGTCCCTCTTGAGGTTCAATGCAAGCAAAGAAGGAAGTTGGCAAGGGTTGGGGGGTGAGTGGGCGCTTCTTACTCTCAGTGAGCTTCTCAAACAGAAGGTTTAGGGTGGAAGAGCTTGCTTGAAACATAGAGGAGTTTTCTACCACATTGGTTTTCATCCCCAAGCGGCTCACATAACCTAGGTACCACCAATGCAGTGGTGCCTGCTAGGAAAGGTCCTCACTAAAGCTCTGATGAATCAAAGAAGAGTTTCACTTCGTAGAATAAAACTCTCCACATCCTCATGTGCGTCTCGTCACACAGACTTGCCAGCAAGCATTCTTTGATAATAGGCACATGGATAGTGCAAAAGATAAGTGAATTTACTTTTTAAAATATTGTTGTGTTTGTCCTGGTTCCTCTCCATGCCAGTCATGTGACCTTGAGCGAGGTTCTTAACCATTTCCTGTCCTCAGACTCCTCATCTGCTTGATGGGGTAGCCATAGCTTTTCTCTCAGAATGTGAATGTAAGGGTTAAATAAATTTAACATCCATAAATAACATAAGATGCAGCCTTTTATGTAGCAAGCCTTCGCGAGTGTGAACTACTATTAGTTGTGATGAGTCAGGGTGGGAAGAGAACAGGCTATGAGCGGGAGAACCGGATTCCAACACCTGGCTCTGTCAATTGCTGTGATGTGGCCAATTTTGTCACTGTTTTGGTGGTTTTTCCATCAGTTTCCTCAACTGTAAGAGTATGGGGTTGAGCTGGATCATGAAGGATTAACAATGTTGAGGTTCCTGCAATATAAATCCTCTCCTAGGTAGTTTCTTTTCTTTTTGGCTCGGCTAAAGCTCTGTAATTTTACTTCTCTTGGCATTAGCTCTACTCCCCTGTAGATTCCCAGAGTCCCAGAGTATTAGAACTGAAAGGGAACTAAGAAATTTGTTCAAATCCATCATTCTGTGGTTGAGGGAGACGATTTTGAGTAGTTACATGTCTGTCCAAGATCAAACAGCTAGTTTGTAATAAGGCCGGTGATAATGATTTAAGATAATAAACTTGTATCACAGCTTCCTCTATTCTCCCCCAAGGAGCCCAACAAACATATATATTCAGAGTTACTTATAGATATTTTAATATTTCTGTATTCCTGTTAATCTCCTCTAGAGCCTAAAACCCATCCTAAATGAATTTGGAATTAATATGTTCAAGATAGGTTATCAGCCATTTCACCTAATTTCTCTTTGAGTAATTGGCTTGAAAATATTGGTCAAAGTCATTTAACATAACGCTTCAAATATTAGTCAAGTCACTTAAAAATAGATTTGCTTTTAATCAAAAGGCAACACATATATTGTAGTTCAGTGCTTAATGTTCTTTTCTAGCTCCTGAAACATAAATGTACAAGATAAATCATCAGCCACTAGTTCTCATTTTAAAAGATTAGTTACATTTTACAGGTGTGATGCCAGTTACACTCTAAAGTTGTTCTTACTAATTAATACGAAGCTCTTTTAAAAATATTCACTTTCTGATTTGTTTGTTTGCTATACATCACACATTCATGCACTCAACCCTCAAATGAAACCACCTATACTATTTAGGGGGATGTTTTCTATCAGTATTTGTCTTCCATAGAATACAATTTGTGAGATCTCACTTATCCTATAGTGAAAGTGTAAATAAATGCCCACAGTTTATAATCCATATCTGATTTAAGGTGCAAGAGGATACAAATCTGCAAAGAAGTGAAGAGCAAGGGATATGTTGGTCTTAGGAACCAAAAACATTGGTGCAACTCCAAATAAAAAGTAACAAACATGTATTTTTCCATTGACTGAATTATATTTAAATAGGTAGATGTGAAACTTCTTTCTTCAATTAAAAAAAAGTACTCCTTGCCCCAGCCTTGCTTCAATGCAGAACCTTATCAACCACTAATTACTTTGAGCTGACTGAGGGAACAAACAGAAAAGATTCCTGCTCACGACCAGGTTCCTAGTCTACCCTAACCGGTAAAACCAGTTAGCATCTACTCAGTCCTCCAGTTTTAACATTGCGGAAGGGAATAAGAGAACTGAAAATGCAGCAGGACCGGAGACTCTGGAGCCCTGCCGTCTCTTACTGATGGCTCTCCAGATTTGGCAGAAGGCCAGGGTGAAGCAGATGAAGGCCCAGTTCCACTCGTGATTCTTGCCCACAGTGGACACACCCATGAAGATGAAGATCAAGGTCTCGCTGACGCTGCTCAGCATCTTCATGAAGTACTTGATGGTCGTGTATGATGTCTGGGACACGTTTTCTTCCACGTACTTTTTCATTGTTACTGCGCAGGCTGTGATTCTATAAAAGGAGCAGAGTCTCAGAGAAAATCCATGAGGTTTTCCCCCTCCACAAAACGCCCTCCCCACAGGCAATGCCACAGATGCATGAAGCCCGTGTTGATGCAGGAATATCTCCCTTATTCCCTTCTGTGGCTGCAGATTTTCCGCAGATTTTCTTTCTCCCTCTTTTCCCTCCCTAAGAGATCTTTACAAGGTAAAGGTGAATGTGGTGGGAAGGTGGGCGTGGCACGGTGAAATAAAAGGACACGTAATTCGCATGGGCACACCCAATGCAGAATGCTTCCCTCTTGCCCTCTTCATGAAGAGTTTGTCAGTCCCAACTCACACTCTCTGCGTTACTCTGCCTTAAACCAAAATAACAGAATAATTCTTCAAGGTTCTCATTTCCTCCAATCCAACCATAAATGATCAAAACTTCTAAGACAATGCAAGGTTCTTTTTTATTGGCTTTATTTCAAATATTTCTGTTCTAGAGCCATTAAGCAAGTATGGGAAAGAGAAAGAAACTTGCCTTGTCTTAGAAGTTTTGATCATTTTCCAGGTGGGAAAGTGACAGATGCCTAGAGTTTACACTATCACATTTAATTGAAAGAGGTATTTCTCTACAATAAAATTAAATGTATCTGCCTGAATAGCTGGAAAGAAAGATAATGCCGTACAGAAAACAACATCATCAGATATAATAAGCCAAGCTGAGAAGCCTCATTCAAAGATAAACATCTCAAGGATACAAGGACATAAGGATAAGCATTTCAAAAATATTTTCATTAGAGCAAGGAAATGTAGATTTCTAGTCTTATCCCATCTGTCTAGTTTCATCACACACTGAAGAGCCATGGCTGTGTGATGTGGTTTGAGGGGCACAGCAGAAGGCAGAGCCCAGGAATGTCAGTCCCTCGTGCATGCCTCTCTTCAACTTTAAAATTAACTTTTCCACTTTGGGAGGCCAAGGCGGGCAGATCACGAGGTCAGGAGATCGAGACCATCTTGGCTAACATGGTGAAACCCCGTCGCCACTAAAAATACAAAAAATTAGCCGGGCGTGGTGGCCAGTACCTGTAGTCCCAGCTACTCAGGAGGCTGAGGCAGGAGAATGGAGTGAACCCGGGAGGCGGAGCTTGCAGTGAGCCGAGATCGTGCCACTGCACTCCAGCCTGGGCGACAGAGCGAGACTCTGTCTCAAAACAAACAAACAAAAAAACACTTTTCAAGGAAAAAAACACACTACTGAGATGAGAACTTAACCTTGAAGTTTCCCCAGATTTTCTCTGTACCAGCTTTCCTGAGCCTTCTAAATTGACGTGATAATTGCTATGCTTTCCTCCTCAGGCAAATCACAAGAAGATGAAGGCAGGCATTGGAGAGAACGTTGGTTTGACAAAGAACCCGAATCAGGTTTCATAAAAGTTTAGAAGATCCTAAATCTGCAACATGTTGGAGGGTTAGCGTCATTGGTTATGTCTTTCCCAGATGCCTGGCTCATGTGATGTGGTTCTAAACTTTCTTTCTATTACTATGTGACTTGATCCTTGGTTTGTACTCACGCCAGGATGCCGGAGAGATAGAGGGTTTCAGCAGCTAAGTAAGACAAATAGCTGAACATGAAGACGATGAGTGGCTCAATTGCAGAGATATTCTGAGTGAAACGTGTGATAAATGCAGAAATAAATCCAAAAACGATGCCAAACAATACCCCTCCAAGCCCCACAACGATGAATCGGGCACATCCAGCCAAAATGTCGACAGTTTCTATGTCTTCAAATTTATGCATCTTTGTAAAGGCAATTAACATATTGTATAAGACCTAGGCAAAAAAGAGAGTAAACAAATATGAATTATGAATAGAAACTAGGAACACTTTGCATGCACATTCTCAGCTTTGTGTCTAGTTAAGTAATACACAAAAATAAATTACACAACAAAAAATACTAAGATGACTGCCTTTTAACTGTATTCCCAATAATTTAGATGTACACAGTTTCACTGAATAAAAAGTGTAATACTCACAACTTCCAATCACTGAGCACCTACTACGTGCCTGTCTCTTTGCAAAGCTTTCAGTGGCAGTTAATTTATTGCCTCTAGACTCCAAATGAACCCTTCCATTTGTGTTCTATAATAGACAATGGAATTCCTTTAAGCAATTTTTCCTTAAAGTGAGCACCTAGTTAAGCTCTGTCCGTAGAGGGCCTAGAAAGGACATTCAGGTGCAGGCAGAAGGGCCTTCCTGCAGTTTTTCTGGGGCCTGTGGGGAGAGTCAGCCACGTGGGTGTGAGGAACTCCAGCGGATCCTGCCTGAGCCACAGGCTCTGAAAGTGATCCCTCTGCAACCCTGCGGCTTTGGCCTGGTGATAACCTGTCTGCAAAAAGCCCCAGCATGACCCACGTGCCACATGTCTGTGGCCCAGGGCTCCACCCGAGCAGCCCACGCTCTGAGAGCCTTCTCCCCGTCCTCCCATGCAGCCTGCTCCTCTGAAGATTCTCTGCCATCTCCCAAGTGCAGGCTCCCACTGCAGCCCTGGCACAGGGATTGCTGACTGATGTCTGGCCCTGCCTGCCTTCCGGAGGGTGGTCGATTGTTTGCCCACCAACTCCAGACCAACTCCAGTCTGGATAAAGCAGCCAACTTCTCTGCTACCCAGTGGCCAGTCCACACCTTCTCCAGTAAAAGGTGAACCCCTCCCAAGCGTGTCCTTCCTTGGGGGCCCTCCCTCAGCCCTAGGGTACATAGAGAGTTTCCTTATATCTTATAGTTATGCCTTTATTATAGTTAATACATTTTATAATGCATTCACATTTTTTATTTAACCTATCATGTGGTGTATCTTACCTGATTGCACCTAGACCGTTATACCCTCCATACACATCATTTCATCGAATCCCCCAAACGATTCTAGCCTATGTGACACACACTCTGAATTTTCATGTTATTTCCCTATTTATTTCAACATTTATTTTGAAGCTGCAGGGATCTACTTATCACTATTTTATGCCACTCCATAGCCCAGAACTATGATCTAGGTCCTGAAAAGCAGCAGCAGGTGTACAGGTAATGAGACATAGAGAAGAGCTGAACGAAGATCTCTGCAGAAAATGAAGACCTTTGGGAATATCAGCCCCTGAAGAGTCCTGCGAAATCACAGTACTTGCCTCTTAGCATCTATCTACACCAGGAAAAATGCAAAAAATCAGAGCAGAGGACGGAAGCTAAAACTCAAGGAAATCGTGGCCGTGATGGTATTCTGCGTGCTGCAGAAGCATAGATGGACTGTGTGGACCTTCTAGAACTGATGATGCCCCCTCACCTTCACAGTTGGCTCTCATTGCCCCTCTGGCTGTGGCCCCTCATGCTGCACCCTGCCAGGCTCACCCACGCCTTCTGCTTGACTCTGATCTCTCCAAGATGGGAATCATCTTCCTTATGGAGACACTTAGTGTCTCCACTGAGTGACAATCAGTATCACCACTGATCTTGGGTGTGGTCTGACAGCCCTTGGGTTCTGGGTTTGGCTTCATCCTCAGGACTCACCAGAACCACACACTGCTTTGTGTGCACACCAACCCCTTGCTGTGGTCTGCAGCCTGCAGGAAGCCATTCCTCCCCCAGCCCCTTTCCTAGCTAGTTCTGGCCCCTCCAGGTCCTCTGTAAGCCCGACCTCTGCTGATTCCCTATAACATCACCTCCATTATAAAAGATTGTTGTTTTTGGCTGGGCGTGGTGGCTCATGCCTGTAATCCCAGCACTTTGGGAGGCCGAGGTGGGTGGGTCACCTAAGGTCAGAAGTTCGAGACCAGCCTTGCCAACGTGGTGAAACCCCATCTCTACTAAAAATTCAAAAAATTAGGCTCATGCCTGTAATCCTAGCACTTTTGGAGGCCGAGGTGGGCAGATTGCCTGAGCTCAGGAGTTCGAGACCAGCCAGGGCAACGTGGTGAAACCGTATCTCTACTAAAATACAAAATTTAGCCAGCCATGGTGGCATGTGCTTGTAGTCCCAGCTACTTAGGAGACTGAGGCAGGAGAATTGCTCGAACCCGGGAAGTGGAGGTTGCAGTAAGCTGAGACCACACCAGTGTACTCCAGCCTGGGTGCCAGAGCGAGACTCCATCTCTTGAAAAAAAAAAATTAGCCAGGCATGGTGGCGCATGCCTGTAATCCCAGCTACTCGGGAGACTGAGGCAGGAGAATCACTTGAACCCGAGAGGCGAGGTTGCCGTGAGCTGAGATTGCACCATTGCACTCCAACCTGGGTGACAAGAGCGAAACTCTATCTTACTAAAAAAAAAAAAAAAGATTGTTGCTTTTCCACAGAGAGGTTGGCAGTAAATGATTGCTCATGTGCAAAGTTGTCCCTAAGCTGCTGTCCTGTTTTGTTCATAATCATGAACAGTCAGAGTGCATTGATGACAAAGGCCTTCTCCTTGCTCTCCCTTCTAAAGAATGCCTCACGTTTGTTTGAGGGAGGCTGTCCTCTAGGGACAGATACAAGCAAAAGCAGCAGGAGGTTATGGGATGGACATATTTATGCTGCAGTCACCATGTAACTGTACACTTTTTGTTACTCCCTTATGTGCAGATATCAAACATCATACAGAGTGGCCCTGGGCTTGGGAATGTGAGCTGGCAGTGAGGGGCATGGCTTGAAGTAGCTCAGGTGTCATCAGTCCTCATCTAGGAAGTTTCATTGACAATACACTTTGTTGACGGGGGAGGCCACACGAGGAGGTTGCACAGTGGCCCTCTGCTAATGAGTTTTTTGTCCACAAGCACCTCTACAATAAGGCTCTGTCACCTTGACTCCTATATGACTCTCCTAGGGATGCTGTGACAAAGTACCACAAGCTAGGTGGCTCAAATTAACAAAAATGTATCCTCTCACTGTTGTGGAGACTAAGAGTCTGGACTCGAGATGTCGGCAGTGCTACGCGCCCCCTGAAGGCGTTAGGGGAGGGCCCTTCCTTGCCTCTTATGAGCTTCTTCTGGTGACTGCCGGCAGTCCTCACCGTTCCTAGGTTTGTGAGTGCATCACTCCAGTCCCTGCCTGCGTCTTCACCTGGTCTTCTCTGTGTGTCTCCTCTGTGTCATATCACCTTCTTATAAGGACATCAGGCATTGGATTAGGGCCCACCATAGTCCAGTGCGAGCTCGCCTTCAATAAGGATAACTGTAAAGACACTGTTTCCAGTTACGATCCTATCCTGCAGTTCCAGGTGAGCATGGATTTTTGAGGGGACACTATTCCAGCCAGTACAGCTTTTATAAACAAAATGACCATACTGTGAAATTAACTTGTGTTACAGACTAGAAGTTTTCGTTATAAATCTCTCAGAGCACAAATAATTTTATTTTGAATTTTACAAGGTCTTAAACTCTGGCTTATTCCCCAAATGGTTCAATCATGTTTCTTAAGAGAGCCTAGGATGCAGGTTTTGAGTGTATAAATTAGTGCTCACTGTTCAATGTAATAAGTAACCAGTAGCCAATAAGCATGTTTAGATAAGGGAATGTGGGCAGAAGGTTATAATAGGCTTGCCTTCTTCCCTCAAAGATAAGTTTCTAGTGTATTTTCTGGGAGGAGAGGAAGCTGGGGAAGATGAAGAAGAATCAGAAAGCTTGGTGCCAATGGGTCCAAGCAAGTACACACACAACATACAGACACATGCAATAGACACACACAACAGACACACAAGCAACAGACACATGCAACAGACACACAGACACACACACATACCATGAACATTGTGAATTTCTCGTATTAGGAAAAGAATTACTTAAAAAGAGAAAGACTTGCAGAGATCTTAAACTGAATTTGGTTAAGAATATACATGAAAAAGTGTAGAAATTGTCCAGAAACAAAAGAGCAAAGGGAAACCCCCACAAAAGTCCCACAATCCCTCCTAGAGAAAACTACTACAGATATGTATTTTCTAATTCTATCTATCTATCTATCTATCTATCCATCTATATATCATCTATCCATCTGCTGTCTATCATCCATCTCTCTATCTGGGGCCATCAGAGCCCCTCAGATCTCTAACTGCAGGGATGCCCATCTGCCATTCTCAGCTAAGGCCTGAGCTTGGCAGGGACACTGAGATAGGCCCCTTCCTGGAAGGCAAAGGACTCCTTGGATACGTGTTTCAGCCTGTGGGTTCCTGATGAGCTTAATAAACTCTCTAAGAAGTGCAGCAAAGACAGTCCCATCCAGCTTCTGTCCTTCCCTCTCTCCTTCCCCTGGAATCACTCTGCACTGCGACCTGAGGGCTCTCCCATCCCCCTGGGCTTCTTCCCCATTTTCCCTCACAGGAGTTTCTTTAGTAAAACTCTTGTACATTTAATGCACTCTGAGTGTCTGATCCATGAAGGACCTGGACAACATCTATTGGTCTGTTTGTGTATCAATCACACTTTACAAAACTGCTAAAATCCTGGTCTATTTTATTTAAACAAACTGAAGCCATGCTTTAAGAAAACCTGGGCTGAGTATTTGAAAAAAAATGTGACATATGATTTTGAATGAATCCAAAAGAATCTCAGTGGTTGTGTCTTGACTCGGTGAGTTTGTTTGTCCAATTTCACTTTCTGCCACATATGGGTCTTAGAAGGCCTGAGTATTGCACTGTTGGAGTTGAGCTCACACTGAAAGGAGTGAAGCCACAGTGAGGAGTCACACACTCCCCACAATCCCAGAAAAGGAAAGTCTGAATGAGGTTAAGTGGAACCTGTTTATTTGACTCTCAAATCCAAAGGAAACTCAGAGAATATGACCGAGACTCAAAGATTTGAATATTGTTGCCACAAACTAAAACTCTTTCACATAGCTTGTTAGATTATTAGTAGCTACCCAGACTGTCCCAATGGCCTGGGAAAGTCAACTGGGCCAGCCTTGTCTCTGGACACCAGTGTGCCCTGCCAGGAAGATGCCATGGCAGTTTCAGAAGCTAAAGTAGTACATATAATTAAGAAGACTGCATTTACAATCACAATCCTTACTACTGCACGAAAAACAGTTCTTACCTTTCAAATTACCAGGCTCTGGGTAACATTATAGTTGCAAAAGATTTTCTTTGGGTTCATTTCAAGTCACAATAATGTGTGTGTGTCTTTTATACACTGAAGGGAAAAGCTCAGCCAATGCTAAATCTCAAACATGTCCACAGCCCCATGGAGAACAAGGTTAGATTTTTCCTCTTCACTCATTGTCTCAGCAAACGGTCCTTTTTGTTACCTTTAACAGATTTTCCAAGCCTTCCAACATTATAATAATTATGATCCTTTAGCTGATGCCACTGTAAAAGTTTGCAAAGCCCTTTTAACACACAGAGACTCACACAATGACTAAAAACATTAGTCCTTCGACCAGGGCTCAGCAGAGATGAAGAGTCAATTCCAAATGTGCTGACATTTTTTTTCTTGTTAACTTTATTGAGGAAAGACTTACATATGGTAAACTGCATCTAAAATGAATGAATTCTGGGCATTGTAGATACTCATAAAGCCATCGCCATAGTCAAGATATAGAAAAATCCCAAGAACCCTGAAAGGTTCCTCATTCATTTGAAGTCCATCCTTCTCTCCGACCCTGGCCCCAGGAAATCTCTAATTTATTATTGTCACAATAGATTAATTTGCATTTTATACAGTTTGAATAATAAATTATGAACTCCTTTTTTCGGGCTTATTTAACTCAGCATGATGTTTTTGAGTTGCCCAAGTTGTTGCAGGTGTTAGTGGTCCCTTCCTTTTTATACCTGAGTAGTATTCCACTATCTGGTTATGGCATATTTTCTTCATTTATTTACCTGTTTACCTGTTAATGAATATTTGTCCACTCCCAACTCCCCAGTTTTTGGCTGTTTGAATGTTGCTGCTGTGAACATTCATGTACAAGCCTTTTTTGTAGACCTATGTTGTCATTTCTCTTGCGTATATACCTAGGAGTACAATGGCTAGGTAGTATGGTAGACACGTGAAAGTTTTAAGAAACTGCCAAATTGTTTTTCAAAGTCATCATGTCAGGCCAGGCACGGTGGCTCATGCCTGTAGTCCCAGCACTTTGGGAGGCCGAGGCAGATGCATCACTTGAGGCCAGGAGTTCAAGATCAGCCTGGCTTACATGGTGAAACCCTGTCTCTACTAAAAATACAAAAATTAGCTGGGTGTGATGGCATGTGCCTGTAATTCCAGCTACTCAGGAGGCTGAGACATGACAATCCCTTGAATCTGGGAGATGGAGATTGCAGTGAGCAGGTGAGCAGAGATATGCCACTGCACTCCAGCCTGGGCAACACAGTGAGACTCTCTCTCAAAAATAGATTAAAAACAAAACAAAGTCATCATATCATTTTACACACCCACCTGTGGAGACTGAAGCAACCTCATCTTGGATGCTAATCCACCATGATGATTTCTGATTAATCCCAGTTCTGGGAATGCCTCTAAGATTTCTGTTTTATCTACTGTTCTTTTTGTAAAAGCACATACTATAAATTGTGCCCTTGATTTACAGTAAGTGAAGTAAGTACAGTAAGCCCAAACAACTTTGCCCATAAATTCTGCCCATAGACAGATTTATACAACATTCTTGCCTTTCCCTACAATTGTCCTACACATTCCTTCTCTATGGTATATAAGCCCTGGGTCTGGGAGCTAATGGCATAGTGCTCCACCATATTGTCTCATCACTGCTAAAGACAAAAGCATAGCTTCTGTTCCTAAGTCTCTGCTAAATGTTTATTTCTAAAAAACTAGGTATATCCCTCCCTTTTTTCTGCCTCTCAGCTTCCTTGGACTTTCAGTGTAGATTTGGACAAACCCTATCTACTGCAGAACACCACCAGAAATGTATGAGATTCCCAGTTGCTCCATATCCTTGTCAGCACTTGATATTGTCAGTTTTTTAAATTCTAGTCATTTGAATGGATGGGTGGCATTTCACTGTGATTTAATTTGCATTTCCCTGATTACTATGTTGCGCATATTTTCATGTGCTTACTGACCATGAGTATATCATCTTTTATGGTGTATCTGTTCAAATCTTTTTCTTATTTTCAATTGAGCTGTTTATACCCTTATTGAGAACTAAAATTATTTAAAATTATTTCCATATTCTCTATGTCTTTTGTGAAATGCATGTATAGTGAAGGTTTTCTTTCATATGTAGCTTGCTTTTTTGACTGTGCATTTTGAAGAGCATTTTTTTTCTTTTGATAAAATCCAATTCATTGCTTTTTCTTTTTTGTGTGTGTTTTGATTTGTGCTTTTCCTGTCTTTTGACTACTCCAAGGTCAAAAAGTCTTTGTTTCTATAGTCATAAAGATTTTACTTCCATGTTTTCTTCCAGGAGATTTATAATTATACCTTTTCCATTTCATCTATGATACATGTTGTGTTAATTTTTAAATATGGCTTGAGGTTAGGGGTGATTTTCATGTTTTCCACATGGATACCAGAGTTTTTCAGTACCATTTGTTGAACAGACTTTGCCTTCCATTGAATTGCCTTAGTTCTTTTGCCAAAAATTAATTGGCCATGTATATGTAAGTCTATTTCTAAACTCTCCAGTCTCTTTCATAGTCTATATCTCTATTCTTTAATTAATATTGTCATTTGTGTAGAATTATTATAATTATCGTGGCATTATAGTAAGTCATCAAATAAGTCTTTCAGCTTTGTTCTTTAGTTTTAGACATTGCTTCATGTAATCTAGGTCATTCACATTTCCAAACAGATTTTTAGAATCAGCTTTGTCAGTTTCTACTAAAATGTTTTCTGGGATTTTGATGGGCTCTTATTGAATCTATAGATCAAATAGGAGAAAACTGATTCCTTAAAAATGTTTACTCTTCCATTAATGAATATGACATTATTTAGGTCTTCTAATTCCTGCCAGCAATGTTCTATAATATTCAATGAAAGGATCTAGCATATCTTTGTTAAATTCACTTCGAAGTATTTCTGTTTTGGGAGTACTTTTTAATGTTATTTAAAAGATATCTAAAATGTTATTTTCTTTCTTGAACCATGAAACATCTAGAAGTTTGTTTTTTAATTTCCAAATATTAAGACTTTCCTAGATATTTTAAATATATTTTTAATTCTGTTGTGTAAAAAAAATATACTCTGTATGGTAACAAGTCTTCTAAAGTTATTGAGGCTTCTTTAGTTGTCAAATGTATGGCCATTTTTATTAAGCATACCATAAGCCCTTGAAAATAATGTTGAGTTTGCGGTAGTTGGGCCTAATATTCTATGAATAGGAATTAGGGCAAGGTGGTTGATAATATTCAGATTCTCCATGCCTTGCTAATATTTTACTTAATTTTAGTATCATTTCCTAAGAGAAAGGTATTAGAATCTCCTACTAAAATTATAGAATTGTCATTTTCTGCCTTTCAATTTGTCAATTTTTAATTCATGTATTTTGTTGCACTAATATTAGGTGGATATACATGTACAATTTTTAGGTATTCTTGATTAGTCAGCTTTTTTATCATTATGATAGATCCTTCTTTATCTTTGTAATACTTTCTATCTTTATGTCTTTTAACTGATATTAACGTAGCCAAATCAACATTCTTATGCTTATTGTTTGCTTGGTTTATCTTTTTGCATCCATTTACTTTCACCTTATTTATGCCTTTATAATTAAATTGCATTTCTTATAAATAGAATATATTTGAGCCCCGCTTTATAATCAGTTCTGTTAATCTCTGACTTTTAATTGGAGCGTTTAGTCCATTAACAGTTAATGTAATATTGTTATGGTTAGTTTTAGATCTACCATATTACTATATATTTTTTTATTTTCCCTTCCTTCACTCCTGGTTTATTGTCTCTTCCTGCATTCATTTTTATTTATTGAATACTTGTTAGAATTCTATTTTAATTTTATCTATTGACCAGATTTTTTGCATCATGTTTAGTGGTGCTCTACAGTAACATCCTTAACTTTTTACAGTATACTTTTGGCTAACATTATACCAGTTCATATAAAATAAAGAAACCTTATAGCCATGTCAGTTCATTAAATGTACTGATTTTTAACTGTCCTTAAGAACCAAAGTAAGAAGGCTCTTTGTAGTCATAATATTAAATCTTATGGATTCATATGACACTGATAGCTGAGGCCATAATCATAATTAATTGCCTTTCTTTGTGACCACCAACCCTCCTAGTCATGATAGTTATGGTCCCCACCATGCACATGGATCCCTGTAAGGGTAAATTCTATGACATAGCATCTGAGGAAGGGTTTAGTCTTGTTTGACTACATTACTTTTAACAGGGGACTTTCTACTCAGGGGTGAGAGTAGACAGACCCTCAAGAAGTCTGTCTATAGACTGGGGTCTGGGAAGTAGTCTGAGGTGAAACACTCTGCCCAGCTTGCAGTTATGGTAACTGTTTTTTCTGTCACAAACATAATTGATTTGGAATAGATGACTAGATAAATACAATGAGATAGATTAAGGGACAATGAGGGACCATGAACAACTATGAGTTGTGGGACAGAAAAACTGAAAAATAGAAACTAAGAGTAGGGAAAGGATAATTGAGTGGATGATATGGAAGCTAACTGGAGTGGTGATATGGTTTGGCTGTGTCCCCACCCAAATCTCTTCTTGAATTGTAGTTCCCATAATCCCTATGTGTTAGGGGAGTGACATGGTGGGAGGTAATTGAATCATGGGGATGGTTACCTCCATGCTGTCTTCATGATAGTGAGTGAGTTCTCACAAGATCTGATGGTTTTATAAAGGGCAGTTTCCCTGTACATGCTCTCTTGCCTGCCACCATGTAAGACGTGACTTTGTTCCTCCTTTGCCTTCTGCCATAATTGTGAGGCCTCCCCAGTCATGTGGAACTGTGAGTCAATTAAACCTCTTTCCCTTTATAAATTACCCAGTCTTGGGTATTTCTTCATAGTAGCATGAAAATGGACTAATGCAGTAAATTGGTACAGGTAGAGTGGGGTACTACTATAAGGATACCCAAAAATGTGAAAGTGACTTTGGAACTGGGTAACAGGCAGAATTTGGAACAATTTGAAGGGCTCAGAAGAAGACAAGAAAGATTGGAACTTCCAAGAGACTTGGAAGGCTCAGAAGACAGGAAGGTGTGTGAAAGTTTGAAACTTCCTAAAGACTTGTTGAATGGCTTTGGCCAAAATGCTGATAGTGATATGGACAACAAAGTCCAGTCTGAGGTGGTCTCAGATGGAGATGAACAACTTATTGGGAACTGGAATAAAGGTAATTCTCTTTATGTTTTAACAAAGAGACTGGCAGCATTTTGCCCCTGCTTTAGAAATCTGTGGAACTTTGAACTTGAGAGAGATGATTTACAGTACCTGGCAGAAGAAATTTCTAATAGGCAAAGTATCCAAGAGGAAGCAGAGCATACAAGTTTGGAAAATTTGCAGCCTGACTATGAGCTAAAAAAGAAAAAAAACATTTTCTGGGGAGAAATTCAAGCCTGCAGCAGAAATTTGCACAAGTAATGAGGAGCTGAATGTTAATCACCAAGACAATAGGGAAAATGTCTCCAGGGTCTCCAGGACATATCAGAGACCTTCACAGCAGTCCCTCCCATCACATGGCTGGAGGCCTAGGAGGGAAAAAAATGGTTTCCTGGACTGAGGCCAGGGCCCCCCTGCTCTATGCAGCCTTAGGACATGGTACGGTGTGTCTCAGCTGCTTCAGCTCCAGCTGTGGCTAAAAGGGGCCAAAATACTGCTCAGGTCATTGCTTCAGAGGGTGTAAGCTCCAAGCTTTGGCAGCTTACACATGGTGTTGGGCCTGTGGGTGCACAGAAGTCAAGAATTGAGGTTTGGGAACCTCTGCCTAGATTTCATAGAATGTATGGTAATGCCTGGATGTCCAGGCTGAAGTTTTCTGCAGGGGCAGGGCCCTTATGGAGAACTTCAGCTAGGACAGTGCAGAAGGAAAATGTGGAGTTGGAGCCCCCACACAGACTCCCCATTTGGGTGCTGCCTAGTGGGGCTGTGAGAAGAAGGCCACAGGCCTCCAGACCCCAGAATGGCAGATCCACTGACAGCTTGTACCTTGAAAAGCCACAGACCCTCAACACCAGCCCATGAAAGCAGCTGGGGTGGTGGGGGAGGTGGGGGCTGTACCCTGCAAAGCCACAGGGGCAGAGCTGCCCAAGACCATGGGAACCTACTTGCATTAGCATGACCTGGATGTGAGACATGGAATCAAAGGAGATCATTTTGGAGCTTTAAGATTTGACTGCCCTTCTGGATTTTGGACTTGCATGGGGCCTGTAGCCCCTTCATTTTGGTCAATTTCTCCCATTTGGAAGAGGTGTATTTACCCAGTGCCTTTACCCCCACTGTATCTAGGAAGGAACTAACTTGCTTTTGATTTTACAGGGTCATAGGTGGGAGGGACTTGCCTTGTCTGAGATGAGACTTTGGACTGTGGACTTCTGAGTTAATGCTGAAATGAGTTAAGACTTTGGGGAACTATTGGGAAGGCATGATTGGTTTTGAAATGTGAGGACATGAGATTTGGGAGGGGACAGCGGTAAAACAATATGATTTGGCTGTGTTCCCACCCAAATCTCATCTTGAATTGTAGCTCGCATAATCCCTACTTGTCATGGGAGGGACCCAGTGGGAGGTAATTGAATCATAGGGTGGGTTTTTCTCATGCTGTTCTCGTGATAATGAATAAGTCTCATGAGATCTGGTGGTTTTATAAATGGCAGTTCCCCTGTACATGCTCTCTTGCCTGCTACCATGTAAAACGTGGCTTTGCTCCTCCTTCGCCTTCCACCATGATTGTGAAGCCTCCCCAACTATGTGGTGCTTGAGTCCATGAAACCTCTTTTTCTTTATAAATTACCCAGTCTCGGGTATTTCTTCATTAACAGTAAAAAAAAAAAAAAAAAAAAAAAAAAAAAAAAAAAGCATTAGTACAAATGGGAAGAGAAATAAAAAAATTCAGTTGAAAAAGCAGCAGAGTGTGAGCAAGCGACCAAATGCATCCCTGATGAGGCTCCGAAATGACAATGTAATAGCTATTAGTACTGCTTATCCAATATTTCTTTCCCTTCTAGGAATCTTGTAGGATTGCACTTCTAGTCTCTTTGAGGTTGGTTGTCACCATGTGATTATGCCTGGCCAACTTTTGAGTTTGAGAGTTTTTGTTTGTTTTTTTCTCAAGAAAGAATTACAAGAGAGAGTTTCAAATAGAAGAGATATATGTCATTTCCAGAATGGGGCATTTGCTTGCTGAGGTGAGACCCTCCAGAAATCTCTCTTTCCTCCAGCACAGTGACCAGCAATGTTCAATATGGTAACTGCTCTATAAGCTAAAGACCTTGAGTAAACATTATGAAGGGAGAGACCTGTTGGCTAGCAAAAGGCAAGTAGTACAAGTAAGAAATAAACCTTTGTTGTTTTTGGCTATTTAGGTTTGGAGAGATGCTTATTACACAGCATAATCAAGTTCATCCTGATGGTAAAAGATCTATGAACTTTTGCTTCTGAAATTCCTAAAAGCAGCTTGGTTCTAGATGAACCTTTGTGACACCTCATCATAAAGCACTTATTATTCCTGGGTTCCTGAGGGGTCAGCTACGGGTTGAATCATGCCCCCCTCTCCAAATTTATATGTTGGGGTTTAACTGCCAGTACCTGATAATGTGACTGCATATAGAGACAGCATCTTTCAAGAGGTCATTAAGTTAAAATGAGATCATAAGGGTGGGGCCTTAATCCAATATGATTGGTGTCCTTATAAGAAAATGAAGAGATACTAGGGAGGGTCACACAGAAGAAAGGCCACATAAGGACAAAGCAAGAAGGTAGCTGCCTGCAAGGCAAGGAATGAGGCCTCAACAGAAACCAACCCTGCCCACATCTTGTTCTTGGACTTCCAACCTCCATAATGTGAAAGAATAAAAGTCTTTCATATTTCAGAGATTGTTTCAGCCCCCCAATCTCTGCTATTTTATTACAACAGCCCTAGAGGGCTAATACAGAGGGCTATGTCTTCCTCATCGCCTTGCATATCTTTACAATTAATCTTCACTGCTTGAGCTTGCCATAACTCAGTTTCTTAAAACAAAAAGCCTAACTAATTACTGACCCTTTATTTGTTTTACTGTCAAGTTAAAAAAAAAAAACGTTGGAAGTTAAGAGTCACAACATAATACAATAAGAATGATCTTTCCTGCATGCCAAATAATGGAAAAATGCAAAGAATATCATAAAGACCTGTAGTAAACAACCTGACTCAAAAAATTAAATGATGAACCCAGTTCATTTTCTAGCTTGTATTAAGGAGCTCTGGCATAGTAAACTCTGTCATGGGCAGTTTATTGGCAACCACCTTCTCTGACTTTCCAACCACAAAAGGAAACCAACTAAGAAGACCAGCAATTACCTAGCAAGCTTGCATAACAATGTGAAAAGCAGAAGAGAGGAAGCTCTTTCACCTCACTCCTAAATGAGGGGAAAAAAAGACCTGAAGCCCAGGATAGGGAAGTTAAACAAGGTGTTCATCCATGTTCATGGGGTTGAGATCTCTGGACATTTATCCTTTCTAAGTTCAGCGAACAGAGGCCAAGCTGGTGAACTGAATGGATGGCAGAACACGTAATGAGGAGGAGAAAAAAGTATGTGTATCAATAAATCCTGTTTATTGACCTAGGGTGCAGCAATGACATTTCTTTAAGGAATTCTTTTTCAATTTAAAAAGTTTGAAACTCTTCTGAACTTGAAGAAAGATGGAGGATTGCCATAGTTCATAGCTGCAATTATCACCTACTTGCCAATGACTTCCAAACATGCATCTTGTTTGAGCTCTGGCCCAGGCTCTAGATTTTCATTTCTATAACTACCGAACAATTTCTTTCAATTGCCTGTAGGTTTCTAAGACTCAACAATTAAAAACCAACCTAATACTATCATCCACCTCCACCAACACCTGTTCCTCACCCATGGTGCCATCCAAGAACCCACCTGAGTCTACCACCCCTCAGTCTATGCAAATCCCTCTCCTCCTTCACTCCCCACATCAATTTGGAGCAAATGACTTTAGGACTATCTTTCACCATCTAGTGTCAGTTCACCTGCATGATACAAAAGGTAGTTTAAAAGCCACTTAACCTCAAAACTCTTTTAACCATAAAAGCAAGCATCAGTTGTAACTGATAGATTTAAACTCACTAAAGACTAGCTCTGTAATTTGCTTTTTCTGAGAGGGAGATTGCTCTGGCATAGTGGAACAAGCAGTGTCTGACCCTAAGTAGTAGCTCAGTAATATTTTTTGATGAATGAATGGATGGATGGATGGAGGATTAGAACTCAGGGGACCTCTGGCTCCACCAGACACGACTGAACTTAATTGTTAACATAAAGGAATTAGATTTCAGGCCTGGCGCAGTGGCTCACGCCTGTAATTCCAGCACTTTGGGAGGCTGATGTGGGTGGATCACAAGGTCAGGAGATCGAGACCATCCTGGCTAGCACGGTGAAACCCTGTCTCTACTAAAAATACAAAAATTAGCCGGGCGTGGTGGTGGGCACCTTTAGTCCCAGCTACTCGGGAGGCTGAGGCAGGAGAATGTCGCGAACCTGGGAGGCAGAGCTTACAGTGAGCTGAGATCGCGCCACTGCACTCCAGCCTGGGCAACAGAGCGAGACTCCGTCTCAAAAAAAAAAAAAAAAAAGGAATTAGATTTCATGGTCTCTCAGCTTTCTCAGTGGTATTAGCCTATTACTCACCAACAATCAAAGCTGGTCCTGTGGGGTAAGGAGGAAAGTATGGATGACCTCAGCCTGGAGTCAGGGTCAATGGCTTCCTCCCTCACCCATCGCCTGGATCTAGTGCTCCCATCCAGGCCTGTGTAACAGGTTCTGCTGGATGTCATCCATTTATGCAACCATGGAGGAAGCTATAAGGAAACTATTTGTCAGCCAGCACCTCCCAAACAGCCAACTCATGGGGTTTTTCACGTGACACCGGGCATGTTTTTTTTCCCACTGCAGCCCAACACACCCACAGACCCTTAAGGATGCATGAACGGGTGTTGTTGGGGGTGGGACAGCTGTTGAAAACCACAGGACTAGGAAAGTCCCCAGGCTGTGCTTGAAGCTCTACGCTTTTCTCTCAAGTCAGGAATTTCTATTAATGTATTATGCAACTTCCTAGGAATTCTCTGTGGCTAGAAAGGATTCTAATAAAATACAGAACAAGCAGGTCCATGGTTAAAAGGAATAATCTACAAACAAAAAGAAATAAGTCATGTGTTCATAGCTGTGGCTCCTCAAAGGCAGGAGATGAAGCTTGTTTGCTTCTGCATCCCAGGCACTCAGCAAGGCTGGCGGGAGAGAACTTCTCCCATGCGCTTTTCTGCCCTCTTTCTGATTACTCCCTAAAAAGCTAAAGCGACATTGCTTTTCTCCCTGTTTCTCTTCCAAATCCATTTCCATAGCTGCTCAACCCCATCTCCTGACAAAGAAAAGACAACTTGATAACGAGAGGCTTTTTCTTTTTTCTTGTGCATGTGACCTGAAGTGAGTTCTAATTACTCCTAGGTAGCTCACAGTGTAGTCTAGTTGAAAGCCAATTTGTACAATTCAAACTTCAACCATTCTGTTTATTTAGCCAGAAGAAAATGAACCAAACAGGTGTTTGATGAATCAAATGGGAGGCATTGCAATGAAATAATACAGTGCCCCTCCAGCCCTGTCCTGCTCTAGCATGCCTCCCAAGGATTAGCCCACACCCCTCAGGCTGCTCCTTAAAGGGCAAGTCTGTGGCTTAGACTCCACAAGTGCAGGAAGTAAAGGGGTTGTCTGTTGTGGAAGGTTAGGAGTCAGATTTGGTGAACCTCTGCCCCCTGCAACACTCTCCTTCATTTACTGGGACCTGCACTGATCTGCTCCTCACTTCTCCCAGGTCCTCCCACCTCCCCAGCCAAGTCCAAGCTCTTCATCACAAGCTATAGTGGTTGCTGCATCTCTCTCTCTGTTTCTCTCTCTCTTGGTTTACTTCTCCCTCTGCCTGTGACACACACACACACACACACACACACACCAGCTGTGAGCTGAGAAGTTCACCGTGAAAACCTCCAAATATTTTGGCTGAAAGTGCATGTCTGAAGGCAAATGCCTGAATCCTTTGGGACCCATGTCTGGGCTGGATGGGCACCAGACTCCTGCCCTCCCCAACAGAAGGTCAGAAGCAGCCCCAGGGGAGAGCCTCACAGATAAAGCACTTGCTGAGACTTTGCAGGGTTGTGGAGTTCACTCCCTAGGCACCCAAAGCCAACCAATCAAGGCTGCATGGCCCTTTCTGCCTGAAGGTTAGGCGTAATCTCCATTTCTATGCCTGACAGACACCCGGCAGATGGCAGATGGTTGTTCTTGTGTGGACCTATCTCTGGCACACAGGAAGGGCAAGAAGACATTTGTGTATCACCTGCCCTGTGCCAGGCATCCGAAGTCTCATTTCACAACATCCTCACAATCACCCTTTGAAGTCAGATTAATCATTCTCATCTTACATATGTGGAAACTGAGGCACAAAAGGATTGGGTCCCAAGATCGTGCAACTTGTAGGTCCACGCCCCCCATACACAGTGAGATCCCTGTATTCTTGGCCAGAGGAAACTGTCTCTTGGTAAAGCTATCTCCTCTTGGCTCCCATCCTTGGAATCAGAATAAAATGAAAGAAAATATAAAGAAGACAAGGAAAAGATGCCTACTCTCCCCTCAAGATGCTGTTCAAGTGCACATACAGCTCTTCTTTAGGAAAAGCTGAGACTGCAACGTTCAGATAGACAGACACGAAGATGTGGCATCATTAGGGTGTCAGGAGAGCTCTGTGGCTCAGACGTACTCATGCAGGTGGACTTGGATGAATAACACCAAACACAGGGGCTCACTCTGTGCCACGTGCTATTTTGAATGCATTACGTGTATCAATCCATTTTAACCCTCCATCAACCATATCTCCATATTACAGAAAGGAAACTGAGGCCCAGAGAGGGTAAGTGATTCACCTGAAGTCACTCAGCTTGCAAGGAGTGGAGGCAGGACCTGCAATGAAGCATATGGCTTCCCATCCATGTTCTTGGCTATGCTTTACTACTTTTTGAATAAGAAGTAATAGAGTAAGGGTCCCTTTTGAGGCAGGAAAATATAAAGCAGGAGGAATCATGAAGGAAAATTTGCCCTCAAATGAATAGGCTGGATACATGGTTCACCCTCATGTGCCCTGTGTCCAGGACAGTGGGGGTGCAGGACACGTGCATGACAAGGTGTGGGGAAAGAGAGATAGGACCCTGGGACTCTTCCCTCTGCCCATGCCTGCCCCTGATTTTATCCCACCCTTAGCGTTTAGGTTCAGGAAGCAACTCTGAAGTTTGGCGGTGACAGTTAATTTGAGGAAAATCACCCCAGTTTGCTCCCTCTTGGGGGCTTGAGGAAAGAGGGCTTCAGTCACTGGAAACAGAGACCTGGGCAGCAGGCCAGCCCCAGGGCCAACATGGCCCCTGCCCACCTCTTCTAGTCCCCACTGCTTGCCGCCTCATCATTATTCACTCTTCCTGCTGCATTCGTTCTTCCACTAGAGCCCTTGACTCAGCCCCCTCCGCAATGCTCCATTCTAGATGCTGAGTCCTGTGACTGCAGGAGGGAATGGCATGGAGAGAAATTAAGAGAGCCAACAGGCAACTAGCCAGCAAAGTTATGTTGCTACAGGGACAGACAGATGAGAAGAGAAGACGGCAAAGGAATTCTAGCATGAGGGATCAGGAGATATAGAATCTAATGCTGGCAGCAAGAATCCACAATAAATAGAGGGCAAATTGCAAACTGCATGAAAGGTCAATGGTCTCTGATAGAAACTGTTGCCACTGATTGCCTCACCCAAAGGGAATTGCTGGCTGGGCAAAGCAGTGAGTATGACTTTTCACTCTGTCTCTGGGATACTGAGCTGCATAGAATAAACTCTAGTGAATGAATAGATAAATGACTTCTATGAGAATCTGTGTCTTTATAACAAAAATAACAGTGAAGAAACTTAGGCACATGGCGATCTGCTAAGTCACCCAAGAGGCCTGAAGGACCGAGAAGGGTCAGTACAGAGATGTGGACCTAGACAGTCTGGGTCCAGGGGGTCTCTGTCCTTAACCACTGTGTACTATCACCACCTCATTAAGGTGCCATGAGGCTTAAATAAGGAAAATGGCATGAAGCACCCATCAAGGTGAATGGCCCAGTGCTCAGAACATTTAGCTCCACTTCCCCTCCCACTATCCTCCTAGAGAATGGCATCCAGAGCCAGGAAGATGTCACCAGAGGAGGGAGCAAGAGTAGGAGGGGAGAGAGGGATGAGGAAAAGGGGAAGTACCGGGTGGCAGTCAAGAGCAGAGACACCCTGGAGTCAGGCTGCTTGGGTTCCAGCTTCAACCCTGGCCTGTCTGGGCCTTTGACCTCTCTGATGAGGTAGAGGAGATAAGGAGCTAGGGGTGATAGAAAGCTTGGTGGCCTCACTTTGTTGCTTATCCAGCAAGCTGATCCAAGAAAACGAAGGCAGATTATAAATCTAAGAACAATCCGCCCTCCCATCTGTGAGGTGGTGCCATATTTAAAATCAGCTGCTTGTTCAGAATGAGCCGACCACTAAACAGTGTCCGGGAGCTGCTTCAATACAAAGTCATGGCCAGCATTCATTGAGTGCTTACTCCAGGTTGGGCATTCACTCTGCTAAGAGCTGAATATAAATTTTCCAGTGAGCCTATGAGCTGAAGAATGTCATTATCCCAATTTTACAGCAAGAGGAGGCACAACAGGATCAGAATGTTGCCTCAAGCCATAGTGTTTTGCAGAAAGAACACTGGCTTCACTCACTGGACTTAAGTCCAGTCTCCTCATCGGTAGCATGTGGGTTCTCTCTTGTCACTCCCAGTTGCATGAGTGGAAAATTCAAAAGGTAAGGAAAAAAGGAAAAAGTTTGGGAGGAGGGAGAGCTGTGCACACCCATGTCTGCTCTGTCATTGTTCAGGCAGTGTGTCCTTGTGCAGTTTATTTTAACCTCCTTTGCCTTATTGTCTTCATTCATGAAGTAAGGGCACTTGGTCATGCCTCTTAGTAAAAGCAAAGGGTTTAATAAAACACTAATAAATGCAAAAGTGACATAGTAGATGCACCTGTCTTCCTGCTGTGATTTTGGCCATGAGATTTAACTAGGGATATTGTTTATGCAATTTTAGAAACATTCTTTTTTTAAAATAAAAAATTGTATATATTTAAGCTGTACAACATGATGTTTATATATGCTAATATGTTAATATATAAATATATATGAGATATTTTTCTATATATTATATATGTATATATGTGCATGTGTGTGTATATTGTGTGTGTGTATATATATATATATATATATATATATATATATATATATATATGCTGTACATGGTGAGATAGTTACTAAGGTCAAGCTAATTTTTGTATCCATCTTCTCACGTTGTAACCATTTGTGTATAGTGGCGGGTGAGGACACTAAAGCTATCTGGGTTTTGTCTCCCTCCTTTTGCCTACCATTAAGCGTATGTGTGTTCTGGTGATTAGTGTCATAACCTAAAATATTCAGCAAGAGGGAGAAAAAAGTGGGACAAGAGATCTGGAGAATCAGATTCATCAATATTTCGACTGTTGGGAGCAACCCCTTCTCTTTGGTGGGAAGGCAGCTCTTTCGTGGATGAAGATCTGCAGCATTGTCGCATGTAACCCACAATCACAGGCCACCTTCTGGATGACTCAGCCTCCTTGCCGAAAAGGCATGCTTGTGACTGCTGCCCCCAAGAAGGCTCCTTCCTCAATGAAAGGGTGAGGTCAAGGCCCTTAGCTCAAAATACAACTGGACGGCAGCAAGTACCCGTTCCTTTTCAGCTGTGTTCTAAATATGGCCCTGGGGCTTCTCTGGTTTCACTTAGGGACCCAGCAGTGCCAGTGCACACTTAATACTCACTGTGCTGTGGGTGACCACAGAGTGGCCCAAGATTGAAGTGTGGACAACCCCACGGAGCCAACGCAACAGCAGCTCTACCCAGCAGAGGTCACAGCAGTGTCCTCAGCAGATACTCCGGTAGCTTGAAAATTATGATTTTATCCTGAAATGATCATTCTTATAAATGTCTCCCCCAAAGCAATTAAACTTTGGGGAAGTCAAACACATGTTGCTAACAAACAAACCCCAACCAGAAACCAAGCCAGAGTTGGCTCTCCATGTGAAATCTAGAGACAACTCAGGAGGAAGTCAGATTCTCAAGCTCGAGGAAGGAGTCAAATGCTTTCCTTGGTAATTGATAAAGACTCTGCCTTGGCAAGAACTTTTGTAGATTATATCTGAGTTTTTGATGAATAAAGAATATGCTGTGAAAATTAAAGAGATGGCATTTATCCAGTAGTATCTTGACCTCTGTAATAATTTATGAAGGAGAGGTTGAATAATTGCTTCAGAATGGATTTCCAAGGGGTGTCCCTGGTCTTGTCACAGATAAACACCCTCCAGGACATTGTCAGTAGTGCGGGTGAGAGTAACCAAATAACCTCCAAAAAACTTGGATCTGAGTGAAAGAAGGTTATCTCTGGGAGATGAACTAGGAAATGGACACATCATGGGTCAGAGGGGCTACCTTAAGAGATGGAATGGATTCCCAGACAACGACACTTACTCATTTGTAACAAAACTGAAAGTATGACAGTATTTATAGAAGGAATGGGTTGGGGAAAGGGGATCTCAGAGACTAGTCCAGTGTCGTCTGGGGAGATGGATAAGGTCCTTGTTCTAGGCGTATCATCATTTTATATCAACATATATCAGTTTCTCTCAACCTAAAGGCAATAAATCCATAGTTCTCAAACTTCAGCGGTCATCTGAGGTTTTAATAACACAGGTTTCTAGGTTCAACTCCCAGACAGTCTGGGTCAGAGGGTATGAAATGGGACTGGACATCCGAAGACTCATCAGTCCCACCAGTGTGATGCAGAAACACTTGGCCTGAGGACCAGACTCTGAGAAATGAAATCTCTGAATCCTATGACAGTCTGGAGTCCAGACTCCCCGGGCAGCTTCCTGACAATGTGGCTTTTTGTGAAGCTTGCCCGCAAGGGTAGAATGCACCAGCCTGATGATTCTAGTGCCTTGCCTCAAAAGTTAGGGATTCTCGCTATGAATAAATGATTTGACGTCCGGCTTCATGTATGGGCCTCCTTCGCTTAGGAAATCCATGGGTATGGCACAGATTATTTTTCAAAGGGGGACTTTTCCTCTCTGTACTATTGTTGCATAAAGTTTAAAAAAAAAAAGATCTTGCTTGCCAAATGAATTAGTAAATTGTAAATGGGAAAAAAATTAAAAACAGAATGTTTGCATGTCTTTTGGTTAGACACAATCTCTGGAAGCAAAATATGAAACCCAGGAGCAAAAAAAGAGTCATTAGCAGGTTTCACTATATAAAAATTTAGAACTTTTATAGGGTAAAATATACCATAATCTAAAAAAATTTAAATAATAGAATGGAAGAAAATATTTGGTCTTTATGGGACATTGAAAAGTTTAAAGGTAAGATAATTTAATGAATTCCTATAAATCTTTTTTTTAAGCAAGTGAAGAAAAATGAGCAAGACGCAACATTTGCATATAAAAATTGGGATATGACATACTTATACTAAAAAAAATTATTCATTGTTTATCTGAAATTTAAATTTAACTTGGTGTCCAGTATTTTTTTAAGTTTGTCAACCCAGAAAGGACATCAGCTTTCAATGTACAGCATGTGACAGAGTCATGATTTGCAGTTGCTGAAAAGTTGCTTACTATTATAATGCAAATTAAAACAAACATGAGAAATCCTTTTTGCTCATGGCATTAGAAAACATTAAGGAAACAATGTCCCTTGTCAAAGATATAAGAAAATATGGGTGCAATACACTAAGGAAGTATAAGCTGATAAAGGCTTTCTGGAAAATCTTGACGACTGTGTTCCAGGGCCTGAAATTAAGGTTTGATATTATGTAATGCCACGATATTTGGCAAAATTATGAGGACCTCAACTGGTCTACATGCAAGTTTCCCTCCCCACGCCGATCCCTGGATAAGGTGCCCCAGCCAAACCACCCTCCTTATCAAGGGTACCAGGCACAGTTCCTGCTTCTTCCTGAGTAGAAGGTCTTAGGTCCCTGCCAACCTGCAAAATTATTCCAACAACTCAATCATCTCCTCCTGTGAGAACCAGGGAGCACCTCACCCTCTTGTTACCACAAAGCCTGCCTCCCACAGCTCCTGGTTGTTCATTCCGTTCCCAAGCGCAGCCTCTGTGTGGTCCTGCGGGGCATGTGGCATCCTCCTCCCCTTGGCAAGTACAGGTGACTGATAAACTGTTGTCAGTCTCATCTGCCCAGTGTTGGGTGTCTGTGTTTGGCCATCTATAACCTTAGAGTGAGAATCTCTCATTTACCAAGGAGGCAGATAGGAGCTGATTAAAACAGCAGCACATTTTAAATTGTTAAATGTACATACTGTTTAAACTGGAAATTTCACTTCTAAGAAAACATCATGTAAAAATACGAATGCAAAGAGAGAGGCATGCAGAAAAAAAGAATATTCAATATGCATTTCAACATTGCTTGTAAGAATGAAACATTGGAAACAACCTGAATGACGCATTCATCAGGAAACTGCTAAATAAGTTACTGTAAACTTAATTTATGCAATACTATGCAATAGCTGAAAACACATAGAAAGAGGGCCAGACACGGTTGCAGTGAGCCGAGGCTGCATCATTGCACTCCAGCCTGGGCAACAAGAGTGAAACTCTGTCTCAAAAAAAAGAAAAAAAAAAACAAGACACGGAAAGACTTGTTATATCTAAGCAATACATAAAATACACCCACTTTATATTAAAAAATACAGATCACACACACATAGATGATAAAAGATTTGCAAAAATGTTGTATATGCATATAAAAAATACAGGAGGGAAAAGGTCAAGCTGATAAAAGTGGTTGCCTCTTTCATAGAGGAGGAGGTGAGGGCAAGCAGAAGTTTTTGTGTTTCATGCTATATAGTTTTGTACTGTTTGATTCTTACAGTGAAAATGTATTCTAGTATTACTTATGTGCTGTGATAGAAATTTAAAAATAAGAAAAGTATATGAAAGTATGTATAAAAGTCTTCTTGTCTAACAACTGCTGAAGGTTTTTAGTAATTAATGAAATTGAGCAACGGGACTGGCTAGTTCTCAATATTCCAGCACCCCCAGCCTACAGACATCCCCTGAGCCTTAATGCTGGGTGTTGCTCAAGCCTGTATGTTCTTCTCAGTTTCCCACCAGAAAGGCTCATAAGCAAAAACGCCTCATTCACTTTTTTCCATACAAGTCCTGCAACTAAGTGATACAAAAACTAACACATTTTCACAAATCTGTTGTCATCTCTTCCCTGACCCTTATCTTTTATTTCACCTAATCTAATGTGGTATGTTAAAAACAAAACAAAAATGCATATAAAGGGAATAAGAGTGAGGTCTGATGATGGAGAGGAAATAAAAACATCAGTTTCTGCTTTAGCTGTCGTGAAACCCCAGAAGGGCCATTAGCAACAGTTTCTGTTTGCTAAGTGAAAAAGTACATTTAACTCAAGAATGATACGTTCTCTCTCCTTTTCCACTCTTTAACGAAACTAGTTGGTTTGTGAATGACAAGCAGTGTGAGTGAACCGTTATGTAGGCAGTGCAGATCCCAAGGAAATTCACCAGAACTCGGACCACACCGCATGGGCTGAAGCTCATCCCTGTCCTGCTGCGCTGAGCCACACTGGAGCCGTCTCCACAGCCTCCGGTCCCCAGCCCCACCCCGAACCCTCATCTCCCCCGGAAGCCGGGCGGGCACATGACATCTCACCACAGTAATGCCATCATTGAGCAGGGCCTCCCCAAAGATCATCATGTAGAGCTGCTCGTTCACGCGCGCTTCCTCAAACACGGCTAGCACGGCCACTGGGTCCACGGCGGAGATCAGGCTGCCGAACAGCAGGTTCTGCAGCAGGTTGACGTCGCCCAGGCCAAAGGCCTTCACCTGGCAGATGAGGTAGAGGGAGAGGCCAATGCCCAAGGCGTTGATCAGGGCCCCCAATACTGCCCACCACAGGATGGAGCCGATGTTCTCAAAGAAGGGCCGGGTGGGCATGAAGTAGCCGCCCTCCAGAACGATGGGTGGCAGGAGATACAGGAAGTAGATGCTGGAGTCCATGACCGGAGGCGATTTGTGGTCGGTGCCGAAGATGATGCCGCCCACCAGCGCCCCCACCAGGATGAGGAGGCAGCTTTCTGGCATGAGGCCTGGCAGCCTGTGGTAGAGGTGGAAGCCTGCAGAACAGCGAAGAGCAGTTAGGTGCTTGCAAACGAAACGGTCTGGGTGTACCTGAGGTCTTTTAAAGTCAAGCAGACAGGACCGTGGACAAGCTGACTGGCATCTCAGCCTCAGCGTCCCATCTGTAGCAGGAACTGGTAGTGTCATGAGGGTCGCCAATAAGATCAGTAGGTAACATGCCCAGCTCGGCGCAGGTCACAGAATCATTCACAGCCAGCTGCCCCCTCCCCCATCCTCCTTCCTGCTTTCCTATCTTACAGGGACCTGCGAGGGTGCATGAGGGAAAAGGAGAAACGAGGGTGAAACTTTTGCACTCGTGCAAGCCCAGCTTTCAAGTTCATGCAGAATCTATCATAGTCACCAAAACCTCAGCTTGTTCCAAACTTACCTGACCTCATTCCCCTCTTCACCAAACACATACACAAAAATTAAAAGTCCTTTATTTTGTCTCCTGTGTTTAACCAATGACATTGCTATCTGGTCAGCCACTGAAGAGGGAAATCAGGTCGCATTCTCATGAGTGACCCTTCATGCATTCAGCTCTGTATTTATTTCTTATGTCATGACTCTCACTCACTACACCTAAAATCTATCCCCTCCTCTCCATTTCTTTGGCCACTGCCTTTATTTAGGATTTCCCCATTTCTCATCTTAATGATTGCATTGTCTTCTTGACCTCCAGTCTCACCACACTCTACTGCCAGATGATTTTTCTACACCATGGGTCTCTGATTGTCTCAATTCCCACCTAAGATTCTGAAGGCACACAAAGCATCTTCTGGATTGTAAACCAAGGGTATTAGTTGTGCAAAGACGATGTTAAGTACCGCCAGGTGGAAGACCAAAGAGATAGACAACTGCAATTCCCACTATTGATAAGGTTTTGGAAACAAGACATGAACAAAGAAGAAGATGACATGTAAGTATATAATGAAGGGTATATTGAACATATCAACAAACATGGTGAGAGTTCAGAGCTCAGGAGACCACCACAGGGCTCTCTCCAAGTCTGTCTCCCACACACTCTGCACTATCTTTATGTAGCCTGCATTCAGCCAAAGGACCTTGTCACTCTGAAGGCCTATTACTTGTCTTCTCATTCCGTTGTCACTGCTTGGATTGTCCTTTTCCTTGGTCCCTTTAAGTCCTGCTCATCCTTTGAGGCTTAGCTTTCCCTAGCTCCTTCCTGAGTTCATATCTTCCTCTGAATTACTAATAATAAAACATTTTATCTCACTCCGTCTAATAACAATAATCCCTGTCTACTATGTTTTGTGCATGATTCATGTCTCCTACTAATGTGGAAACTCCCCAGACTCAGGCAGAATGATTTACATCTTCATATGTCCCCAAATGCTTAGCACAGTATCTTGTCCACAACAGCTGGCTTATTTGCTGAGTGTATAAATGAATGAACAGTTAAATGTTTATCAGAGAAGCTTTTTCATGACAAGAGATTGAACAGATTGTTGGAGAATGATGAGGATTTGCATATTTGGGTGACAGAATGGGAGAAATTTTAGGTGGGGAGAACATCAAGAGTGAAATAAGAGAGGAAGAAATGGCCCAGCCAGATATCTTTGACATTCATTGAGGGGATCCACCTGGCTGGAGCAACCTTTGAACTGGGAAAAGTGTCAGGAGAGGACTTGGAAAATGATTTTGAAACAAATAATGGAAGACCTTGAATTCAAACCTAAGGAAGGCGGTGGACTTCCAGCCATAGGCCATGGGGAGCCAGCAAATATCTCCTTGGGAATTGTTAGATTCACCCATCCATAGATGATATGAGCTTCCCTGACCATGGCTTTGAACTTCTCCATTCACTATAAGCAAGAAAGTTAACACAACAGGGTATAATTATCACCAAGGAATACCATCCCCACTTTCATTTGGCTTCAGGGTTGGTGTAAGCACCTCTTCTGGAGCACTGAACTCATCATTTTCTAATCACTGCTTATTTCTGCATTTCCTCTTCCTCCTCTTTATTTTACTTATTTCTTCTTCTCCTCCTATTTCTCCTCCTCCTTCTTCATCTTCTCTTTGTCCAACTCCTGCTGCTCCTTCTTACTCTCTTCCTCCTCCTTCTTCCTTTTTCCTCCTCCTCCTTCTCCTTATCCATCTCCTCCTTCTTCTCTTTCTCCTTACCGTTTTCCTTCTCCTCCTTCTTCAGTTAGTGCTTATTTTAACCAAACTTAACTTTTTTCAATATGTAAAGGAGGTGGAAGAGCCCATAGTGTGATTTTCTCAGGCCCTGTGGCTCCCCAGTTTGGCCCTGCTTCCAGGAATCCAGTTTCCTGAAATGGTTCCAACATTCACCTGCCTTAAGCCAAGTTGCTCTCTACACAGTTGTAGCAGGAAGAGGCCACACACCTATAAGTAGGGCCTTGTAAAGGGAAATGCTACATGCCTTTCACATTTTAAAACTTCTCCCTTTCATGATGGACAATAGAGTCAATCATTTAAAATTTACAGTTTCAGGCCTTAGAGCTTAAATGGACACAAATATTAAAAGTCCTGTCTGAAAGTCAAAGAACGCCCTACAATTATGTTCTTCCCAAAGATTCAAGAAACATTCATCTGTGATGTTCTAAGATGTGGAACTGAAGTAGAAGATAAACCACAAAGTCTGAGGTGGCTTTGTATTATCTTTGTTATACATTATCTTTGTTTTATAAGTGCATATAGTTGGGTGTTTTAAAAAGGATTGGGGGAGAGTTTTGATGTTTTTCTGTCAGAGTATCTATGGGCAATAAGTACTAAGTTAACCTATCTTCCCCGTTAGACCAAGTCCCTTGAGGTCAGGGACCATGGTCATTTCCACATATTTCATGGGTTCTCAGAAAATGTACCTTGATGGAATGAGGAATAAAAGAATGAATCATAATAATGATTATTAATTTTATTCTGATTCATGTTTTATAACATAATCTTTAAAAACTCATATGCATTTCTTAAGTGCTGAAATTATAAATCATCATCATCATTATTATTTTGGCCCTAGTAAACAAGCCCTTATACATAAAACTACCAGCCCAGTAATTGGCACATAGTATATATTCAATAAATATGGCCTTTTTATCTCCTCACTCCTCATGTCCATATGGAATATAAAAATAATCTAAATTCTTGAAGACTAGTAAATATGAAATTGTACTCGAATAAGCGTGTTCTGATATCCTACTCTTTTTTTCTAAAGTATGTTAAATTACATCATGAAAATCAAGAACATTTAAACCAACAGTTCTATGAATAATCGTATTTTCACAGTGTTCTTCGCTCCTAGACAGAATGAATCTGGGTGCATACAATGCCTCTACAAAACAAGCTAGGTTTTACACAAATATAAAACCAAGACAAAATGCAGCCTTTCTGCGTTTAGATGTTTACTGATAAACAGAGCAACTAGCTAGTCAGTGACAGGACGAGTTTCCTGGTACTCAGATTGACTTGAGCCATTTCTGTGAAGAGGAAGCCAGGTTGTGGAATGGGGAGCAGGGAACACAGAATCTCTAGCATATTGTTTTAAAAGGAAAACTCAAGTACCAAGTAAGATCACCTTGAACACAATCAGTGTCTATATGATTTCACAAAAGATGTTAGACTGTTCTGAACTGAGAATGTTATCCATTTGGAAAGCCATTTTTACTTGTATACCTCTTAAAAATATAGTAAGATCCTTTGTGTAACTTATTCACTAAGCAAATTGCACAAGACTTCTTCAAACTAACATTCCTATTTAATATTCACACTTTACTAGCTCAAAATGAATAGCAACTATAAAGGAGAGTCTAAAGGGGACACCTATACCAGTGTCCCCACACCCACAGGGAGGGAGCTAAGTGAATAGCCAGAGCACACAGAAGGTAACTGCCAGACCTCAAGGCTCAACCCACATTACACACCCATCCTAGAGAAAACATACACATATAAATAAATGAGAATTAAAATGTTTCATTGATTCTATCTCAATAAGGCAATCTACATACTCAAATAGCATAAAGTTTATAGCTGAGGCAAAGGAGGCATTGTGCTTAGCATTTGAGATAATTATATTAATTTTCCACTTTAGAATAAGCTGGTTTTAAAGAGATAAGGAGGAGCAGTTAGGGATTAAACAGTCACAGAGTATAGCCACCTCTTTGGTTTTTGACACAAAGATCCCTTGATTGGAATTTAATCTATTAACTTGGATTCACTTTATTTCACAAAGGAAATTAGAGGTGCCTCACTGGCCCCACTTGGTAGGTATAAACTAATATTTTACTGACAGATATAATCTTATATGCCCCGACATCCCATCACTGAGTAATACAAGTTGCCTATGGTTTTCTTGTTTTTTGCTTTCTGTCAATTTGCAAGAAGCACACGCTACTTTTAAAGAATAAACAATGGGGTGATTGATGAAGCCCACAATTACACAGCCAAGAATATTTTACAGAAGAAACATTATGTGTTTCCTGAAATTTCCACCTTGCATCATGCCCAGGTCTACGTGCTTTATTCTCTATATTTTTAAAGCATAGAATTTGAGAGTTTTGCATGTCAACAATGTCACATGGTTGTCACCCTGAAATGAGAAGAAACCAACACAGCCCAGTACCCAGAAGTATGCTCTCAAATTTCAAAGAGCAATCTCAAAGTATTAAATAGCTTAGTAAAATGCAGTTATGACTTTCCCTTGACTGAAGGGAAGAGAATTTTTAATGTAATAGCAGTAACAGTTAAAATCCTCTTAGCCCGTTATCTATAAGGCATTTTCACATTCACTATCTTATGTAAAAAGATAACTCACCAAACCAGGTGTTTAAGGACTTACCTATTTTTGCAAGGGATGCTAGAAGTATCCAGAGAGTGACCTCATAAGGAATTTGCACATAGTCATAATCCAGTTCAAAAACAGATATCCCTTCCTCTGGCTCTGAGCTGGCAGCAGCAAACCAAGCGTTAGATGCATACTGAGCAGTGGAATTTGCAGATTCATTCAAATCAGAAGATGCTTCAGAACACTCAAGAGCCACTAGCAGTAGCAAACAATTCCAAGGACTGTAAGTCACGAACATCTGCAGAGCCATTCCTGTGGGCTTCTCCTACCTACACCCCTGTGTGGATGTGTGCCACACATCTGAAGTCGGGGAGGCTTCTAGAGAGTGACTGCATCCACCTGGGTCAAAAGTAATATAGGTACAGTCTGTGGGTCCTCCCAAGAAGATTCCGAGTGTGTTATTGAGCTCTGTATGTAGACACTTTCTAATCTGGTTTAAATCGTTTGTGTTCAGGCAACTCAGCTTCCAACTCAAATGCAGTTATTCAATAGACTTGTTAAAGTCCATGGAGCTACCTGGAGGACCTCCATCCAATCATGGCTTGAGCAATTTATGAAAGAAATAAAAATCTCTTCACTTAAAGGCATTTCCTCATTTCACTGCATACTGGCTTTGTCTTGTGGGTGAAAATTTAAAAGGATACTGTAGTGCTCATTCCACAGATCACTGGAGTCCTTCTAATGAGGAAAGGAAACCTTCCCTGTCTATCAGATCCCAAGAAGGAGCTACCTGATCTGCGCTTGTTCCTTCTCTCCTCCCCCTGTCCTCTCATTTGTTTTGAATGACCACGGCTTCAGGTAGCTCTGGAACTACACTTAATTATTTGCTTTGATTTGACTTTTGTAATGAAATCCTTTCTCTGAGGGTTCTCTGGAGGTCACACTGCTGACACCTAGTGGGCACCTGCAATACAACACCCTTGACACTTTCAGTTATGAACGTTAAGGTGACCATGAAATTATCTAAACCAGGACACTTTGGGGAATGAATAATAATGATAATTATGCAAAGCTATAGGCACAAACCAGAATTGTCCAGCAAACTGTCTTATATGGTCTCTATACATGAGGAAGAAGGAGGATAAGAAGGAGGTGGTAACAACAAGGATGGTAGCAAACACTGAAACTTTTGCATGTTACCAGACTCCATGAGCAGTCATTCATAGAAGGAATGAAGTTCCAGATCTCTATGAACTTTACACTATAATTTTTAAAAAACAGGAAGCCAAAGAACAAGTTCCATAAATACACCTAAATACCTGGATTTGTAAAACTCCATGGCACATCCAGATTTTCCATTTAAAAAACATTTGTTGTTGTTAAAAAGAAGCAGCATCATAGAATGTTGATGAAAGAATTTTGAGATAATTTTTATGAGCCTACTTCTCGCTCTTCTACTTGTTGCCAGGTGACCTTGGTGAAGTTAATTACCTTTCAGAAATTCCTTATCTGAAACAGAGAGGAAAATATCTGCCTCATTGAGTAGCTAGGAACATTAAATGAGATAAAGCAAGTAAAGAATTTGGCATGTAGTTGGCACTTAAATGTTAGTTTTTATTTTAAATTACATTTCTTATACTTTTAGGATAAGATACAACACTTTTGCAATGATTACTGATACTCAGTAAAAAATGAGAATAATACATCATCCATATACTACCCCAACATCTCTTTTACATCAAACTGCAAGATGCTTTGTGTTTTGTTTTTTCTTAGTTCATATTAGTGAGTGCAGGGGATTTCCCCCCAGCCAACACACACACACACACACACACACACACACACACACACACACACACACTCAGCTAACATCACTGGGAAATTGAGAAAGGAATGGTTGAGAAGGGCTAACACCTAGATGCAAATTCATAGTGAGGCAATAGAATTAAAAGTTCACATATGAATATTTTTTCTTTTTCCTTCAGTTTGACTCCAGAATAGATTAGATTCAGTCACTGAAATGAGACTATCAGGTGGACTACAAGAAGGGTACACATATTGAGTCGATTATTTTTTCTCAAAGAATATATGAATATCCTTTAATAGAAAGCTGCTTTATAATAGGTGTTTTATTTTTATTTGCATTTTATTGTACTTTTCTTTCTAAAAAGA
Organism: Homo sapiens; assembly: GCF_000001405.40. Classification (NCBI taxonomy): domain Eukaryota; kingdom Metazoa; phylum Chordata; class Mammalia; order Primates; family Hominidae; genus Homo; species Homo sapiens. Next base: position 102,471,897 of record NC_000002.12, on the reverse strand, counting down.
AATGAGGGAGCAAGTCTCACATAGTGCCTTGTGGAAAGACCAAAATGAAGAATCAAAAGACTTATGTACTCAGACATTAGTTATCTGATTGGCTTTGGAAAATTACCTGTTTGAGCCTTATAGTTTGAGCCTTTATAGTTTTCTCATCTATAAAATAAAGATGCTGTCCATACCTGGTAACCCTTTCCTGCTCTAAAATTCCAAATTTTGTGAGTATATGGCAACCCGTTTAGCCTTATGATCACCTGATGGCTGATAGTCCAGTCCCTCTCAGAGTAAAAATGCCAATCTTGGGAGGATGGTAAGAGAACAACTTGAGCTCTGCAACAGTCTACTAACTTGTGGTCCAGGTTAAGATGTAGCAGCCCACTTCATCAACCATCGGCATCACTTCCACTCATGCAGTACTTTCTTACAGATGTCAGAACATTCTTTCTAAAATGATTTCTTAGTATAAGGTCCCCAGAAAGTGTATGTGAGACAAAGCTTCCATGAGAAGTGCAAACTAAGGGCAGCAAAAGTGAGGGGAAAGGGGGAAGAAAGGAGAAGCTCTTCTAGAATGACAGCATAAGAAGCACCATAGATTTCCTAGTGAAACAACTATAACTGGTGAGATCATTAAAAATCAAAAACAACCATCCAGTCTCTGGAAATTGTCCTAAGAGCAGACAGAAATTGAAAAAAATCTTCTAAATATTGGTAAGACCTGAAGGCACGGCCTGTTTTCTCTACCCACCCCTCAGCTCAATGTGAGAAAAACTCTATTCTGGATGAATGTAGCCACGAGGATGGGGCTGCCTCTAATCCCAGATCCCAGTTTATGACTACAGTTTCTACCCAGAAAAGTCAGGTTGTCAGCATACGTAACCAAACTCTGCCCTACCCCAATCCTAGCAATATGTTGAACAGACTCTATTGCAGGCAAATGTAACTGAATCTACCCCAGAAACAGCAAATTAGGAATACTGGACCCCGATAACTCTCAACTTACTCATAAGACTGAGTTTTCACAACACTGGAAATAAACCAAGATGACCAGTGGCTACTACCCCAGTCCAGCATCCCACTCACACACCAGGGGTATCACTCCAAGAGAAGTAGGTTACTATCTCTATCCCCATCTCCAGAGTAGTGGAACAGAGTTTCTGCCAAGGAGAGGAGACAGGCTATAGAACAGAGAACTCTATAACTAACTCTAAGTATGCTAACTTTATTTGGAACAAAATATAGAGATGTTCAAGCCTAAGGGCACTGTCAAAAACAATGAAGATTTAGGTTGTGAGCAAGGAAGAAAAGCTAGTAGCTCCATGATTGCAATAAGTTAAAGAGTAGACCAACTAGAAGTTTAACAGAAGAACCAGAAAAAGAGATGGCTGAAAAGAGCTCTCCTGAGGCTATAACATGTCTCAGAGACTGGTCTCAAAGATTACCCTGCAAAGGAGCCTGACTTTAATTGGATCGGACTGTGGAGTAATTTATAACCCAAGGCATTGTTGAAAACAATAGGCCATTTCAGCCAGCAGTTACTGGAGGCTAACAGTTGAGTGTGATGTCAATAGATACAACAGACCAGCTAGAAGCTTAATATATCAGTGAAAGAAAGTCAGAGAAGCCTGCTAAAACCATTGTTATTCTGGGGGAAGGGAGAAAGGGCTTAGGGGTATTATAACCATGCCCCAGGCTTCACTGGCTGAGGATCAGTATAAAAAGCTGCACAGGGAAATAGACTTTGCTGATATAGTCCAGCCAAGTCACTAAACAAACAGCAAACAATTAAGCAACAACAAGCCCTGGAGTTGGGGGAGGGGGAGAAAGCAGCATCAAGAATTGCTACAAGAAATCATCTAAAATATCCAGTTTTTAGGCAGAAAAAAATTATGGACTACATACTGTCTACAGAAGTCACATTTTAGTTTCAAAGATACCAGTAGGTTGAAAGTAAAAAAAAAAAAAATGAGAAAAGATATATTACACAAACACTATGCTAAGAGAACTTGAGTGGCTTTACACTGACGAAATATGCTTTAAAATAACAAATGTTACTAGAGATAAAGAGGGACATTTAAGAAAAAGAAAAGTGTCAATCTATCAAGAAGATGTAACAATTCAAACTTATTTATACAAAGTGGGATTTATCTCAGGAAGGCAAGGTTGGTTTAATATTTAAAAATTATTTCATATAACATACATGTCAATAGAATTAAGGCAAAACCACATGACCATTTCAACAGACTGAGAAAAGCATTTGACAAAATCAACAACCTTTTATTTTAAAAACACTCTACAGGTCAGGAATGGAAGGAAACTTCTTCAACATGATAATACACAGCCAACATCATACTTAAAGGGAAAAGACTAAATACATTTCCCTGAAAGAACAGGAACAAGACAAAGAGATACACTCTTGCCACTTCCATTCAATATTCTACTAGAGCTGCTTTTAGTCAGGGCATTTAGACAATGAAAAGAAACAAAAGGCATTCAGATTGGAAGGAAAAAAAGTCAAACTATTTCCACTTGCATGATCTTTTAAATAGATTACTCTAAAATATTTAAACAGAATATCCTGAATAATTGACTAAAAAACTATTAGATATAATAAATGAGTTTAACAAGCTTGTAGGATATGAGATCAATATGCAAAAACAAATTGTGTTTTATAGTGACAATGAATAAAACAAAATGGAATTAAGAAAATAATGCCATTTATAATAGCATCAAAAAATGCAATTCTTAGGAATAAGTTTATCAAAAAAGTGTCACACTTGTATTCTAAAAAAAATTGTTTAAAGAAGATCTAAATAAATGGAAATATGATCCAAATAATAATTATCAGTTAACTTAATTTCTCAGAAAAGATCCATTCACAGGTGCACCAGAGTATCGCAGGGTGCTGTGCGCTTTCCTGTTTATACTTGTGATGGTGAAGGGAAAATATAAACAGTTTTCATTTGCAAAGCAGAGAGTTAAAAGAATCATCCTGGAATTTTAGGTCCGCAGCAAGCTATTGGATACCTGACAGTTTTGATCTAATTATTCAGATAACTATATTGGTTGTAGAAACTTGACCTTCTCTGACCTGCCTTCCTGACCCCTTTTTGGTGCCAGTCCCAAGAATCCCTGTGGTTCTTGTCATCTGTTCATAGAAACCCGCTCACACATAGAGCCCAGTGGCAGGAAAGGAATGGCCAGACATCCTCTCCCCAGTGGGTGCCTTATAATTTAGATTGCTATATCCTGTCTTCCCTCATGGGACTAATTGAGGGTGGTACACATGGCAAGAGAATCTCCCATCCATCCCCCAGGGTTTCAGCTGTGCATAGCCAGAAGAGGAGCTTAGGGAACATTCTTCTCTTTTTACCCTCAGTTTTCTAGAGGCAACTTCTGTTTTAGAGAAGCTCCAAAGGAAAAAAAAAAAAAAAAGGCAGAACTGACACCATATTTTACACATGATGAATTAGAAAGTCACCTCTCTCCAGGAATAGTTTTCAACAAAATAATCAGCACACCTCTTCTTCCTTCCCATAACGTGTGCTCATTGTTGACTTTACCAGAAAGTATTTGTGTAGCACTCTGAGACTAAAGTATCTGTTGCTTGCCCCTGAATTCTTGATACTTTGTCAGGGCTCAAATTTATATTCTTTTTTAGGAAGAAGAATGAAAAAGAGTAGTGATAGAGAATTGGTCAATGCTGTCCAGAAAGATGATTTGCCTTCCAAGACCACAGCTAGCAATTAAACTGGATGGCCTGGATCAAGTTCTGGTATATCATACCCCTAAATTGAAAGCCTACATCTTAAGCTGGAGAGAAGTCAAAAGCTATGACCCTGCTTTCAGGACAGAAAGCTGAGCTCTGTCTCTGCTCCCCAAAGTCAAACTTCCACTGCTCAGAGTGAAACAGAGGGGATGGGTAAAGGCAAAATCAAGTCCAGGAGACCCCCCCTATATGGAAGGAGAGGGTAAATACCACAGTGTAGTCTGGGTGGATGGGGTGGGCATGAATGTAAGCTTTGAAATAAGACAGATCTTCACACCAGAGTTAATGTCAGATTCTTACAGTTCTACTGTGATAGCTTCCCTAAGGGAATACAAACTTTGCAAGGGGGAAAAATTTGAAGCTATGTGAACTTGGGCAAGTCTTAAACCTCTTTCAGTCTCAGTTACTTTATCCACGATGATGATGGTGATGATGATGATGATGCCTATTCTAAAGATGTTTGAGGATTAGGTGACATGACAAATAACAGAAAGAAAAATGCTTAATACAGAATTGATACCAGATTAGTATTAGATTCATTTTATTTCAAAGTGATTATAAACTCCACATAGGTAGAAGTCTAATATCCTTCAGTATCCTATAATACTTCCTAATAAGTTACTTGTCCACAAAACATCCTAAATTTATTGGATGGTGGAAATAAGACAGACAGGTGGTTAAAAATGAAACGTGTCATTTTTCTCTATTTACCCACATTGTCACCAGTCACCACTGTTTAGACAATAAGTCACAGGGCTAGTTGAACCCAGTCTAAAATGGCTGAGCTAGCAATTGTATCTTCCCTAATCTTTCCTCTTTGTTCCAAGGGCTGATCCCCTCCCACTTCCACCCCACTCAACCCATAACCCATCACCAACAACACCTACATTAGGAACGCCTAGTAGGTCTGTTTTCCCTCTTTTCTTTCTTTCCTCAACTAAATTCCTATTCCCTTAGGGGGGACCATGACACTGGATTTCGAGGAACACTGATTCTCATTAAGGTAGGTGGATAACGTGTTCTGACATTGGGAAGAGGCTGCTTTTGTTAGCAGAAGGATTGCTGATAGATATTCAGGCAGTTTAGATAAATGGACATTGCAAACATAAGCCAATGAGATGTGGGCAATACCGTGGACCAGAGGAGACTGCAGTTTTCTCCTTTACTCAGGCTTCGAGTACGTGCATGAGTGTGGAGGAAGCCAGCTGAACTTTATTCACAATTAGTCTTCAAAGAACCAACTCATATACCAGTGACCAGTGCCACCTCCCATTTTCTATAATTCAGTGCAGGTAAATCTATTCCTCCTTCAAGGCTTCTGCCTGCTTCATATCATCTCCAGCATCACATACCCAGGTAAGCTTGGGAACTGTATTAATTTTCTCAGGCTGTCATAACAAGTTATCACAGACTGGGTGGCTTAAACAACAAAAACTTATTTTCTCATGAACAAAAACTTATTTTCTCATGATTCTGGAGGTGGGAAGTCCAAGATCAAGGTGGTAGCTGATTAGGTTTCTGGTGAGGCCTCTCTTCCTGACTTGTAGATGGTTGCCTTCTTGCTAAGTCCTCATGTGGCCTTTTTTCTGTGCAAGCTAGTGTGAGAAAGAAAGAATCTCTGGTGTTTCTTCCTGCAAGGACAATAATCATATGGGTCCAGGGTACTACCCCTGTTACCTCATTAACTTTACCTCCTAAAGACCCTATCACCAAAATCAGACACACTGGAGGTTAGGGGGTAGGGCTTCAAATGTGCATTTTAGGGGGACACAATTCAGTCCATAGAAGAAAACTTTAGGAGAGCTTTCCACTGCCTGGCTCTGGCTTCCTGTGATGAAACTAGTTGTGACCTGTAAAAGAATTTGTTCTCTTTGTTGTCTCGATTGGCAGAACCTGAGTTTTCTTCAGTACTCTATTAAAACAGAAAAGTATGCCAGTATCCCTGGTACAGGACACTTCCATAGCTAGCTTTTTACTTCTGAAATCTGTCCTTTGTTACAAGACAGAGTTTATGTCCCCTAACAATATAGTACTTATGATTATCAGCCTTTAGCAAAGGGAGGGTTTTTGTTAAAGCACTAGAGAGACTCTCCAAAGATCCATCTGTATTAAATCATTGAAATGAACTGCTTATCCCAGAATGCTCTGCTGCAGAACAGATCCTGTAGCTACCAGCTGAGTGGCCACTGAAGCAGAGGCCAGGAAGCATTTTTATACCTAACCAATCTGCCAAGGGTGCCTCAGAAGGAGAGAGCAAGATTCTAAACCTCCACATTTAGTTTCCCCCAATGCTTTAAGTTGAGGCGAAGATAAATATCTCCACCTCGGTAACATGGGCTAGCAATACCACGCTGTCCCCAGATACTTCCCTGCCAGTCTGAGCTTCCATAACTGATAAGACATCCTTCCCTTTGCTTGAATACTTCACTTCTCCATCACCTTCATGACACATAGATGAAAGCATGCTCCTGAACAAAAAAAATAAAAACAAAAACAAACAAATTCTAACATTGATAAGAAACAATTAGCGCACAGTGGGCAAAGAAGGCCTGGGAAACACATGTGTGGTTCCAGAAATTTATGAGGCTAGAAGCAGGGGGTGGGTAATAGGCTCTTGTCAACCAGTAGGCAGGACCTATCCATGGGGTATTTGCCCAGTGCTCAGATGTAAAGGAAGCTGAAAGCCTCTTGGGTCAGGTGGGAGTGGTGGCTCATGCCTGTAATCTAAGCACTTTGGGAGGCCAAAGTGAGAGGATCCCTCAAGCCCAGGAGTTTGATACCAGTGCTAGTAACATAGGAAGATTTCATCTCTACAAAAATTAATAATAATAATTTTAAAAAGCAGGGCATGGTGGTATATACCTGTAGTCCCAGCTAGTCCCAGCTCCTCTGAGAGGGGATTGGGGGAATTGCTTGAGCCCAGGAGGTTGGGGCTACAGTGAGCCATGGTTGAGCTGCTGCACTCCAACCTGGACAACAGAGTGAGACTTTGTCTTAAAAAAAAAAAAAGTCTTTTACAGTGAGGTCATGTTTTGATAATTGAACCAGCATGGGTGGGATTATGCCATTTTGTAGGCAAATGAATTTGTGCACATGGTTCTTGGTCCAAAGTCATTACTGGAACTACTCAGGTAAGAGGGTTTCTAATCAGAATCAGGATGTTTTCTGTGTGAGAAACAAAGATGGGCTTCTGAGGCATAGGACAGCAGGGGCAGGGGCAAAATTTAGGGGCCCAGACATTGGTTCTGCCTCCTCCAGACTCAAGGGTGTGGCCTAACCAGTGCTCAGTTTTGTTCAAGAACCAAGAGCACCCAGGGTTTGTAAGCCCCTCATACAAAAGTCACAGACTGTTCACAATTTTATGTGAAATAGTGATAGAAGCCCTGAGGATCAAGACTGGTAGGGTACCCAGGATGAGGCTATTTTGGCACCTTTGATAGGAATCTCACAGCATGGAGAAAGTGATGGATCTGTAGGAGATCAAATGACCAAGAACATCTTTGCAAGCTATACTGCATGTGCTCCTCCCACAGCAGCCAGCCCTATTCTACTGAGTTTAGTGTCTGTGTATGTTGTTGGATGAGGACCAGTGATGTTGGATGGGTACATGTGATTGTAATTGATCATACCAATTAAACCCACTTGCCATAAGGTACCCACACTTGCACACTCACAGTGAATCCCATTTTACTGAGAAATATGCTAAATGATGGGACTGCAGTGTATTCTGTTCCCTTTGAGAAATGTCTATATTGTACCTACCTGGCAAAAGGGAAGAGACATTTAGTTAATTTTAAGAGAGAAAATCAGAAAGACTTGGAAAAGCGTTGAAGGTGGCCTGCCGCAGTGGCTCACACCTGTAATCCCAGCCCTTTGGGAGCTGAGGCGGGTGGATCATGAGGTCAGGAGTTCGAGACCAGCCTGACCAACATGGTGAAACGCCGTCTCTACTAAAAATACAAAAATTAACTGGGCATGGTGGTACGCATCTGTAATCCCAGCTACTCCAGAGGCTGAGGCAGGAGAATCACTTGAACCCGAGAGGCAGAGGGTTGCAGCGAGCCGAGATCGCACCACTGCACTTCAGCCTGGGCGACGGAGTGAGACTCTGTCTCAAAAAAAAAAAAAAGAAAGAAAGAAAGAAAAAAAACTGTTGGTAAGAGCGCCTACTGGAATAAGTTGTCAATACCTGTTGTGCAAGTCTAGGAGTGGGGTGCGAAGGATTCTTCATTAGGATCTTCACTTGTGTGGTGGTACACAAAGAGCTCAGTTCAGTTGAGCAATGATTGCCTGAACTGCCTTGTCACAGGCACATAGTGCAGAATCAAAAGGCAAGAAGTAGGAATTATGCGGGGAAATGAGACAGAACAACATAGAGGGAAATCAGGATGCTGTCCACCAAAAGAGAACTGTTTCAGTGTGAATTTCTTAACTCTGAAAACCATGACAGTTTCAGATGAGAAAACCCTCAGAACACTCTGAGACGTTAAGAAAGAGAACAAAAAAGACTCAACTTTTTTTGTCAGTTAGGACACTTTAAACTCCGCAACAATAATAAATCATCTAGAAACTTCAGTGGCTGAACATAGGTAGTTTACTTTGTACCCACATTATAGTTTCAATGTGGATAAGGAACACCTTTATCATGTGGGCATGCCAGCTCAAGCATGTAGCCTCCAAGGTCACAATGGGCAAGACAGAGTGTGCAAAAGTTATATCTGCATTGCCTCAGTCTAGAAATCACCCTATCACATCCACTCTACTTCTAGAAAATATTAGTCACGTGTCCCAAACCAACTACAAAGAAGGCTGGGAAAAGTGGCTGTGTGTTCAGAAAAACAAAATGATTTTGGTGAACACGTAACATTTTCTCTGTCACATCGCTGCAGTTAGCTCTAGTTAAAGTACAATTGCGTACATGATCATCCATCCGTAACTGAGTGGTTGATTTGTAAATAGCTTCTTATGAGATCTGATCAGTTGAAGCAAATGCGACCTTAAAAAATGTAGTGAGGCAATGGTGGGAGAAGAGCAACGCCATTTTCTGCAGATATCTTAGTAAATTCAGCCTGTTCAATTATCCAGTTACAGATGTGGGGCTTATGAAAAACTCCTAGACGTGAAATGAACCAGAATACAAAGGTAAGAAAAGCCAGTAAGTGATATTTAACTGTGCCAAGTTCTGGTCAGAGACTTTCCTGTATATAGTTGGCTTTTTAAAGGGCACAGAAACTTACCTGGGGGTGGTACAATCAGAGGTTAAATGGGGCGTTTTTCAGTTGACCTTGAATTTTGGCAAAGGTAACAAATTTAAGGACTTAGAGTGGCAAGTGCACTCTCAGTTCAAACAGAGATGTTAGACAAAACCCCTGCAGGACTTGCTAAGGGTAGCCAAACTGGTCCAGCACTCGCATCCCCAGAGACCTATGTAAAAGACCCTACAGCCCCCCAATTAGAGAGCTCCAAGGTCACAACTCATAGATGCGAGGCTTTCTGCCAGCGGGGAAGACTGACATTTCACCCCTGCTAAAGCTGTACAGAGCTGAGTTCTCATCCCCACAGAATCTATGTAATTGGAATGTAGACAAGTAAAAAAAGTCTTGAAAGAGTTTATAATCTTTTCTTTGGGTTTCAAAAATCAGACTGGTGCCTGATCCTCGGCAGGATATCATTGACAATGGCAGATCAGCTGGAACAAATGCAGTTGGAGAGCAAGGAAAGAGAGGGAAGCCTGGGAGCAATGGTGGGGAAAGTGGGCATCCAATTCCCCATGAACCAGGTGAATGCTGTGCAGAATAACCAGGTTAGAGTCACATTGGAAGAATGGACCATTAGGGGCTTTACTGCATGGGGCAGAAGACGAGGTGGAGACAGAGAAGGTATCACCTTCATCAGGTGCACCAGGAGCAGTGGACATCTTGGTAGGGTTAGGGAGAATGGGTTTACATTTTTATTTTTAAATTAACATACAATAAAATTAGCTTGTTTGATTTACAGTTGTGTGCATTTAAATACGGATGTAAATTCACATAATCACCAAGACAATCAGGTTACATGCTCTTTCTTTGAGACCCGCCCTCCTCCATCCCTAACTCCTGGAAACCAATAATCTGTTCTGTCACTGTTTTGACTTTTTGAAAATGTCATAGAAATGGAATCATGTAACCTTTAGAGATAAGCTTTTTCTACCCAGCATACTGCATTGAGATTTATCCAAGCTGGTGCATGTCTCAGTGGTGAATTCCTTTGTATTGCTGAGAAGTATTTCATGGTTTGCTTGTACAACTATTTGTTAATTAATTCACCCTATACCAGTTATCAATTTATCACCAGTTATCAATGTATTACCTCACAGCTCTGAATTCACCATTCAGTACCTGCTGTGTGTAATGGATTGAATTTTTGAAGCATTCATCCTATACAGTGAGCATAGTATTCACCTCTTTGGTACAGGGAGTTGGACAAGCATTACAGGAGGGTCCGTCTGGTTCCAGCTGCTGTGTTCTGTTTTTTTTTCTCACTTGTGCTGCACCATCAGGCAGCAGTGTGTGTGTGTAGACATCTGTTGGTGCTCTGCACTAGCTATATCCAGAGGAAGCCGTTGCTCAGTGACCTCGCAGTACTAGCTTAGGCCAGGTGACCACCTCCCAATATCTTCCTGATGTGGACACTGTGCACTCCAGGCCGCATGCCCACAGTGGCATTCTGAATGCCCTGTGTACCCGCATATCAACTACAGCTCGCCTGCATCCTAAAGCAGTCATGGCCTGGCCATGCTGCATGTCTGCCCACCAGCCATGGCTTGACTGCACCTGACAGGTTTGCTTCCAGCTTTCCCAGCAACTGTGAACTAGCTCTGACCCAGGCACGTAAGAGACCTTCCTTGCCATTCAGTGGGCTACACCACACTGCTTCTAGTGATGTCTGAACCCCAGTCTTGGGGAGGGGACCACTTGCAACTTTGTCTTTCTACTATCTCTCAGCCCTGAGATACTCTTTGGAGTTCTATTCATGTCCTTATAATCAGTCTCTCATCACAGCCAAATAATCATTTATATCATAATATCCCTTTTTAAATTACTACATGATTTCTGTCTTTTGATTGGACTTTAGCTGACACATACTGGTTGAAAGTCCTTGAGTTTTTCTAGGTATTAGTTATTATGAGTAGAGCCACAATAAACATTTGTGTATTGGATTTTGTGTGAACGTAAGTTTTTATTTCTCTGGGGTAAATATCTACAAGTAGGATGTTTTGGGCATCTAGTAAGGAAGTCACATTATAAGGACTTGTTAAATTGTTTTGTAGGGTGGCTGCACTATTTTGCACTCTCACCAGTAGTATATGAGAGTTCTAGTTTCTCTACATCATCACCATTTCGTGTTGTTAGGTTTCTTTTCTTTTTCTCTATGTGCCCCATGGTGTGTGTGTGTGTGTGTTTTCTCCTTGTGGCTTTAATTTCCATTTTCCCAGTGGATGGTGCTGTTGCACATCTTTTTATGTGCCTGTTTGCCATCTGTCTGTCCTCTTTAGCAAAATGTCTATTCAAGTTTTTGCTCCTTTTTTAATTGGTAGCTACTTGTTATTATTGAGTTTAGAGAAATCTTTATAAACTCTCAGCACAAGTCCTTTATTGGACTTGTGATTTTGAAATAATTTTTGTCAATTTAAAGCTTGTTTTTTTTTTTCATCCTTTTAGCAGTGGTTTTCTCGGAAAAAGTGGTTTTAACTTTGTTAAACTCCAACTTTTTTTTTCTCTACGGATCATGCTTTTGGTGTTACATCTAAGAACTCTTTTTCTAATCCTAGGTCATGTTTTCTTCTAACAGTTTTATAGATTTAGGCTTTACATTGAGATCTATGGCCTATTACAAGTTAATTTTGTATAAGCTGTGAGCTTCATCTTATTGCATATGTATGTCCAATTGATGCAAAACCATTTGTTTAAAACTCTATTCTTTATTGAATTGCCTTTGAAAATTTGTCAAAATCAATAGGCCATATTTGTGTGGATGTATTTCTAGACTTTCTACTCAGTTCCATTGATCTATTGCTTTGTTAATATCACACCATTTTGGTTGCTGTAACTTTTTATTGATTCATAAAATCGTCTAGCATGACTCCTCCAACTTTATTTTCTTTTCCAAATAGCTTTGGTTTTTCTAGTTTATTCGCTTTCCCACATATATTTTAGAATTAGTTTGCCTATAATCTACAAAAAATTCTGCTGGAATATCAGTTGGAATTGCGTTAAACCTCTTAATCAATGTAAAGGGGATTGTTGATTTGACAATATGTTGAATCTTTGTATCACCAAACATGCTATGCTTCTCTCTTTATTTAATTGTTCTTTAATTTTGCTCATAAGTATTTCATAGTTTTTAGCTTATGGAACATCCACACATTCTGTTCATTTATACATGAATCTCCCTCCCTCCCTCCCTCCCTCTCTTTCTTTCTTTCTTTCTTTCTTTCTTTCTTTCTTTCTTTCTCTCTTTCTTTCTTTCTTTCTTTCTCTTTCTTCCTTTCTCTTTCCTTCCTTTCTTTCTTTTTTCTCTCTTTCTTTCTCTCTTATTTCTTTCTCTTTCTTCCTTTCCTTCCCTATCCTTCCTTCTTTCCTTCCTTTCCTCTTTCTTTTTTGACCTATTATAAATGGTAATGTCTGTAACATCTGGTTTTCAATTGTTTCTTAATAGAGATAGAAATACATTTGATTTTTACGTTGTTAATCATGTATCCTAAGAACTTGCTAAACTCACTTATCAGTTCTAGGAATATTTTTATAGCTTTCTTGGATATTCTACATAGAAAATTACTTTTTAGAAAAAAAGGAGAGATTGTTTCTTTCTTTCCAAACTGCATGCATGTTATTTCTTTTCCTCGTCTTATTGCACTGGTGAAAACTTTCATACAAGGTTGTATAGTATTCTGCGAGTAAGTATCCTTGCCTTGCTTCCCATCTTATAGAGAAAACATACATACAGTCTTTCACCATTTAGTATGATTTTTTCATCTATAGTTTGTTTGTTGTTGTTTTTAGAGCCCCTTATCATGATGAGAAAATTCCCTTCTATGCCTAGTTTGCTGAGAGGTTTTATGACGAGACGATGGTGAATTTTGTCAAATATATTTTTGGAATTGGTTCATATGATCATGTCTTTGTTCTTCCTTACACTGTTAATATAAAGAATTACACTGAAATATTTTAAAATATGAAGCCTGCCCTGAATACCCATGATAAGCTCCACTTGGTTGTGATGCATTATTCTATTTATATATTACTAGGTTCAATTTGCTAATATTTTCTTGAGTATTTTTGTGTCAATGTTCATGAAGAATGTTGGTCTATAGTTGTCTTATAATTTTTTTTGTTTGGTTTTGGTATTAGAAAAATTCTGGACTCATAATAATTTGCATAACTTAGGAAATGTTCCTTCTTCTGTTTTCTGAAAAAAATTGTGTAGGATTCACATTTTTTTTTTCCTTTAAATGTTTGATAGAATTAGGCAGTGAAACCATCGGGGTCTGAAGATTTTATTTTTGGAAATTTAATAATAGGAATTAATTTTTTTAACAGTTATGACCAATTAGGTTATTTATTTAATATTGGATAAGTATTTTTAGCTTGTGGTTTTTGAGCATTTATCCATTTCATTTAGGTTGTCAAATATGTATTTATACAGTATCCATAACATTTCCTTATTCGTTTAAGATGTGCAGGATCTGTATTGATATCTCTTATCTCACTACTAATACTGGTAATTTGTGTCTTCCTTCTTCTTCTTTTTTTTTTGGTCAGTCTTGCTAGGAGTTTTTCAGTTTTATTGATGCTCTCGAAGAACCAGGTTCCTGTACTATTGATTTTCTTTATTGTTTTATGTTATTCAATGGCAGTGGTTTCTGCTCTCAAATTTATTATTTTTTTTTGGCTTCCTAAGGTGGAAGTTTAGATTATTAATTTATATATTTTCCTCTTTTAACATAAGTATTTAATATTATATACTTGCCCTTAAGCATGGCTTTAGTCTCATCTTGCAAATTTTGATATGTTGCATTTTCATTTCCATTCATTTGAAAATATCATTTCATTTGCTTTGAGACTTCCATTTTTATCCATAGATTATTGAGAAATGTGTCACTTAATTTCCAAATGTTTTGAGATTTTTCCCACCATCTTTCTCTTAATAATCTCTAGTCTGAATTCATTATAAATCCATTATAAATACAGAATATAACTTTGTACAATTTCAATTTCTAAATTCTTGTTATTGTTTGTTTTACAATCTAGGATACGGTATATCTTAGCACATGGTCGGTGTGTACATCAAAAGATTGTGTATTCTGCAATCATTGGGTGGAACATTCTATAAATGTCAAGTAGATCTAGAAAACAACAATTAAGTAGTGTTGTTCTATATTCTTCTTCTTTTTTTTTCTGAGACGGAGTCTCACTCTGTCACCCAGGCTGGAGTGCAATGGCACGATCCGGCTCACTGCAACCTCTGCTTCCTGGGTTCAGGAGATTCTCCTGCCTCAGCCTCCTGAGTAGCTGGGATTACAAGCACGCGCCACCATGCCTGGCTAATTTTTTGTATTTTTAGTAGAGACGGGGTTTCACCGTGCTGGGCAGGCTGATCTCAAGCTCCTGACCTCGTGATCCGCCCAACTCGGCCTCCCAAAGTGCTGGGATTACAGGCATGAGCCACCACGCGCAGCCTATATTCTTGATAAATTTCTGTTTACCATTTTATCAATACTTGAGAATAATATTCAAGTCTCCAACTACAGTCGTGGATTTGTCTATTTCTTCTTTTAGTTCTGTCAGTTTTGCTTCATGTATTTTGAAGCACTGCTGTTAGGTGCATACACATTTAATTAAGACTGTTATGTCCTGTTGGTAAATTTGTCCTTTTATCATAATGTAATATCTGTTTTTCTCTCTGGTAATTTTCTTTGCTCCAAAGTCTCCTTTAGCTGATGTATTATAGGTACTCCAGGGCCTGACATGGTGGCTCATACCTACAATCCCAGCACTTAGGGAGGCAAAGGCAGGCAGATCACTTGAGCTCAGGAGTTCAAGACCAGCCTGGGCAAGATGGTGAAACTCCATCTCTACAAAAAAAATGTGAAAAAAATTAGCCGGATGTGGTGGCACACATCTGTGGTCCCAGTTACTTGGGGGGCTGAGATGAAAAGATTGCTTGAGCCTGTGAGGTCGAGGCTGCAGTGAGCCATGATACACCACTGTGCTCCAGCCTGGGTGACGGAGGGAGACCCTGTCCCCAAAAAATGTGCATAAATATATATTTATTTATTTAGAAACAAGTAATATATAAATATATTTTTCATATACTATGTATAATATATAATAAATAGTAATTTACATTAACATGTTCATCATATAAAATATATAATATATTTATTAATATATTATTCATTTCTAAAGAATATATAAATAAATAATATATATATAGGCACTCTAGCTTTCTTTTAATTAATGTTCATGTAATTATATCTTATTAACCTACCTACACCATTATACTCAAAGCATTTTTATTGTAAGGGGGTTAAATTTCTTGTTCAGATAAGCTTGCAAAAGACAATGTGCTGAGAATGCAGGACAATGATCAAGATTTCACTAATTTTAAAGACAGCAAATTAGCTGAATCTGGTTCTGATCAAGTCAAATCTGATAAAAGGCTTACTGAAGATGGTTTTAAATAAATTTATAAAAGTTTATTCTAATAATCTCTGTCTTTTAATTATTGTGTTTAGACATTTTACACTTAATGTAATTATTATGATGTTTGGATTTATGTCTACCATTTTGTTATTTGATTTCTATTTATCTTAGTTTTTGTTCCTCTGTTTTTCTCTTCCCTTCTTTTGGATTATTTAAACATTTTGATTATTCCATCAAAACATTTTTATTGTGGAAAGAATGCTCAACATGGGGCCTATCCTCTTAATCAATTTTATGTGTACAATACATTATTGTTGACTATAGGCATAATGTTGTACATTATGTGCTTTTCCATTTCACGTATCTGATATTTTATGCCTATTTATCAATCACTTCCTATTTTCCCCAGCCTCCAGCCACCATTTTAGTCTTTGATTTTATGCATTTGACTATTTTAGATACCTCACATAAATGAAATTATGCAGTATTTGTCTTTCCGTGTCCAGCTTATTTCACATAGCATTCTTCCTCAAGGTCTGTCCATACTGAGACCTATTGCAGAAATTCCTTCTTTTTACAGGCTGAATAGTATTTCTATGTCCATCATGTTTTAACAATATTTGATGTTTTGTTTGTTTGTGTTAACGGTTACTCAATGGAATAAAATATTACACACAACTTTCACATTCTACTTAGAATCAATAGTGTGCCACTTCAAGTGGGAAATAGACACCTTACCGTCATCTGGGCCCCTTACCTGCCCTCCTTTATGTTGCATTACATCTACCTATATTGAAAATCCTACCAGAAAATGTCATAATTTTGCTTTTAACAAATTACAGCCTGGATGTTTTAAACATTATGTTATACGATTCTAGATCTTGTTGAAATCTTATGTATTATGTTATTTCTGCTTCAACAGGCAATTAGCCCAGTGGGATTAAGGCTCCAAACTAAGCCTGTGGTTTCAATTTCAGTTTTGTTTCACTGCCTTTCAGTTCTATTTGGACCTACTTCATATTTATACCTTTCAGCAGCCAGTCTGGAACTCAGAAAGTGATCTCTCCTATAGCTCAGTTCTGAAAGTTTATGGTATTCCCTTTAGGATCAGATTCATACATGCACAGCTTGGGAATGGGTCCAAAGGTTTATAAACAATTTTATGGATTCAGTTTCCTGAGCTCCTTTCTGCCTGTACTCTCCTCCTCTGTGCAGTTCTCTGGCCAAAGCATTGAGGCTTTATTTACTTCACTCTGCAGTGCACTTCCTACAACTGCTTACATCCACCTCACGAAAAGGTAAGAGGATAAAGAAAGAATAAAACATCAACAGAGGCTTGCCACACCCTACTGGGACTACAGGTCCTCATATCAAGGTGGACAATTCCCTTTCCTGGAGATTTAGGCTCTCGAGGGCCGCTAATACCACTGCTTTTGGTGGTGTCACTGGTGCTACCACAGGATTGCTTAGAGAGTGGGCAATGAAAGAAAATGAAAGGGAAAATATGGAAGGGCTAGGAAACTCTTTCTCAGTCTTCAAGCCAGAACTAGAGTGCTTCTTCTGAAGCTCTTTCTGTTATCACTGATGTCTACTTCTGGGTTTCAGACTGTACTGAGTCTAAGTCAGAAGAGACTGGAGACAAATTATGAGACTTTGAATTATTGTCTTCCCCAATCCGTCTGCTTCTATTTACTTTTCAGAATACTCAAATTGATTTTTGATGCATTTTTATCCAGACTTTATGGCTGCACTAGGAGGAAGAGACAGGATGGTGTTGTTCACTCCATCTTACCTAGAATTTTAACCTAGAAATGATATAGATGTTAAATGTAGGTATTAAAACCCGAAAAGGACCAGGAAAGCTATGAGAACTGCTCGGGCTATCATAGAAGGGTCAGTAAGGAGTTCTCTATGATGAGTGTTAGAGGTAGAGTGACCATCATCCAAGGTAGGACACTTTTTCAGAGTGAAAGAGAGTACTATAATAATTATACTTGGACAATAGGTGCAACCAGGAACTAGAACATATGGACACCTCAGAAGATGTGACAGGGAAATAATACTCTTTTCTAATTATATTCCACTGAGTCCAATTGTTCTATTGCAATCAGTCTCCTATACATAGAAAATTTGTTTTGGTTGTCTGCTTTGTTGTGGTTAATTGACATATAAGAAATATAAATAGCCCCCTGTCCCGAATGCTACCTTGTTATGTTCAGTGTACCTAGCAGCCTGGAAAGAGTGTATTCTGTAAATATTACAGCTGGCTATTTCTCCTTTTGTGTATGTGCTAACCTGAAGCTCTATTTGATTTTCCACGAAGCTAAGGTCAAAACGCTGGACATCTGAATAGCTTGGTTCTAGCATTATCTATCTTAGGATAAACTGAACAAAGTGGCCAAAAGAAGTCTGAGTCTTAAATCTCAGAGAGTGGCGGGCAGGAAGGCCAGGGATCCTGGCCATCACCAAAGCACAATGGCACAGTGACAATATGGGCTCCTCTTCACTGAGACCCTGCAATGATCCTTCCCACAAGAAACTTCCTCCAAGAATAATTTATACCCTTTAACTCATTGTTAACTTTATCACTGAAATTTCCAACAAGGATGTTGCTTGGTGCCAAAGCCACAGTGGTTTTTATGATGTGGGTGCCTCTGTGAATAAAGAGCAGAAGAGTGTTTCACGCAGGCCCCAAGACGACAATGACTTTTAGCCACTCTGAACTTGGATCACATCCAGACTGGTGGGTGTGACACACTGCATGTGAATGAGTCCAGACATTGCTTTTATTTATTGCTCAGATGATAAATCATTTTATTCCTTCAGAAAAGACAGAGTATAAGAGCTTGATGTTTATACGTGAGTGGAACACTATTTTAACTGCAGGTTAAACTCTGGTAAAGGAAACACACTTATGAGGAGGAAATTGGCCTCGTCTATCAGAAACAGTTTCATGGCCCTGCAGCCCATCACCTTATTACTTAGGAGAACTTAAAGGGAGACGCCCAGATCGGAAGCCCATAGGATCGCCAGCCTCAGCAGAAGGTTCAGGCTACAGCTCTGTTCACATTCCATTCTTGCTGCTGTTTAACCAGTGTATATCCTTATTCCCCAGACTCTTAGCTGCACTGCTGACTCTGGCCAGTGTCTCTCTGCTTTGTATGTCACTGCAAGTGCATTCCTTGTCTCTTCATTGGCCTGATCATTTTGGTCCAGTTGGTCTGTACTTCCAGGGGCCCAGGGTAAGGATTTACACTTTTATACCTAACACAAAGATCTCTGGCCGACATCACAAGGAGGAGCTGAAATTAACTCTACTCTTCTTTCCAAGCCCATATCCTGGCACAGACTGCATCTCCCCCCGCCCCCAAAAAAAGGGATTCTTCTTCTAGTTCATCCACCCAGTGTGGGCACTTCGCATGAGGACACAGTAGAAACCAACCCTAGCCCTGTCTATTCTGGGTCCCGTTAGTCTTTACCTTTTATGCTCACTTTCTGTGCTCCAGAGTTGTTGGCTGACCATGGAGTAAGAATTGTCTTCTTTACAGAAATTCTTCGGGCAGAGTTTCAATCACTTGTTTCTAAGGCCAGCCATGGTGGCTCACGCCTATAATTCCAGCACTTTGGGAGGCCGAGGTGGGCCGATCTCCTGAGGTCAGGAGTTCGAGACCAGCCTGGTCAACATGGTGAAACCCCGTCTCTACTAAAAATACAAAAATTAGCTGGGCATGGTAGTGCATGCTGTAATCCCAGTTAGAAGGGAGGCTGAGGCCGGAGAATTGCTTGAACCCAGGGGGCGGAGGTTGCAGTGAGCCAAGAACATGCATTCCAGCCTGGGCGGCAGAATGAGACTCTGTCTCAAAAAAAGAAAAAAAAGAAAAAAATCACTCATTTCTAATAAAATAATATTTATTTGATTGCAAGTATACATAAAGTCATATGTACAATACATGGTAGACATGACAGTTCCCTAGCCATAAGGCAGAAGTAGCTGTATTTTCTGATTCTGCTCGGACCACTGGGAAATCTTAGGGGTGTTGTGTACTGAAAGTACCCAAGGTCTAGAGAATTCACTCGCCGTCAGTCCAGTCCAGGAAATCAAAGGCTCTAAACCACAGTCTCAATCCCACTCCATTGTCCATCAAGCTTGCTTGGTGCTGGCAGGAGACTCTTTGAATTTCCTATCAGCCTGAACACACACACACAGAGCTGTGAGTTCTGTCCAGCAACATCTCTATCCCAGGGACTGGACTGGAGGGGGCTCCAGGGCTCATTTCACCATTCCTTAGGCTGGGAGCTCCTCCCAGTGGTTTCTGTTCTACTGAGTCCTTTCCACTGAAAAATCCTAGAGGTAATTCTGAGCTGGTTCCACGTGAATCCCTGAGAGTTTTTCACAGGCATGTGGTAGCGCATTTTGGCCCAGAACCTAGAATTGGGAGGAACTGATTTTAAGCCTCTCCAAGTAACTGTGGGCAAAACCCTGAGAGCTTTTTTCACGAGATGAGGTAGAGACTCTGGCTCTTGGAAGTAACAGAACTTAATTAAAATGAGTTTCAGTGTTTGATCATCCAAGGCAAGATTCACTGCTGCTTGTAGTTCAAAGATACTGGGTCCATTGACATAGTTGGGGCTCAAGATAAATATTCCTCTTCTGCTTCTCTTAATAATGCTCACAATGTCTTCTGCATACACTGGAAATAAAACATTTGATTATTTGCAATGGATATTGTTAAACCTTGAGTCAGAGAGGTCCTTGCAATGGATTCTCTTACATAAGGAGGAAGGGAGACATGTTTACTCTACCACTTACACTGTATCAGCTCTATTGCCAGTTGGAGATACGCTCCAGTGTCTAGTGACCCTCACCTTTACATTCCCTGCTTTGTGTCCAGTCTCCCCAAATTGGCAATTCCTCTAGGAATAAAGCTGACTGGAACTAGGTAAGCTGGGATAATGGGAGCCATGGAACATCCCAGGCTCCTTGGTGGGGGTATCTGAGGAGGAGGAGGCCAGCAGGACAGGCTGAGATCTGGACTTCTCAGGGTGTCCAGGGCGTGGCCCAGGCCTGAGAAGCCTGCTTGACCCAGTGCTGAGTGAGCTTTGTGGAAGGCAGAGTCCCAGAAATCAGAGGGGCCACTAAATTGGGGTGAGCGAGTAGTTCACTTCGCAGCCTTCAGCTGCGAAGCCAGGAGAGGTATCTTTGTCCTAGAAGGACTGCCTAGGGCCCCATGTGATTGTCTTCTTCTGCAGATGGATTTGTTTGATAATGGAACACATCTCTGGAACATATAGTTTCTGTGTTGTTGCCCAAGATGTTCTAACCTCATGTAATCTCCCAGATCTATATTCCAAAACAAAGAATGACAAAAAAGACTTGGGGATTGCATTGAACTGCCCTTTTTGCACTGCAGTTTTTCTTGACATGTTGGACTTACCTCCTCCTGGAGCCACATCTCTTTCAAGCAAACACAGGCTATATCCATATTTGTTTTCTAAAACATCAGGAAATAGGCTCAGGGCCAAGTGTTCTTCACTCAGAGATGAAGTGGCCTCACTTGGAAAAGAGCTCCATTTTGCATAGGATACGAAAGCATCAAAATCCTTTTTATCTGAAGAATAGGAAAATTTATAAAAACATAAGTCATTTACTCTTTTTTTTACTGTTATGGTACACATACATATGCTTGAATCATATGGTAAATGAATAAGAAATAATATTTGGGATCCTGACTAAATTGATTTTAAAAATTCATTTCAAAATCATACCACTGAGCGGTATTGATTTTTCACCCCAAATCGAATTCTAATTTATGAAGCAGTCTTGCATTTTTACTGATTTTAGGTCAAATGGCTGAGGCATTCTTTGATTAAGTCACATGAACTCAGGAGTTTCTCTGAGCCTTCTTTGCACCTGCAGTGTTTCTGTCTCATTAGTCACACATCAAGCAGGAGTCTGCCCCATCCAACATGATGATATCCAGTAAGCAAAGTACTGCTAACACCCAGCACATCGTATCCAAGGAGAAAAAGTACTTGCTCGGAGAGTTGATGGCCCATATGCTGATATGTGAATCCCCATATGTAAAATAAAGACAATCATAACTCCTGGGCAGGCTGTTTTAAGGGTTTCATGAGATAATGTATATGAACTTCTTGGTGCCTGGCTCATAGGAGGTGCAAGATAAATGTCCATTCCCCTCTATTCTAGATGGAAAACTATATGTATATAACTTGTTATAGGATATTTTCATATGCATACTTCATAAATGCATATGATTACTGAGACTAAGGAACTCACTGGAAGAAGTAGAAAATCCCAACACTTAACTCACAGGCTTCGGAATGGGATACATCAGATTTGTATTCCAGCAATTTCCACAATCCCTGTCAAAGTATTGTTACAAAACGGTAAACAGTAGCCCTGATTGCTGATGCTATTTAGTAGTACACCATGTTCAAGGTGAACCTAAAATGATGCCTCGGTGGATGGAAGTACCAGGTACCAAAAGGGAAGCTCCCAGAGTCAACAGAGGAGGATATAAAAGAGCTGAGGTTGGGAAACTAACCTATGAAGCACCTCATTGCTCATGTAGGAAGGATGAGACTTGTGGGGCATGGCTGGCAGGTAGGTGCTGTGCTGTTTAAATGTGTAACACACCACAGTTGCCTCTATTCCTTCCACATCATGTGAAATCCCAGCAAACTAAAATTTTTCTATAACCTGGAAACTACATTTATTTAGTCATAAAATTAGAGAGTGGAGTATTAGATGATCTCTGAGGTCCTCCAGAATTCTAACATTCTACATCTCTAAAATTTTGGTTACTTAGCATTAACTTCAAAGCAGTCATTTTGCTAAAAAATGTTAGGTTGGCCAACAGAGGGCACTGCATCCCCGTGCTTGAAAACTGGATTCTGCCTCCAGATCTGATCACTAAAAACATTGTCTTTGCAAAATAGAAAAAGAAAGGACACAAGTAAATGTTTCCCCATTGACTGACTCTTCTAAGCCAGCTCCAGAATCTTAAGGTAAATAGCATTTTATGACCTTGATTACATAATTTGCTTCATTCAAAAAAGTTATTAAAATAAATCTTAAAAACATTTCTCTTAAGGATTTCTAGTATGTATTCTCTATAGTAAGTTTAAAGAAAGATGTGACTGATGCATTTCTTTCTTCCTTTTTTTTGAAAAGGAGTCTTGCTCTGTCACCCAGGCTGGAGTGCAGTGGCATGATCTCGGCTCACTGCAACCTCCACCTCCCAGGTTCAAGTGATTCTCCTGCCTCAGCCTCCTGAGTAGCTGGGATTACAGGTGCCTGCCACCAAGCCTGGCTACATTTTGTATTTTTAGTAAGGATGGGGTTGCACCGTGTTGGCCAGGCTGATCTCAAATCCAGACTTCAAGTGATCCGCCCACCTGGACCTCCCAAAGTGCTGGGATTACACATGTGAGCCACTGCTCCCGGTCACTTTTTTTTTTTTTTTTTTTTTTTTGAGATAGGGTATCGCTCTGCCATCCAGGCTGGAGTGCAGTGATGTAATCATGGCTCACTGCAGCCTTGACCTCCGGGGCTCAGGTGATTCTCCCACCTCAGCCTCCTAAGTAGCTGGAACTACAGGTGGGTACCACCACGCCCAGCTAACATTAAAAAATTTCTTGTAGAGGCAGGTTTCACCATGTTGCCCAGGCTGGTCTTGAACTCCTGAGCTCAAGCATTCCTCCCACTTTGGCCTCCCAAAGTGCTGGGATTACAGGTGTGAGCCACCACACCCAGCCTCCCATGCCGGTCTTTATTCACCCTTTCTTCCCCCAGGGATCTGACAACTCCTCACTGAATTCCTAGTTTGGGAACGCACTGGAATTTGGAGGGGCCTCTCAGTAAGGTAAATAATTATCCGTGAAATCCTGCAAAAGGGGATTCTGCTTTTTCCAAGCAACAGAGTCATTTACTAAAACTGCAAACCTTCTAACCTTGGAGATTTCCAGGACTAGAAAAAAACAGAAGCAAGACTTCTATTCCACAGAAGCAAACATCAATGAACATGATTATCTTGCCTCAAATATTGACAGGCACTTCATTAATAGTAATAGCACTTGCATTTTACAGGACTTCTCACTTTTGGGGGCATTCCCACCGTCTTAAAAGCCTCATTTTACAGATGAGGCTAACTGAGGTAACAGCTAATGAAACCTCTTAAGCCAGACAACCTGTGCCCAAATCCCAAGCTCTAATGCCTTCCAGTAGTTCAATTGTAGGCACATGACTTCCTGTCTCTCTACCTGGCTGGTAGGATTGCTGTGACCATTAAAGTAGCTAACACACATGGCAGGCATACACTCTAGTCCTCAAGAAACAGCCATAGTCTGGCACATGCTGAGCTATTTACCGTGTACTGGGCACCATTCTAAATACTTAATGTGGCTGGGCACGGTGGCTCACGGCTGTAATCCCAGCACTTTGGGAGGCCGAGGCGGACGGATCACTTGAGGTCAGGAGTTCGAGACCAGCCTGGCCAACATGGTGAAACCCAGCAGTCTCTACTAAAAACACAAACAATAGCTGGACATGGTAGCGCATGCCTGTAATCCCAGCTACTCAGGAGGCTGAGGTAGGAGAATTGCTTGAACCTGGGAGGCGGAGATTGAAGTAAGCTGAGATGGTGCCACCGCACTCCAGCCTGGGAGACAGAGCAAGACTCCATCTCAAAATAAATAAATAAATAAATACATACATACATACATACATAAATGAATGAATACTAAATGTGTCTTAAGAATACATCAGTGAGCCCTCACAGCATCCTTTGCAATTGGTGCTATGACAATCCTGTTTTATAGATGAGGAAACAAAGGCACAGAGATATTCACTCATTTGCCCTATTGCTTTAGGTTGGTTATAGAGGGATTATTTTTAAGTCCAACATGTTTCACAATAGCATTGCCTACAAGATTCCTGGCAACTGGAATGAAAAAAATAATTGTTTCTCCAGCCTTCCTCAGTGTAAGGTCACTAGACCTGGAGGAAGGCCTCAAAACCTCAGGGGCATGACTTTATCCAGTGGGGACATTTCTTTCTTCAGCTCCTCCTTTATGCTCTGCCCTGGCTGGCAGGGGACATTTGAAGTTCTTTTCTAAGGTAACTCTGAGGAAACAAAGCCAAGGGGTAGTGATGGTATTTTCTGTTGTCCTGCTCCAAGTCAATTCCCAGAGGAAAAGTCAGAGGGCTGCATGTGGAGGTAAACTTACCCCCAAGCGTCTGATCCTTGCTCTGGTAGGTCCGGTACAGCAGCACTATTTCAATCCAGTGCCTGTAGAGGAGGGCACTCGCCGCCAGCACGGCCACCAGGGTCCCGATGGTGCCAAGCAGGATGTACAGGAGCACCACTGTGGAGACAGGGCCAGTATGAAGAGACATAGAGGCAGCGGGATTGGACCAAGACCATGTTCAGGCCGGCGCTATGGCCCACCCAGCACCTTTTCCAGCTCTATTATTTTATCAAAATCATTGCCACTAGCAGCAGTTTTTGTGAATCTGGAAACCTCTCAAATCACACCATGGAATACTACTTAGCCATAAAAAGGAACAAAATAATGGCATGTGCAGCAACCTGGATGGAGTTGGAGACCATTATTCATTATACTTTTTTTTTTTTTTTTTGGAGACGGAGTCTGTATGTCGCCCAGGCTGGAGTGCAGTGGCGCGCAGCTCACTGCAAGCTCCGCCTCCCGGGTTCACGCCATTCTCCTGCCTCAGCCTCCCAAGTAACTGGGACTACAGGCGCCCGCCACCACGCCCGGCTAATTTTTTTTGTATTTTTAGTGGAGACGGGGCTTCACCTTGTTAGCCAGGATGGTGGATACCATTATTCTAAGTGAAGTAACTCAGGAATGAAAAACAAAACATTGTGTGTTTTCACTTATAAATGGGAGCTAAGCTATGAGGACGCAAAGGCATAAGAATAATACAACGGACTTTAGAGACTGAGGGAGAAGGGTGGGAGGGGAGTGAGGGATAAAAGACGACACAACGGGTGTAGTGTACACTGCTCGGGTGACGGGTATGCCAAAATCTCAAAAATCTAAAGATTTTCAGATTGAAGAACTTATCCATGTAACCAAAAACCACCTGTACCCCCAAAACCTATTAAAATAAAATTTTAAAAAATCACATTTTGAGACCTGTCTTACAATAAACACTAGAGACCCCAGGGGAATGGGCAGTTCCTGATCAGGGTGGCCTGGGAAACTTATCATATTCCTTTTATTTTTTCCCCTCGTAAACGTCCACACAATCCATTTACATCTCTCTCATTGCATATTGTAAATTATTTTCCTGTATTATCATTCCTACTGCAGCCTAAATTTCCTGAGACCAGGAGTCCCATCTGGCTTACCTGACACGAGGGATCTCCTGCATACTCCCATGGGGGAAAACCCCCTTCACAGAGCGTTTACTACAGGCCAGAACACACTTTGTCTTGTTGAAGCCTCAGAAACATTCAAACCTGCTTATAACTATAGTTATCTATTAATTAAAGGAATGAATGATATCAATTTCATCTCTGGGCATCTTTTCAAAGAAATTTAAACGCTTTTCCTTACCTAGAATTTCTACTCCAGCTTTTTTTTTTTTAATATATCCGTGATATACACACACCATTTTGAACAATGAACAAGATTACTCCTTCTCTCTTCCATTCTCCACTCATCAGAACATGAATCCATCATGTCCTTTGGATTTGAAAGCCAGGAAAGAAAAATTGGAAAGGAGGCTAGGTCTTAGCACAATGCCTGCCATTCTGGGCATACCCCATAGCTATTGTAGAATGAATGCGTGAATGAATGAGTGCATGAATGAGTTGCTTTTCCAACATGGCCTCCCAAACGCAGACTATTACTTAAGAGAACTAGCTCTAAACCAGTAATATGCAGTTTACTAGTTGTGTGGCTTTGGTCAAGGTATTAAATGGGTTGACACCAGGAAAGTGCTTAAAACAATGTCTGTCACCTAGAAAATGTAATCGCTGTCATCATTATTACTATTCTTTAGGAAAACTCCTCCCCTCTCAAGTGAAAGCAGTTTCATGCCTCCTGGGCAACCTTCTGGGCTTACCTCCTCTCTTTTCTTTCAGTTGGACGGACTGGGTTGTGTTTCCAATGGAGTTCTGGACAAAGCAAACAAACTTCCTGCGAAGATCACGCTGAGTGACTTTTTCCAAGATGATATTACGCTCAATGATTTCATCCTTTAAAGTGGATTTAATACTGAGAAAGGAGAAAAAATACCACTCCATTCAGTAACATACATTGACACCCATTTGCAGCATTTGGAACACGTATAAGCAGCCAACAGTTTGGCTTTTAGAGAACTGTGAGATCAATAGTATAAGATACCACGAGAATGTAAGATGGTCAAAAAGGGCTCATTCTTGATTCAATTATTGACTCTTCTAAGCATTCACGCTAAGACATTATTTATTTGTGAGACTCATCTGACCTTCCTTACTCTTAAGAATTCCCCTTGAGAATAGATAATAACAATACCTTAAGAAAAATATTTAAAATGACCAACTCCTACTGAAGGTTTACTATGTATCAGTCCCTCTTCTGTGCACAAAATATGGACTCTAATGTCCTCCATTCCTCACCTCCCAGGAACCCTAGAGTATAATAGGATCATAATGGCCTTGGCCAGTGACAAGGACAAGGCAAAGAAGGTGGGTGAGTAGCCCCAGACCACACTGCAGGGAATGGGCAGCTTGATTCCTGGGCTTGTGCCACGCTGCTCCACCCAGGAAGTTGGGAGTCTTGGCATTTATTCACAATTTGAGTTCTCTGAAGTTACCAATCTACAATCCATCTTTGTGTTAAGAAATCTTGTGTATGTGAATGATGTTTTAGGCTGTGTTGCTCTGAGACCACGATGCCAGCTCCTATTCACTGAGTGCTTCCTACCTGTCACACATTGTGATAGGCATAACACCTCTGCTGTAACCACGCCTCCCAGTGAGCTTGCAAAGTGCAGGCTATTATCCATAGATTATCAATGGGTGATGGAGGCTCACCGGGGCTAAGGGTCATGTTGACATCAGATAGAAAATGGGTTTAAACCCAAGGGTGGGTGATGTCAAAACATACCCTCTTGACTACACTCTCCTACTGTGAACTCTAATGCAATATCAGCTTAAGATGGGCCCCAATGACCTTCCTGATCTTAGAAATTCTTGCTAAATTTTATTGTTGTGACCAAAATCTGTTCTGTACTTTTTTGTAATGATGTATACTTTTCAAAATGATATTGCATTTTCTTATTGATATCTGTTAAGTATCAGAAGAAGGTACTTAATGCATAGACTCTTACTCTGGGTCACATCTTCGAAAAATCAGGGAATGCATCCTTTGGAGACACATCTGATTGGACATCACTGGATCCAGGCCCTTTGATCCTTCTGGGGACTGGAGATCAACTTTTTTTGTGATTGGATAGCTCCAAATATCTAGGGTTTTCTACTGGCCAAAATATCTCACCAGTAAATTCAAACCACTGATCCGGGTTCTGTGCTCCAGAGAGCAACAAACCAAGTCAAATTTCTCAAACAATGTAATAGCTCCCAAGGATTTCAAGACAGAGAGCCCTCCTCTGAGCCTCTTTTTCGGGGTTAAGTTGCTTCAGGTATTCCTCACTTCACATATTTTTTGTCAGACTTATTATTATGATGCCATTTCCCCTGGAGGTTTTCTAGACTGTTCATTACCCCACACATCTGGATCCCTGTACCCCCACACTCTCTGAACGGGTGGCACCGGTGAAAAGCAGAGTGAGGGTAAGCAGCATTTCCTCCCATTTCTTGGACATATTACTTATCTCCAAGCAGTCTGGGTCAGTACAACTGTCTGCTCAATAGCTTGACTTTGAGAGCAGCCACGTCAAACTGTTCCTACAAATTGAGGTTTAAAACAACTTAAATATTTCATTCAACGGCCGTTTGCACTTTGCATTTTTGTGCTTTTATTTTCACCACTAGTCGGTGCTGGTGGCTACACCATCAACTGTATACTTTAGGCATTTCTAAAGGTAGAAGTATCTCTTCTGAATTGCAGAGAACAGAATCCGTGAGTTTTTTTCTTACCTTTTCGCCTCAGGTACTGAGACTTCCCACTCTAGGTCAGAATCTTTGATGTACCATTTTATGACAGGGTTAAAGACCCTTTCAAAGCCAAATCGTGCTTTGCAGCTAATAGTTAAAGGCTTTCCTGAAAATGAAGAGGCCAGAGAAAACAAGAAGGAAGCTGGTGAGAATACTTTGTCCTACATCTGGGAGGAAGACGTCGCCAGAAGCTGTCTCCTGATGCAATCAGGTTTGCAGGTAGAATATGTGTGCCAGAAATAATGAAACGTCTACACAGCTCTCATTCAGAAATGCATAAAACCAGGTACATTTTTTCTAATGGGCAATCCTTCTATCTCAACCATATGACTATATGTTCTTAAAATGAAGATGAGCATGATTATATCACTAAGGGTCCTTATGTGGATTGAGGGAGACACTAAGAAAACTAAGAAAATGAGGAGTTTCTGAGATCAGCCCGGTCTTCTGCACTACTGTTGAAGTACAAGGTGTGTCCATAAAGAAAATTTTACTATCCAATATTTGTTTATTAAGTAAAAATCATAAAGTTATTGTAGCACGTGGTTTAAATAAAAAAATTATTTCGATATTAAGCAATTTTTCTGAACAATTCACTATGGATGGGCATGCATATTATGAGACTAACTTTTTTCTACCCATTTTTTTCCATGAGGAATATTCACATATGCTCTGCCTCAAATCTAATATTTAACCATGAAATGACTAGGAGCTCCATTTGAATACTCATCTTTGCACCTTAACGTTTTTCCACTGGTAATACCTTATAATTCACTAATACATATGTAACTTGACTATATGAATTAATCTAATTTTTTCCTCCTTCTTTCCTCCTTCCTTCCATTCCTGTGACGTTGAGCACATAGTTAGTGCTATTTCTAGAGTCAGAACACACCACTCCTGCCATCTAGTGATCTTATATCATAACATGTATTTTTATGTTTCTTTCTAAAATAATAAATGTTTTAGTAGCATTTTAGAAAGTATAATAATAATAAAAAAATTTATATTATTAAAAGAAAAACAGCATTTTATTTTTAATACAGCAATTCTTATTTGTCTGTGTAGAAAGACATAGATATTATTGAAGTTGACAAAATAAAAGGAGACCCACAGGGAAGTCAATTTCTCCTCAACCCCAAAGAAGACACTACTTTGGAATACAAATTGTTTGGGCAGGGGTTGTAGAATTCTACTACAGTTCTCTTAAATGCCAGATTAAATGTCATATTCATAAGAGTTAATGTTACTCAGGTTGGCGAATTTGTAGTCATAACTGATAGACCTAACCAACATGTACGAAACCACCTGTTCCTGGGGAAGTTAAGGAAGAATAAAATCTATTGATCAGGTTTCATGCTCCAGCCACTTAACATACATTGTCCCATTATTTCTCAGTATAATTTTTTTTTTTCTTTGAGATGGAATCTTGCTCTGCCACCCAGGATGGAGTGCAATGGCTCGATCTCGGCTCACTGTAACCTCCGCCTCCCAGGTTCAGGTGATTCTCCTGCCTTGTCATCCTGAGTAGCTGGGATTACAGGCACCCACACCCACGCCCGGCTAATTTTTGTAGTTTTAGTAGAGATGGGGTTTCACCATGTTGGCCAGGCTGGTCTCAAACTCCTGACCTCAAGTGATCTACCCACCTCAGCCTCCCAAAGTGCTGGGATTACAGGCATAAGCCACCATGCCCGGCCTGCAATATAATCTTTTAGGGTCAGTTTTATGATAGCTATTTGCGGATTTAAGTACTGAGGCTTAAAGGATGAAGTAACTGTGCAAAGTCACAAAACTAGTCAATGGCTGAGTTAAGATTCACACCCAATTCTGTTTGACTGGAAATCCCAATGCTGTTTTCCTTCTATCACACTTAGACCTGCTCCCAGCAGCACGATGTCATTCAAAGGCGATGAGGCCCAGCTTACCAAGTTCTACTTCCAGTGTGTCCTCGACAGGATCCAGAATATCTGGTTTGAGTTTAGTGTCTCCCACTGAAAGATGAAAACAAAGATTACTATTTGCATTGGAAAGTCTGAAGGCCTGCTTGATGAAGATTTAGGTGCACAGCCACACTTTGATCTAAATGTCTTGGAGCTCTGTCTTCACATTTTACTAATTACCTGTAAGTTAGGAATTCCGGTTTCCATGTAAAAAGCTTGCCCCCTAAAATGACTGCCACATCAGGTTGTGGGTGCTGGTAAAACATTAGTTGTTAATTGATCCATATCTGCTTGTGTGCATTCTCTTTCACACTAATCCTGCCCCTTGCAGACCTGAGCTCCTATCCCTGTCTTTTCCCACAAGATTTCTTTGTGGTGCCATCTGGCTGAGTAATTGAACTGAAAGGAGAATCCACCCAAGAAACTGTGCAAGTCAAGCATATCCGAGTCCACCCCTCCATCCTTAAACTCATGGTTTATTTCAAAATAAAGAAGAGTCCAGTCCTTAATTAACAATTTTATCCATCAACTTCTTGCCACAAATATGCCTCCACTGTCAAATATGCCTCCACTGTCAAACTTCCTCCTGAAGGTGTGTCTTTTTCTGGATAAAGAAAAATCCAGGGTCTTTGCTGTTGACATCACCTACTTTTACTTCTCAGAGACCTCCTTCTCCCCTTTGCACCATCTCAGTCCTGTATTTTTAACTTGTCTCTCTCTCCCTCTCTCTCTCTCGCTTTCTCTGGGCTTCTTCTCATCAACATTTATTCATGCTCAGTCTCATCATCCTAAAAAAGAGAAAACACACCCTGCCTTATATCCCAGCCTCACTTATTCTCCTTCCTTCCCAGCCAAATTCTTGAAAGGCAGTTCTATGTGCTAATTCCCTCCATCCTTTCACCTCCTATGGAACCTGATTTCCGCCGCCATCTGTCCACTAAAACTGCTTAACCAAATTCACCAGTGCCACCTATGCACCTAAATCCATTGGGCATAATCACATTTTTCGTCTACTTTACCTCTTAGCAGCATTGGACACTGTTGGCCATGCTCTCTTTGAAACCCTCTCTTCTTTTGGTTCCATGTTCCCGTACTCTACTGCTTACTTTCAACCGCTATATTCACTTCTCTGTGCCTGTCCCTTCCTCTGTGTCTCTTTTAACTATTAGTCCTCTCCTAGTGTTCTTTCACTCCTCCTGATACCCCTGGGTAGTAAGTTTACTCTCTAGGCCTCTTCCCTATGAAAGGTCTTGGTGCCTGAGGTTATGTCTTTCCTACATCATCAATTTCACTTCGTTTGTTTCTCTTCTCACCACCCTTCCACTGATATTCACTTGCTGATGTATGTTCCCATCCTCTTTGAGGATTGTCTTCCTCTTCTCCACCTCTTCAAGCATTTCCGGGTTTGGCTCTAGCCCCTTCTGTCTCTATGCCCACTTCCTAGGTGATCTCATTCAGCTCTTTGGCTTCAGATATTATGTAAAAATCGATCATCTTCACATTCACATCTCCAGCCCTAACTTCTCCAGACTGGCTTGTCCAAATACCTACTTGTCGTCATGACTTGGATGACTAAAAGTCCTTTTAAGCCTAATACTTAATCTCCTCTTCAAATGCTCTTTCCCTTCAGCTTTTTCAGTCTCCTTAAATGGTACCACCATTCACTAACTTATCCAGGGCAGAAAACAAAAAACATCCTTGATTCTTCTCTTTCTCCTACCTTTTATGTAAAAACCATTATCATGCTCTGTTGACCTACAAGTCCAGCTACTTCTCATCACCTCTGCTAGGTCTATTTACAGCACAAGCAGAGGCATGGTTTAACCATGAGTCAAGCTTGCTGCTCCACGACTGTGCCTGCTCTCATCCTCTGTACTGTTGTGCTCTGTCAGCACATTCCCTCCTTGACCAGCTCAAAGGCTGGCTTGTATCCATGGCTCCTGCTTTCCCTCTTCCTTGCTCCCGAACACCAAATCCTTTAAATGTACCTCTTAAACATTTCCAAAGTCATCCACTTCTCTCCATTCCCTCTACCACTCCCTAGTTCAGATCCCTATCAGCAACTGCCTGCTTGACCACAGAACTTCCTAACTCTTCTCCCTGCCTCCATTCCTGCTCTTACAAACCCACTTCCGACCCAGCAAACAAGGTGATCTATCTTGAATACAAATTCAGTCACGACATTCTCCCACTTAAAATCCTCAATGCCTCCCCATTGTTCCTTCATAAATTTTAACACGTATTAGATAATTAGGTAATTAGATAATTTTAACACGTATTAGAAGAGTGTGATGTCAGTCCTACTCCCAGATGCTCTTCTTCATCTCCTGGACATCAGCTCTGCTGCTTCCTCAGTCTGGAATGGAAGCTCCCCACCCTTACTGAGCTGGTGTGTCCTCATCCATCAGCTCTCACTTGGAGCGGGCTTCCCCAGGTTGGGTCTGGTGGGCCTCCATGTGCCCATAGTGCTCCTTTCTCTTGCTGCACTGTATTATGACAGCCTGCTTCACCTTTGTCTTCTTCTCAAAATGGAAAGTTCTTGGAGGCCAGATAAAGCATCCGGGCACTCATTCTTGTAGCCTTAGCTCCAAGCCTGACACATATTACATGTTCAGTAAATATTTGTGTGGAAATGAATAAATATGAGAATGAATGATTAAATGAGGAAGACAGGGATGACAACAGAGAGGGCTTGACTGAAATAGATGCAACAGATGTTGCAAGGTGTCCCTTGGGTGACAGAAAAGCAGATTATGCCATTGAGAATTTGAGGGGCTGAGTGATGGCTGAGTTAAAGAACAATTACACATCACTTGGAGGGGAAAAGTGGTGCGAGTGGGGTATTTACATTCTAACTTCTCTTTCAAGAAGCAATCTAATAATATAAAATGAAATCTTATCTATATAACATGTAATCTAAATTAATATAAAATAATTCTGAAGTGCTAGAGGGTGCAAGGGGCAGGAGAGTTTCACTTGGTCTTGGGGTGCTCTGTGTGGTTTGTATCTTGTAATAAGAAAAGATTAATATCTTAACTAACAGCTACGTCAACCACTCTGTTGCTCTTTGATATAAAGCATGAGTGACTGGCTGTCTTATGTTTTCACTTCTTAGACCACATTTAAATTAATTCTATCACATAGTTGATTCAAGCTGATGCTTGCAGATCTGGTAAGAACGACCCAAGGGAAAGGTTAGGACAAAAACAGACAAGTTGCGGAAGAAAGCCAATGAACCAAAAAACATATAGCAAAATGTTCAACCTCATATTAGTCAGGGAAGTATACTATGGAGCAGAAAAGAAACAAATAAAAACAAAGCTCCACTTAACACCAGTCATAAAGTCTGATAACACCAAGTATTATTTGGGAACAAAGGGCATTTACTGCTAATGGGGCTGTAAATTGGCAAACCAATAATTTAATAAAATACCAAGTGTTTATGACACAAACATATTTCATAACTCAAAACAATATTCTATTTTGTTAATAGATGCATACATATGTAGAAAAAGCATAAAAACATAAATGGAAATGATATAAATGACAAGATGTTACTATACTGTGGGAGCAAAGGCCTGGAAGAGAATGGGGTCATAGACCTCAAGTTGTCTTTGCAATATTTTGTTACTTTAAAGAAAAAAAATTATGATTTGAAGCATGTGGGAAAATGGTAACATAGTTAAAACTGGTGATAGGTACCTGGATGTCACAATATTTCTGTGTGTGAAATGTTTCATACATTTTTTAAATTTATTACAAAAGCAAATCAGGGACATATTCATGGACAACCCAACTTGTGAGAATTTGAAACTGTTTCAGAACTTAGCCTTCCCTGGGGGATGGCAACTTTGATGTTTGCCCACATGAAAGGTTTTACATGATTACAAGTATATGACTATCCTTTTCTTTCCCTAAGAGGAAAAACTTACTAAGCCAAAAGAAGATAATTTTAATTTGCTGCTCAGATCTCAAATCTTGAGATAAAAATCTCACTTACCAATGGTTCTCACTTGAACAACAGCTCTGACTGTCCACGAACTCACAGTATCCGACTGAGTGTAATCACATACATATGTGCCCTGGTGATAGTCATAAACTTCATCCACTACGATTCGGTTGCTCCTTTCCACAGAGAGGAGTTTTCCATTCTAATCCAAAAGATATTTTAAGCAGATAAATTTGCCACAGAAAAACTTTATGAAATACATACCTAAAGAAAAATCTTACAAATTTGAACAGGGAGGAAGAAGGTCAATCTGAGATAAGGGTATCTCACAAGCTATGAAGACATTGTGTTCAAAAACTGTACTTGTAGATTTGAAACAAGAGGCATTTTCCAATACAATTGCATTATGTGTAGAGATGAGAGAGTCAAACCTCCAAACCTGATCAGCCCCTAAACAGCTATTTAACAAAGGACTTCCCAGAGCATGCATGACTTGGAGCCCTGAGAGTATTCTGGAAGACCTGTAGTGTTCTAAGGGCTGAAACTGAAATGAATTTTTTAATGTGTGTGTGTATACATACATATATATATATACACACACACACACATATATATACATACACACACATATATATAACATATATTGTATATATTTACGTATATAAACAGATACATACTTATAAATAAAAACTTATATAAACAGAGGTTCTGGAACGTGAGTGGCTTTTTTTTCTCTCTCTGACAAAGCTGGTAAGTGAGAGCACTGAGAATCAACCTCATTTTTTTCTGGTTCTGAGTTTTATTTTCTGATTGAGGAATTTCCCTTCCACTTTGCCTGCCTACTAGTAGAAGCTGGGATTCCCCCACGCCACATCCCTCGTGTGTTTCCTGTGGTCCAAGAAGGAATTTCCAGCAGGCTGGAAAGGAGACTAAGGGTGGGGGCAGAGTGGCCAGAGAAGTGCAGCTGTGGGCAGGAAGCAAAACAAGGCAAAGAGGTAGTGGTATACAAGGCTAAATATATACCAGATGATCTCAAGAATCAGGAACTTTTCAAAAGGAAGTTTTAAAACATAGGGGGAAATTCAAAGATAAAACTTCAGAGGACGCAGTGATAACATATAAAGATCAGAATTCAGGGGAGAGGCGTGTCATAAATCGCATGAGAACGTAATGGTGGGAGGACACAGAGCCGTAACTAAGACCTCACCTAAGCCAAGGGGGAGGATGGGGAATAATGTATCTTTTTTACCCATAAATAGGTAAGTGAGGCTTAGTATGTATCATTAAGACTTTATGAAATGGAACTTAGAGGAAATATCAAAGAAAAGAAATTAGGGAGAAGCAATTTATGCCAAGGATGATGGGAAACCCATTCTAATAATACAATTACAGTTAATCCTCATAGGACAAAGAGAGGCTAATGCAGCTGCACAGGGAACTCTTGGTTTTGCTCATATGTGAAGCAGTCATGAGCAGAATATGGAAACAGGAACATCCGCCACTGTGAATCTGAATGAATAATGTCCGTAAGTCTTCAAAAGAGTGGAGGCATGCAAAAAAAAAAAAAAAATGAAGACACTGCAAAGGACTTTTAAAGGTATATGTGAAGCAGGGAGAAGAACAGTTATTCTTACTACTAGGGGCAGGTATTATAATATTATACTGCAGTATTATCGATTTCTTATACTACCAGTCAGTACAGCTACTGAGCATCACGCACACTGTGTTATTCTATGGGAATGGTACTTCCTGGATTTGGACAACACACTGGAGCTCCTAGCTGGACTTCCACTACCCAGTCTGGGAGGACTCCAAAGACCTGCATTTCTTTCACTCTCCTCCCTGGCCTATTCTCCCTGGTGCATTTCAGGTTTTCATATCCATTTTAATGTTCCTTATCATAGACTCATTGTGTCCAGGTCTGTATTCATCACAGCTTTCCTGCTCCTAATTGAATTTACTACTACTATCTCATATATGTTGAGCCAGAAAAACACCAAATATGCTACTCATCTATTTTACACACACTCCCAGTCAAAGCTTTTAATCTTTCATTTTATTACATGAAAATATCACTAGCATCTGCCACCTTCTTTCTGTTTCCACTTCTTTCTGTCCTGTCCTGGATCAGGACTCACACTCATAAAGTTCAAACACATCAGCAAGGTCCCCATAACCATCATGAGAACCACACAACCTTTATTTCCATTCTAGTCCTAATTAAA
This sequence comes from Homo sapiens, assembly GCF_000001405.40. Taxonomy (NCBI): domain Eukaryota; kingdom Metazoa; phylum Chordata; class Mammalia; order Primates; family Hominidae; genus Homo; species Homo sapiens. Next base: position 102,435,188 of record NC_000002.12, on the reverse strand, counting down.
CCACTTAAGAACTCTCAGCTCCCACCACAGTGAGCCACTCAGTGTGACCATACACTGAACATACCCTTTGCTTTTCTGTTTCTGTTGTCTATGTTGCTCTTTCCCGTTAAGTGTAGTTGCAGTCTCTTGCCCCAGTTATCAACTAACAACATTCTATTGATAGATTTTTTTTTTACTAATATTTATCTTTTAATGGGAATGGAGTATATTATGGAAATTATTGATAATGGGCTAGATGTCAATTTCTAGTGAAAGTCTTGAATTAATTATTTAACAGATGGTTTATGAACCCTTAGAAAAGGAAGTGATGGTTAATATCAGCCAGCTTGCATTTGCTAACAACAATCATATCAAGGCAATCTCATTGTTGCCCACAACTGAATAGACTGGAGGTTCACAGGAGTATGGCAGACACAGAGTATCTTCACTATTGTGAGTCACTTGAAAAATATTCTCATGATCTCTCTGTTAAACCAAAGGTACATTGTGAGCTGAATGATCAGATATAGGGCATTCGAGTGCCCTTTTAGTTAATTAAGCAACACCCTTGCGTTGTGGATGAATGGATCATATGTAACTAGAAGGATCAAACTGGAGTTAACAGCAGAGCACTCTGTCCCTGGTGTTAGCCTCGCCCGTAGTTTTAGCAGGGGCTTGAGGGAGAACATACCATGTTGATCTCATCTACATGCCTCACAAACCTGCGTGTGATGGCTAATATGTTGGCATTCAAAATCAGAATTCCAACCTCTTGACATGTAGAATGAACTAAAAACAACAAATTATTTAACAGAAATAAATATAAAATCATGAACATAAGTTACAAATTCTACTCTACAAACAAAAATAGAGAGAACTTGCTTGATTTCAGTTTTTGTGGAAAGACTTGCCTGCCAACTCAGAATAAATCAACCATATAATGAGGCTGTCCCAAAGCTAAAACAATAGTGGGGCTGTGGCAATATTCTGTTCTGAACAAGTAAGGAAATTCTTCCTCTGTTTCAGTGCTGGTTAGACAGCATACAGATGATTGTTTTGAACAGGTGTTAGAAAGCTGTCCAGATCTTCAGAGTTCTGAAATGTTCATAGTGAGAATAATCAAATGGGCCAATGTTTCAACCCTAGAAACAGTTTTGAGAAATATAATCTAAATTATCTTCTTCCTATTTGGAAACACATTAAATTAACTTATTCTCTATTTAGAAACACATTAATCTTTGAATCTAGCCAGTCTCACCATGCTTACCAGTTATCCACAGCACTAGGCCCACAGGATGCCAACAGGTGCCAGTTACAAGAACTAGGAAATGAGAAGTATCAGGTATAGGTACAAAACTTCTTTGGGGTCGGCATGATGGCTCACACCTGTAATCCCAGCACTTTGAGAGGCCGAGGCAGGTGGATCACCTGAGGTCAGGAGTTGGAGACCAGCCTGGCCAACATGGTGAAACCCCATCTCTGCTAAAAATACAAAAATTAGCTGGGTGTGGTGGCGCACACCTGTAATCCCAGCTACTTGGGAGGCTGAGGCATGAGAATAGCTTGAACCTGGGAGGTGGAGGTTGCAGTGAGCCAAGTCTCTAGCTCAGTGCACTGAGCTAGATGCGCTCTAGCCTAGGCGACAAAGAGAGAGATTCCATCTCAAAAAACAAACAAACTTCTTTGTGGTTGGCATGATGGCTCACACCTGTAATCCCAGCACTTTGGAAGGCCAAGGCAGGAGGATTGGTTGAAACCATGAATTTGAAACCAGCCTGAGCAACATAGTGAAACCCCTTCTCTACAAAAAATTTTTAAAATTAGCTGGGTGCAGTGGTATGTGCCTGTAGTCCCAACTACTTGAGATGCTAAGGCTGGAGGATCACTTGGGCCCAGAAGTTCAAGACTGCAGGGAGCTGTGATTACACCACTGTACTCCAACCTAGGTGGCAGAATAAGATCCTATCTCTAAAACAAACAAACAAAAACCTTCCATGCAACATAGGGCTTAAAATCAACCCAGCAGCCATGTCAGAAGTGTGGCAAGAGAATGTGGCATGAGTGAGATTGTCTTAAACCACCAATGGAAATGTTATTCAAGGTGCAAGTCCTACTAACAGGAGGTCACAGCAATGTCGTCAAAACTCATATCTCGGTGCCCTAGGCCAGTACAGGAGAGACTTTCCTACTACCCTTGATTATAATTTTGACTTGTGTCAAGGATTTGCTTAGCTGAAGATCATAAAATGCCGTTACATTACATGTAACTATTATTTATTTAAGATGAAGTTTGTTTATGCCAAGGCTATTTTTTCATTACATTTTTAGAAATTAGAAAAATATATAGAAAAAGTTAGTAGCATAAATAATAAATAACTCACTTTAATTCTGACTTTTTCAGTCATTAAATATTTTAATTAATAATCTCCAAGCATGGTGACCCAGCCAGGCTCCAGCACCTTCCTGCAGCCTTCCCCAGGCCAGGAGGCAAAGGCAGGTCAGCAGTTATCTGCAGAAGGAGCAGCTGGCCCCACCCAGGTCCAGAAGGTGCGTGGCAACCCAATCAAGCCTCAATGCCCTGCCTAAGGCTATCCCTGGCCCAGGGGTAAGATCAAGCCCACACACATCTTTGTAGCCTAGTTTCTCCCCCTGCCCATCCCAAATTGCTGAGCAGCAATCCCAGATAACTAACTTTGCCTCAGGGCCTAGCCTGTTGTCCTGCCCAACTACACATTCTAACAACAGTATTTCTCGGCCAGATGTAGGGCATTTGGGTGCCCTTTTAGTTAATTAAGCAATTCCTTCATGTTGTGGGTGAATGGAAGACACAAGGGTATTGCTCTGTGACTGCCTCTGATCAGGCAAAGTTGCAGGCTATTTGGGAAGACAGTCTGCAATTTTGCCTGATCAGAGGCAATCACAGAGCTCAGCCAGCGACTCAACCTGACCATAGAGTTCAGAAAGTGGTCTCACTGGAACGCAAAGCACAGCAAGCAATTCCACTTGACCTCAGTGCACAGAAAACAGCCAAGCCCACCTAGAGAACTCAACACCAAAGTCTGCTTATCTGGGATTGCTACCAACTAGCCCACCTGGAATCCCAGGCTAGACTACATAGTGAAGGTCTGCTACCACCAAAGATCACCTACAAAGACCAAAAGAGGTGGCTGTTTCCTCAACTGCATAGGCACCAATGCAAGGAACAATGATTATGAAAAATCAAGGAAATATGTCACCATCAAAAGAAACTAAGAAAGCTATCATAATGAAATAGGAAGAAGTAAAGATCTAAGAAATAACTGACAAAACTTCAGAATAATCCTCTTAAAGTAGTTTAGGAAACTACAAGAAAATATGTATAAAAATAAAATAAATTTTAAAAACAATTTTCAAAACAAAATGAAAAGTTTAATAATAGAGAAATAGAAAAAAAAGTTTTAAATAGAAATCCTTCTCCCTGAAGTGTGGGTATTTGAAAAATAAAGAAATCCTACAGATAAAGAATATAATACCTGAACTATAATATCAACAGCAGATTTGATTAAGCAGAAGAAAGCATCCGTGATGTCAGAGATGACATTTGAAATTATCTAGTCAGAGGAGCAAAAAGAAAAAAGAATGAAAAGGCTTATGGAAATTATGGGACACCTTCAAGATTCACATATTAGGAATTTTGGAAGATGGAAGAAAAAAGAAGTCAGAAAGCATATTTAAGGGAATATCAGCTGAATATTTCCTAAATCTAGGGAAAGATGACATTCATGCATAGGAAACTCAGAAGTTGCCAATCAAATTCAACCCAAAAGGGGTTTACCAAGATACATCATAATCAAATTGTCAAAAATTCAAAGACAAAGAAAGAATATTGAAAGTAGCAAGAGATGAGAAACATATCATGTTCAAGAAAGTCCCAATATTGCTATCAGTGGATTTCTCAGCAGAAACGATATAGGCCAGGAGAGAGTGGGATGATATATTCAGTGTTGAAGGAAAAAAACCCAAACAAACTGCCAACCAAGCAAAGCTGTCCTTCAGAAATGAGAGGGAAATTAAACTTTCCCAGACAAACAAAAGCTAAGGGAGTTCATCACCACTTGGTCTACTTTTAAGAATTGCTAAAAGGAATTATTTAAACTGAAATGAATGCCTGCTAATTAATAACAAAAAATATGAAAGTAAAAAATTCAATGGTAATAGTTAATACATAGTCATATTCATAATTCATTAATAATGTAAGGGTGGTATATAAAGCAATTTATCATTACTATGAAGGTTAATAGACAAAACTAATAAAAACAATCCTAGCTGTAATTAATCATTAAGAAACAGAAACTACAACAAATGTAAAATTTGACATCAAACCCATAAAAGGTAGCGGGGAGGAAATGAAAGTGTACTTGTTGTATATAAAGTTAAGTTGTTATTAGCTTAACTAGCCTGTTATGAAGTGTTTTATGGAAGCCTCATAGTAACCACAAAACAAAAACGTGTAGTAGTGGCACAAAATATGAATATAAAAGATTCAAAGCATAGCACCAAAGAAAGCCATCAAGACACAAAGGAAGATACTAACAGAGAAATAAGTAACAAAAAACCTACAAAACACACAGAAAATAAGTTACAAAATGGCAACAGCCTGTGCTTATCTACCAATAATCACCTTGAATGTAAATGGATTAATCAAACCATTTACAATATGTCTCCAATCAAAAGACATTTAAAAATTCAGCTATATGCTGCCTTCAAGAGATTTACTAATAAGGACACATATAGACTAGAAGGGAAAAAACGGACAAAGATATTCCATACAAACCAAAACCAAGAGAGAGCAGGGATAGCTCTACTTATATCAGACAAAATAGACTTTCAGTAAAAAAACTATAAAAAGAAACAAGAAAGATCATTGTATAATGATAAAGAGTCCATTCACTAAGAGGATATAACAATTGTAGATACATAGGCACCCAACATTAGAGCGCTTAAATATATAACGCATTTATTAAATGAAGAAAGAGATAGACTGCAATACAATAATAGTAAGAAACTCAATACCTTAATTTCAACTATGGACAGCTCATTTAAACAGAAAATAAACTTCAAAAATTGGCCTTGAATTACGCTTTTGACCAAATGGACCTAACAGACATATACAGAACATTCTATCCAACAGCAGCAGAATACACATCCTTCTCAAGTACACATAGAACATTTTCCAGGAAGGATACGTTCAGCTACAAGATAAGTCTTAACAACTTTAAGAAAATTGAAATCATATCAAGTGTATTTTGGGCTACAAAGGCATAAAGGTAGAAATCTAAAAACAGAAAATATCTTGGAAAATATGCACATATGCAGAAATGAAACAAAGTGCTCCTAAACAACCAATGGGATAAAGAAGAAATAAAAAGGAAGTTAAAAAATAAATTGAGACAAACAAGTTAAAACACAGTGTACTAAAACATGTGGGATGCAGCGAAAGCAGTCCTGAGGGAAATTTATAGCAATGAATGTCTGCATTGAAACACAGGAAAGATTTCAAATAAGCAATCTAATGATACACAGAAAGATGTTAGAAAAAGGGTAATAAATGAAGCCCAAAGTTTGCAGAAGAAAGGAAGTAACAAAGATAAAAGCAGAAATAAATGAAACAGAGATTAGAAAAACAATAGGAAAAAATGAATAAAACTAAGAGTTGGTTTACTGAAAAAACTAAAAACAAAATTAACAAACTCTTAGCTAGACTAAGAAAAAAGAGAACACTCAAATAGATAAAATCAGAAATGAAAGAGTAGACATTACAACCAATACCACAAAAATACAAAGGATTATAAGAAACTACTACGAACAATTATATGCCAATAAAATGAATAACCTAAAAGAAACAGATATATTCCTAGACACATACAACCTACCAAGATTGGATCATAAAGAAACAGAAAATCTAAACAGACCAATAATGAATAAGGAGACTGAATCAGTAATAAAACTTCCAAGCTAATTTTATGAATCAAGCATCACTCTGATACCAAAGCCAGAAAAGGCCAGTACAAGAAAATTGTAGGCCAGTATCTGAAAAATACAGATGCAAAAATCCACAACAAAATATTAGCAAACCAAATTCAACCATACATTAAAAGAATCATTCACCATGGTCAAGTGGGATTTATCCCTGGGATGCAAGGATGTTTCAATATACATGAATCAATAAATATGATAGACTACATTAATAAAATGAAAGATAAAAACTGTATGATGATCTCAATCGATGCAGAAATATCATTTGACAAAATCTAACACCCTTCATGATAAAAACCCTCAACCAATTAAGTATAGAGGGACTGTACCTCAATACAATAAAGGCCATATATGACAAACCCATAGCTATACTCAACTGTGAAAAGTTGAAATCTTTTCCTCTAAGAACAGATTAACAAAACAAGAATGTGCACTCTTACTACCTCGTTTCATCATAGCACTGGAAGTCCTAGCCAGAGCAATTAGGCAAGAGAAACAAATAAAAAGCATTTTAGTAGAAAAACAAGTAAAATTGCCTTTATTTGTTGGTGACATGATCTCATTTATAGAAAACTCTAAAGACTCCACTAAAAAACTGTTAGAAGTGATAAATGAATTCAGTAAAATTGCAGGATGTAAAATCAACGTATAAAAATTAGCAGTGTTTCCCTGTACTGAAAATGAACTGTCTGCAGAAAAGGAAATTAAGTAAACAAGCCCACTTACCATAGGAACTAACATAGTAAAATAGTTGGGTATAAATTTAACCAAGAAGGTAAAGGACCTATATACTGAAAATTATAAAAAAAAAAAAACTAACAAAAGGAATGGAAGAAAACACAAATAAATATGAAAGTATTCTGTGTCCATGGATTGGAAGAATTAATATTGAGAAAATGTCCTTACTACTCAAAGTGATCTACACATTCAATGCAAACCCTATCAAAATGTCGTTGTTTTTTACAGAAATACAAAAAACTACCCTTAAATTCATATGGAACCACAAAAGACCCCAAATAACCAAAACAATCTTGAGCAAAAAGAACAAAGCTAGATGGTTCATACTCCGTGATTTCAAAATATATTGTTAAGCCATTTAAATCAAAACAGCATGGTACTGGCATAAAAACAGACACATGAACAAATGGAATATGACAGAAAGCCCAGAAAGAAACCCACACATTTATGGTCAATAAATTAAAAAAAAAAAAAAAGATGCCAAGAACACACAATGGGGAAAGGATTATCTCTCCAATAAATGGTGTTAGGAAAACCGGCTATCTACAGGGAGAAGAATGAAATTGTATCTCATAGCACATACAACCCATCAATTCAAAATGGGTTAAAGAATGAAATAGAAGACCTAAAGTTGTAAAACTTCTAAAAGAAAACATAGAGGGAAAGCTCTACAGCACTGTTATGGGCAAATATTCTTTTGAATATGACCCTGAAAGCACAGGCAACAAAAACAAAAATAGAAAAATGATATAGCATAAAACTAAAAAGCTTCTGTGTAGCAAAGGAAACAACCCACCAAATGGGGAAAATATTTACAAGCTATATATCTGATAAGGAGTTAATGTGAAGAATATATAAGGAACTCAAACACTGCATTAGCAAGAAAACAAATAGCCCATTTTAAAAATAGGCAAGAGACCTGAAAAGATATTTCTCAAAAGAAAGGATGCAAATGGCCAACAACTATATGAAAAAATGCTGAGTATCACTAATCATCATAGAAATACAAATTGAAACCACAATGACATATCACCTCACACTTGTTAGAGCGGCTTTTATCAAAAAAATTAATCTGTTGTACATTGTTGGTAGAAATGTAAATTAGTACAGCCATTAAGAGAAACTCTATGAAGTCTCATCAGAAAAACTAAAAATAGAGCTACCATATGATTCAGCAATCCCACTTTTGGGTACATATCCAAAGAGATTGAAATCAGTATGGCAAAGGGTTAACTACGCTCCTATGCTTACTGCAGCACTATTCACAATAGCCAAGATATGGAATCAACCTTAGTGTCCATCAACAGAGGAATGGACAAAGAAAATGTGGTACATGTATGCAACGAAATACTATTCAGCCTTTACAAAAGGAAATTCAATCATGTGGGAGAACACGAATAAACTTGGAAGCTATGCTAAGTGAAATAAGCCGGGCACAGAAAGACAAATGCTGCAAGAGCTCACTCATATATAGAACCTTAAAAAGTTGAACTCATAGAAGTAGAGAATAGAATGATGATTATGGAGGCTTGATTGGTGGGGAGAAGAGGGTGAATGGGGAGATACTGGTCAAAGAGTACAAAGTTTCAGATAGATGGGAGGAGTTAAGTTTTCAGGCATATTTCACAGCAAGATAACTATAGCCAATAATATTGTATTGCACATTTCAAAATAACTAAGAGAGTAAGTTTCAAATGTCTGTCCACAAAAAAAGTAAGCAAGGTGATGGATGTGTTAATTAGCTTGAGTTAATCACTCCACATTGTATACATATATCAAAACATCACATCAATACTTTTTTTTGCATGTGGTATGAGATACAATTTCATTCTTCTCCCTGTAGATAACCAGTTTTCCTAACACCACTTATTGGAGAGGTAATCCTTTCCCCATTGTGAGTTCTTGGCATCTTTTTTTAAAATCTATTGACCATTAAATGTATTGTATATATTTAATCTATTGTAAATGTATACAATTATGATTTGTTAATTAAAAATAATTTTAAAATAAAGAAGTTGAAAAAAATTTAAACAATCTGCAAGCCTGTTCTTAATTCGCCAATTAAAAATATTGTGGAATGCTCCAGAGACTCCAAGCCCAGGGATTTATTTCAGTTGTATACTCTGTATATCTGGTGGGTGTATCCCTGGTCAGCAGTTTTATTTGAATTCAGTAAAGCCATGTTTTCATTCTCTCAGCCAGTGCCAGCTTCACCTATTCAGAGATGGGTCGTAGGTATGACTTACCCACCACCTGAGAACCTGGGGGTTAGCATGAAGGAAAAAGGCATTAGGTGTTTTTTCCTGCCTAATGCCATCACTTTTAGTGATGTACTACTGCCATAAGGTCTGTGATTTCCAGGTTACTATGTGCCTTTATATGCATGTGTATGTGTGAGTGCACACACACATATGTGTAATTCACAAAACCAGGACCTGTCCAAATCTGTATCAGAGGTACAATTTTCATAACAGCCATTGTTCACCTATTCTTAAGGTGGCTGCCTGTTCACCATTAAACACATGTTGACGTTTGCAGTCAAAGCCCCAGGGAAGTGAAACAAAGCTTCCTTTTGTGAATGTCATACAGTTTTAGGGTTTAGTTTATAAAAGCAATATTTGCAGAAAGCTGGCTACTATTATGCAACTTGTGCTCACCTGAAAAGTAAAAATTCATAGCTTTCACTTCAGGTGTATGATCATTGAAAAGCCAAACACATTTTCATCTGAAATAACGGGGACAAGACTGCTTTACAGGCCTGAGAACAGCCCACCAAGACAACAAGACAGCTGCCATCCTGGATGACGGATACTTTGAACCAAAGGAAGTTTTGTTCTTGAGAGAGAACTGAAAATAATGAACAAAACTATTGGCTCTTCTTACTAACCTCATTTTAAAGGTTATGAAATGAATGTTTCTGAAATTAGGGTTTTATTGAGACCAGCATTCTTTCAGTGTCATATAAAAACACAAATTTGAGACCATACCCCATGCCGTTCGTCCACCCTGTATATTTATTTCTGTAAAGGATGTGATAACATCTGTCTTCCTATTAGCCTGGAGTCTCAGGAATCAAGTAGGGAAATGTTTCCTCTTACCATGGTAACTGTATCCCCAGGAGACTCTCATTCTTAAAATTTGGGGTGCATTAAACCATTAGATAACTCATCTTTCTGATTTTAATCAGTAGCAATTTAGAATGATATTTTTATATTAACAAACACATATATTATGAGGTTGAATACAAAATTCTGCATAACTTTGAAGACAAAGTATTGAACTTCAAATAGTTATTGCAATTGTAGGAAGTGATTTAGATTCTATTCCTGGATTCCACCACCCAAGAATCAACTGACAGGGGGCTCTTTTGGAGGAGATGGTTAGGCAGCATTTCATCATCTGCTAGCACTTGGAAACACTATCAAACACGATGGAAACATGAAGTGCTTTTGTTATGGGAGTTCACGTACATGTGGTTCATAGCTAAAAGTCATTGTGAAACTTGCTCTTGTTCCCTTTTTCTATTTGCACTGTACTCCTTTCCACCATCTCACCTGTGCAAGACATCTGTCACTCAGGCCCACCTTGGATTCGTCCTAACTGTCCTCCAAGAGCTGTCTTTTGGGAATGTATTTCAGGCTCCTGTAACTTTCACAAACCCTTCAAGACTTATGTGTTGAGTCCTCCCTTCCCCTTTGCAATGCCTGTTGCTTTCCTAAGACAGTGAAAATGAGTGAACCTATCTTCCTACATTAGCAGATGTTAGTAGGTTTATGTCTAACCTCATGTGTAATATACTTGAATTTTAGAAGTTTCTCTGGTGTTGATCAAAAGGATGCCTCTAATAATTAGAATATCAAGCTCTGTGGCTTCCCAGGGAACATGATTATTTTAGAAAGTCAGATCTCCTGCAGAGGCACAGGGCCAGTTTTTGAGAAGCTGTATACCTCAGATTCTCAAACACGCTTTTCCATGAAAAGCCCATGAAGAAGATACCATAAAAACAATGCTCTTATATTAATTTTAGAGAATTCACTCTTACCTTGTACCAGGTTACCGCTGGACTTTGTGCATCACTTTGGCAGCTGAGACTGGGGCAAGAAATAGAGCCAGTGCTCCCAAGAAGTAGGTCTTGCTTATGTGATGCGGAATACTCACAGGATGCATTTGTCTGGGGCTTAACTTCTAAAATCATCTTGACACAACAGGCTACATCATAGGGGCTCCTAGGAAATTAACAAGATCCTGTGAACATAGATATTTTGTCTAGATAATAGAGGATTTGGAAATGTTTTCAGATAGAAATGTATTTGGATCATACTTAATCATCTTGGGTCTACAAATATATGACCCAGAATTATTCACCCCTGGGGTCAAAAAGTGAAGGGTACATTTGTCCTGAATGATGTGAGGATAGCTTTTCCTAATGTCCTCTAATGGATCTCCATTCGAAGGTTGTTGGTACCATTGGACATCAGATAGGTCGTTACTACCCATGAAGGGCAGGTGCTCAGGGACTTGTTTTGGTGAGAGTCGATTTCTGTGGCAGAAATGTGATTTCTGTGGCTCTGGTAAATCACAAAATAAGACAAATTCCTCTTCACTCCTTGTAGAATATGTCCAAAGGAGTTTTTTTGTGGAACAACCTGAAAATCATAATAAACAAAGCACATGGAAACACATTAGAAAATGGAATTCTAGCTTATATTTACATCTAGTACTTGATTTAACAAGAGATCTAGCTTCCTTGTGTGTCTTTCTTCTTCACTGTCTATTTTGTAGGGGAAAGGAAGTGCCTGTTCTAATTCCCTCCCAGTGGACTCCAGCATACCAGCAGCAGCCCTGGTTTCCTGGAAAAGATGGTAGAACTCTGGCTCATCCCTCGTCAGCTGATCTCACTGAACACTCAACTACAGTAACAGGGTACCTCGACAATGCTTGGTATCAGCTGAAAGCTGTTCACCCTAATAATTCTCCTCTCAGTCCCCTTTTAATAGTAGGATGGAAAGGTTTGTATTAATATATCACACTGCTGATATATCAGGTTATCCATCACTTTACACTTGACCACAGACTCACAGTGCTAACATGAAAAGTGAAAACCCCTACCTGAAATATTAAATCCTTTAATTCGCTCTCCTGCAACAAGCCAAAGAAATATCCAGCCCAAACAGAGCATTGTTCTCCCGTGTTCCTGTCATCACTCCAATAACTTCATTCCTTTGCCAGAGTAGAGTGTTTTGAGATTCAGAACTCTGCCCTGAGTATCCCCTTCATTTCTGTAAATCAAGAAATGGGAAATGAAGAAGTCAGAACCAGTGAACAAAGTGCATCTCACACAGGAAGCTTTGAAAGGGCAGGTCCTACCCAAACCGGCCTTCACTTGCCTATAACTTACGTGAGTATTTCCAATGGTGTGTAGCAACCTTTTCACTTGTGTCATTTCTTACAAATCATCTCAAGCTCCCAATATCCCTAGGCTCTATGCAGTGTGTTCTTTTAATGCCATTTTTCCCCTCATTAATCTTTTTTCTTTGATGTGCTCACCTAGCATGTGTATTTCCATGAGTAATTTGAAAAGAGTTATGTTTAACTTTTCCTGAAAAAATGACCCAAGTTGAATAAAACTGTCAGATTTTTCACGGTTAGGAAAGCTAGAGATATAGCTCCTATTTATAAAATTTGAGAATGTTTGCATATACTAGTCTATTCTATTAGAGAATAGAGGCCACCTACCTCTCCCTGCCCCACATGCAAGAGGGAAAATTGTCACTGGATGGCACCACTATCAACTCTCAAATATGAAAGGGGGAGCAGGTCCCCTCCAGAGAATCAGATCTGGGCTGTGTCCAAAGGACTTGAGTCCCCTCTCTTGATAAGGCAGTCATGGGACCTTTCAAACCACTTACTTGAAATATCTTGGGGATCCAGCTGGAGCATTCCCAGGGCAGAGGGGTGGGGAGGCATATGGCTCAGAGCAGGGTCTCAGTTTCAGCAGCTGGAGGGAGCCTGGGGCATCTGTAACAAGCCTGGATTGTTTCTGTTGCCCCATAAGGGAGGGCAGATGAACTTCCCTGAGGAACCTCAACCTTTAAAAGTAGGCCAGGGCTAATGGAAAATAAAGAATGACAAACCTAAAAGGAATGCAAGGAGCAGAGCAGAGAGACCACCTTGGCAATCCAGACAGAGAAAGCTTGGAGGAGAGACTAGACATCAGTTTCAGAAGCTGCAGAGGAGTTGGGCATGAGAAGGACTGAAAAGTGTCCACCAAAGAGTCTTGGTTTGGCCACCAAAAGCTCAGCATGTGCAGCTGGGGTGAGATAACGGAGAGCTTCAGGGTGGAGAGAGAGGAGTAGAGGGAATGTGGGAAGCGGGGAAGAACCACGCCTGCTAGAGTCTGCATGATGCAGGAAGACAGGAGGAAGTGTTTGCTCATTTCTGGAGATGAGAGGGCCTTGGGTAGGATTCCACTGCGAGGGGAATGCGTCAGCAGGTCAGTGAGGACAAATACAAGTGAGAGTGAGGAGAGGGTGCATGGACTGCTTTCTCCCAGGAAGCCAGAAGAAGTGGGGTCCCTGATACCATGGGGAGATTAATCTTGGACAAGAGGCAGGTAGAACCATGCAGGTGAAAAGGAAAGTCTGCCCAGACCACTTTGTCCAGGTGGAGCCAGAAAGTACAGGAAAGTACAGGATGCTACCACCTGGCTGCTGATGCTGACCTGGCTGTCTGCTGAGAGCAAGGCGTGTTCATGGAAGAAAGAAAGGGGGTTCTGTGCAATGCGCCTTGCAGAATGCCACGGATAGGTGTTAAGGTCACTGCATTATCCCCATTGCTGACAACTGACAGCTCTTCTTACAAGGACTGCAACCAAGGAACAAGGCAGGATCAGCAATGGCCTTTAAAGATGTGGTCTCCCCACTTGCCTTTCCCTTGTCCACAAAGTCTCCGAAAGAACAGTCCTCCAACTCCACCACCAGACACATCTTCCTAAGCAGCAAGCCTGGGCATTTCATTTCCATGCCCAAAACGTCACCGGCTCCCACCACCCATGTGATGAAGCACAGATTCCAGAGCACCATGGACAAAATGCTGTAGCGTTTGGCTCTCTCATGTCTTCCCTGATTTCTTCCTCAGAGAGTCGTTCCCTGACCACCTGGATAAAGAAGCGCCCTCTCCCTTCTTGCCATCAACCATCTCTCTTGCTACTCATTTTAAATGACTTTTGTCTTAGCACATATTATTGTCTGAAAATATCTTACTCCTAAAACTTCTCCCCAACTAGAATATAAGTTCCATCCCAGCAGGAACTGAGTTTGTCTTTCTGAGTCCTGCAGCCTCTCTGCAGGAATAGTGCCTAGCTGATAACAGGAGCTCAGTAATGACTTGTTCAGGATTTAACCATGCTGCAGTAGATCAGTTGTTCCTTACACCTTGTCCTCCCACTAGATTGGGAGCTCCTGAAGAGCAGATATCCCATTTCAGAAATCATATATCCTGATCCTAGGAGAGTGCCAAATGAACAATTAGTAATAAATTCTGTGTTCTGAAAAAATGATAAACACTTCCAGAGCCATCAGAACAAACACATAGCAATCTATTATGGTGATTCACATACTGTGTGGCTCCAATTAAGTCACTTAGGCTCTTTTTGGACCTCAGCTTTCTTACCTGCAAAATAAAATGTCTGGACTGTATCAGTAGTTCCTCCACCTTAGAATGAGGGAATCAGAATTTCTGATGTTTAAGTCGGGATATTTGTAATTTTTAAAAAAGCTCCCTGACTTGTAAATCATAAGATCAGATGGTTGCTAAGATCCTCCCAGCTCTACCATCCCGCAATTTATGTCTAAATGTCCAAGCCTATAGCAAATTAGTTACCACGATGCCCAGCAGTCTCCAGCACTCAGGAATGTCCGCCAACCTTGAGATGACAGATACTGCCTACTGATGCACCCACCCACCAACTGGCCTCAGACCTCCAGCTGCCTGGGGCTGATTGCAGGCTGCAGCTATCACTCTGGGACAGTGTTTCTCAAATCATCTTGATTATAAGAATCACCCGAAACCCTTATTACAAATGCAGATTTTTGGGCTTCCTGAGGACTTATTAAATCAGATTCTCAAGGAGAAGAACAATGGAACCTACATTATAAACAAGTGTCAGAGCCACCACGCTCATCTGGGAGACACTTTTGGGAAACCCTGCTCAGGGATAAGCATAGAGCTTGGGGAGGTGGGTTAGTGCTGAGTTACAGTAGCTGTTGCCAGCATTGTAGGCAACTGACCAACATGAGCCCAAGACCATTCTGGAAGTCTCATTTATGTGGGACAACACACCCACACTGTGTGGCTTGCTTGTTAATATCTACCTTTTGAAGGCCATCTAATGTCTAAGTGATGTCTTCCATGCTGCCGTCACTAAAATGCTTCACCGAATCGGAAGGAGCCACCAAAATGCAGAGTACATCATTTATTGAGCACTGGGCAACTTAAGCCAAAGCAAGCTTCAGACTCTGCTTATGGGAATAAAATAATGTGGCACTCATTTACTTTCTGTAAAGTGAAGCGGGGTGCTGTCTTTCTCATATTACAGATGGACAACCAAGGCTCACATTGCTTGGAATGGCAGTGCCCATTCTCAATGATAATCACATACCTGGTAAGTATTAGAAGGGGGATTCATATCCAGGTGTAGAGGGTCTCAAAGCTTCTGATTTCCCCATCACCATATGTTGTCCTTCACAGAAGGAATTGAGAGCCCAACAGCGCTGGGAGAATCTACAGAATCGCTTCTTTATCAATTTTCCAGATGCGTTTTTTGAGAATCACATATGTTTTTTCAGAGGATGAAGATTTCCCTTTCAGTTGGTCAAGGCTACACCTTCAGCTGTCTCTGGCAGAAATAATGAACTAAACTTTACCCACAAAACTTTTTGGTGAGAAACGGGGGAGAGAGAGGAAAGTGCTGGAGAAAGCAGTGTCAACAGGGATCTGAGACCCAGGGAGAGAAATGTCACCATCAAAGGCAGACTTAAACTACTTTACACAGAGAACACCTGCAGACAGAGATTTGGTCTCGTGTAATAGTGACAGTATTTAATTTAACTAATATCATTATGATTCTCAGATGCTCCATGGTGGCTTTAGACCCCATTGTCTAGGGATAACAGAAAATGAAGCTGTAGTACCTGCCATCAAAGATGTTACAGTTAAGTTTAAATGGGCATTCAAATTTGGCAAATATCTTGAATCTCTCTGCTCTTAGCCCTTCCTGTAAAATGCTCAAAGCACTTTAAACGGGTTTATTTTATAACCATCAGTTTTTTTAAGTGAAGACTCCGTATATATGGAGATGTAAATTTTGTTAGTAAATAACCCATTTTGTTATTCTAAAATATTTCTTGAAAAGTAATTGTATTAGCAACTCATTTTTTAAATTATTTAAGCTATTCTCCCAACTTATGTTTTCTGGTTAGGAAATCTAGTGAAAAAAAAGAAGTACTGCTCTCTTACCTTTATTTCCTGCTCTTAAGACATAAAAAAAAGAGGAAGGAACTTCAAGTCCTTATTTCAGTAACTGCCAGCTTTTGTATCTGAACGAAAATATGTGAAAATATCCATTTTCAAAGGGTTCTACTATATTTCTTCCTATCCAGAGAGATACCTGGAGAAGACACAATAGCCACGTTACACCAGCTCAAAAATAAAGGATTATAACTGGAGGAAAAAGGAAAACCTTATTTTGTAAATGACCATGGACATTGTGAAATGGATGGTCATACAGAGGAAAATCAAATAAACTACCTCTTTCAGTAGGAAGTGCTCTGAAGAAGAAGCATCTCAAACTCTTCTCTGACCAACCTCCTTGATGAGATAAAGTTTGTGGTTGGGTTTAGTTGAAAGAGTGAGTAAGCTGGTTTCCTTTACAGGAATTTCCTGTAAAGAATATTAACTTTCAACTCAATTTCTCAACTGTGGGTTTTGGTTTTCTTCTTGTAAAACTAATCTCTAAAAGTGTGACCTTTGAGATAAACACTAAAGCCTATTTTGTGATTAACTTTCTAATTTTGAAAAAGAAAAATTATGTCTCCAACACCAATTTTATAAAGCAATAATTTATTAATACATAAAGGAAAATACATTTAAAGTCTAAAGTTACTTGAGTTTTTATGTTCCTATTGAGAGATAGTCTCAGAATATAACATATAATTGAAAACTCCATTGTTCCTTTGATAGAGCAACTGAAACCATTTAATACTTCAAAAACTCTGAGACCACAATAGTTGTAATGAGTTTTGTCTAGAAACCATCTTGGTGAAGTCTAGATAACATCCTCCGTCAAGAGTCTAGTATTCTAATAAAGGTAAAGCTGGCACAGCTGAGCACATCAAAGCTCCAGGCTGCTTCTACACATATGTAGAGAATAACATGAAATACAAATGAAAACTAAATTTACTTTGGTATGAAAGCAAAATAAGTGTTTACCTGAGGTGAGGGTAGGAGGATACAAGAAGAATTAGTAACTGCAGACAGGAAGGAGCCCCAAAAATGTATCCACCACTGGTCATGAGTCTACCTAGGATTCCAAGAGGATGTGAGGGTTTGTTCCAAGCCTATTCCAACAGTGGTAACAAGGAGCAGTGAAACAGACACTCCAGGCATGTGATGCTTCAGGTTTACAATGTCATGTGGCAACAGGCCCAGTAGTAAGAACAAGGGCAGGAGACCCGGGAAGTTTTGGAGAAATGAGGTTGAATGAATGAAAAAGGCTAATAATAAGGTGTTGTTTTTGGTAAGTGTTCAATAACCATTGAATGGAACTATATTCAAGTGAATTGGGGTGTGGAAGCTGTCCTTGTGAAGTTTCAGAGATCTTGATGCAGACCTCAAAACTGAATCTAAAGTTATTGTATAAGCCATGCTTGCATTGCTATAAAGAAATATCCGAGACCAGGTAATTTCTAAGAAAAGTGGTTTAATTGGCTCATGGTTCTGCAGGCCACACAGAAAGCAGAGCGGCATCTTTTCCTGGGGAAGCCTTAGGAAGCTTCCAATCATGGCAGAAGGCAAAAGGGGAGCAGTCACATCACATGGTGAAAGCAGGTGTGAGAAACGGGTGGATGCAACACACTTTTAAACTACCAGATCTCACTCGCTATCGTGTGGACAACACCAAAGGGATGGTGCCAAACCATCATGAGAAACCTGACCCCATGGTCAGATCACCTCCCACCACGCCCCACCTCCAACACTGGAAATTACAATTTAACGTGAGATTTGTGCAGGAACTAATATACAAACTATTTCAGCTATTTAGTTGCCTCCTAAAGTGAATTTGATCACTTTAATAGAGTTTGAACAGGGCTTACAGGAGATGGAAAGTCTTGCTGTAGACATTGTGGAGCTAGTCTCTAAAAATGGCTGCCATCAATTCTTCCACCAACTCCTCACCTTTTCCCATTTACTTCCATGTGCATTTTGTTTCTCACATCAAGAGATAAAATGTGTTTTCTCTGTCCTTGAATCTAGCCTGGCTTTATGGTTCACTTTTGATGAAAAGAACACAGTGGAAGTGACACTGTTGCCAGTTGCAGACCAGTTTTTAAAAGATCTTCAGCTTCCGATTCCTCTTTTGGGAGCCAGACACCAGGTAACAAGCCCAAATATCCTGAGATCACCTTACTGTAAAGAAGCCTAAGCTAGGCAGATTGTGAGAACAGGAGAGAAAGAGATGCTAGGCCAGGCCCCAGCTGTTCTAACCCACCCGGCTTCAAGCCTGTGAGTGAATACCTACAGCAGATGTGACATGGAGAAGAACAACAGCTCAGCTGAGCCCAACCCAGATTGCAGCATTGTGAAAAATAATACGTTGTTAAGTTTAAGTCACTATGTTAGGTTTAAGTCAATAAATTTTGGGGTAGTTTGTTAGACAGCAATAGATGATGGAAAAATATATTACCATGTTACCATTGGCCAAATGAGTTCTATTTCACTTGAGATAAATTCCTGGATGAAATGGAAATGAGTCCACTTGGTGAATTTATGTTTCAAATTATGTTGTGCATACCTATTATTTTCTCAGAAATATGGTTCAAGGAGAAATAAAACACTTTTTTGACTTCCAACTATTCATATTTTTGAGAGAGAAATAATTATAGTGTATAGTCATGAATTTAATCCAAGAAACATATACTATCCATCTTCTACCTGCAAGATCTTTTGCTGGTCGACCTAAAAACAAGCTGTGTCATAATTAATATAAGTAAAGACTTTATTTGGGCAGAGCTTGAGGATCACATTGTGGGACCATAGATTCAAGTTGTTCTGAATATATTCTCTGACCAGCAGCAGTTACAAGTAGATTTTTAAAGGAAAATAAGAGGCAGTTTCTAAGTTGTTTAGCAAGAATTACATTAAAATAAGACAAGCTATTGATTGGCTATCCATGTTGTCTGTCTCATGATGTTCGAGAACCTGAAGATAATGAATGAGGTAGCTAGTCAGAAACAAAATGACTTTAAACAATTGCCCTAGGCATGAGTACAGTGGGGGGGTGAGAGGTGGGGAGCATGACTGAAGTCACGTACTCATATCTCTCTGGGCCTAATAAATTTTGCATACCTCAGATAGCTCACACTACTCTGAGCTATTTTTCTTCTCTCTTTTCTCCCCACTTAGATCAAAAATCTTCCCATGGAAGCACTGATGATCAAACTCTGCTTAGGTTAGAATAGGCATCCTTCATCCCTTGGCATCCCAAGGAAGGCCCATTCCTAGATAGATCCCAGTCAAGTGATTTATATAACTTCCATTGCTTGTTGAATTATCTCTAGTTTTTGAAGTTTTATGCTTTTGTTTGTCTTGGAAGAAGTACAGCAATGAGAGATACGTGGTGAAACCTATTTCACTGGGGATTCAATCCAAATTTTAGGAAAATAATAAAAACTCAAAAACAATTAATGGTCAGGGCTGCGATCTAATAACAGGTATGCTATAATCTTCCTTGGAAACATAATTTTACTCTCTCCAGTTTCCCATTTCTACCAAAGATAAATCTTACTAGGATCAATTTACTTGTAAAATAAGATATAGTATTATACTTGGTCTGATTATTTGCATAAAGTGCAATAAGAATCATGATTAGACCTATAGGCTGTTTTAAGTTGGCTTTGCTGGAACTTTCACAGGGCATTTTGGATTACACTTTTAAAAGCCTCGAGGTTAGGAAGCCAAGCCAAGAATTTGCCACCAGGATGTACCTGTGATACCTGTACAAATTGGGTAAATTCCTCTCTTCTTGAGGTTCCAACATGTCTTGAGGACCCTAGAGCTGTCAGAAAATGGTATTCTTTACTTACTGCAAAATTAGAAACCTTAAAAAGGAACCATGTACATAAGTTACTATGCCATCCTTTTCAAGAGGCTTTTGATTGGTTCTATAAAGTCAATTTCAATTCTTCAAAGCAGTCTGGTTATATCTGAAAATATGCCATTCCAGTCAAAGCCTTGGTAAAATAATCAGTGTCTCCAATTGTGTCCTGTTACAGAAAACAGATTCTTATTAAACTTATGCAAATAACTACATTGCCAATAAAATAAAAATGCTCACATATAGTTTCCAAATTTTGGAGAAATCAGGTGGAGAGAAAGGCAAATGCTTCAATTTTACTCACAAAGATCTATTTTACCCAATGGCTATAATCTACAAATAGCTGAAAAGAATTTTTTTCATGACTCTGGCAAACAAAATATAAAAAGAATCAGCAATGCTTCAAACAAAACATCTTAAAAATCATTTCAGTCCTCTATCACTTCAGTCCCATGTCATTAACTTTTCTTGTGCTTGAGGTTGGGCTAGCAATCTTCGTGAATGCATCAGTTTATTAGAGTTCTGAGTGTTTTTACACAGTCCAATCATATAATATCTAAAGTAATCAGAAACCTGTATTCAAGAGTACTTGTCAAGGTACACTTTCAAGAATCTCCTTGGAGAAAAAGCAAATTTTGGACTATAGCTGATTATAAACCGTTTTTTGAGAAGAATCAAAGTAAGACAACAAATGTCTGTGGATGACAAAGGACTTAGTACTCTAAGTCTTTAGCCATGGCTAAAGATGCATGTGACAAGGAAATTTGGTTATTTCTGTGGCAGACAACATTTTAAAATAACAATCATAATTATATCTGACAATGTATATAAAGACATATCAGAATTTTACAAATTTCACATGATTTTGGAGCACATATTAATAATATATCCACACCAATGATGCAGGATTTTTGCTCCTTAGCTCAGCTAGGTCTAGGTTTTTGTCTCATAACGAGGAAGAAATATGCACTCAGACATCAAAGAGTGAGTGGAGTAGAATTTATTAAGTGAAAGGAAGGCTCTCAGCAGACAGGGACCCTGAAAAGCAGGTTTCCGGCTGCCCCCTTCACAGTTGAATACCAGGGCATAAGGTGTGAATTCCTGGTAGCTCCACCCCGTCCTTCCAATGAACATGCGGGCACTTAGACTGACTTGCTCCATATTGATTTATTTTCCTTACTGCACATGTTTTAAGGGATGGGATTTTCCACTGTAGGCATGTTTAGGTAAGCCTCCTGTGCAAGTTCCCTTATCTGCACAAAACAACTGATGTAAGTGCTTGTGGGGTGGGTCGCCGGTTCTCTGGGGACCCTTCTCTTACTGTCTGCCTAAGGCAAGCTGGCTAACTCCTTTCATTACCCCCTCCAGGAGGAGACCCCAACTGCTATTAGAGAAAGTGGATAATGACTGTTCTTAACTGCTTCCTGCTGACAGGGTGTGCTGTTTTGGGAAAGCTGAATTAGGGCTCCTCCTAAGTATGGTTTAAGGGTCCCTGGAAGAATAGCATATTCATGCATGGATTCATTTGCATCATCATTTGAAGTTTAATGGCCTCTAAATGAGAATAAACAATTTGGGTTATTAGCAGACATATATAAAAATGAAACAAGGGGGGAAGGACAGCTCAAAAATCCCAAGGCTGCCAATATGCCCAGATAACTGATGGCTACAGCTATGCCTGCTAAGATTTGGATGCATGGTGCTTTGCTTTGGTTAGCTCCCTTGGTCTTATTTTCCCAAAAAAAAAAGAACCCTCTGGGTTCACCTGGCAGGATTTGCAAGATAATTGCTCAGAATTAAAACATTGATCCAGATTTTTACTTTACCCATCCCTTTTGTTTCTTCTGATCTGTAGCCAGAGATCACTGGTTGTTTCACAGGAATAAGCAAGGTTAGTCTAAAATGTAGGCAAAATCTTAAAAACAATTGATGAGATTAGAATTTAATGACAAGCATATATGTTTTGAAACATAATTTTTCTCTCTCCAGTCCTCATTTTTATCAAAAACAAATCACGATAGGACTGAGTTGTTTGCAAAATAGATTTTAGTCTTATACTTGGCCTGATTATTTGCATAAAGTGCAGCAAGAATAATTATTTTTCACATAGGCTTTTAAATTGGCTTTGAGGGAATTCTGTTCCACAAGAAATCTCAGATAAGACCTTTTAAAGCCCAGCCTAGCCGTGGGTTTGTACCCTCAAACACCTATGAGTTTTGTGAATTTCTCTCTTCTTTAAGTCCCAAAAACATAGGGCCCGTTAGAAAATGACATTCTTTAGTCATCACAGGTTAGGAATCCTGTGCAGGGATGGTGTAGACAAGGAATGAGGCCAGTTTTCCTAGGGGGCTTTTATTGGCTCTTCAAGTCAAGCCAGATTCCTTAAGTGGAAGCATATCCTTCCAGTCAAAGCCTTGGTAAACAACCAGTTTCTCCAATTGTGTCCTGTTGCAAAAGAAAATGGACTTTTATTACACTGATGCAAATAACTGTATTGCCGCAAGGTAAGAATACTTACAAATAGTTTCCAAATTCAGGAGAAGCCAGGCAGAGAGAGAAACAAATACGCTCCAAATTTTGTTCAGAAGAGTATAGCTTACTCAATTATTAAAGACTGTAGATAACTCAAAATAAGTTTCCTTGCCTCTGGAAAACAAGGATCAGCAACGTTTTAAGCCAAAAGTTAAAAAGATTACTTCAGTTTTCTATTAGCTCAGTCTATTCCATTAACTCTTGTTCTGCTTGATATTCATGAACATTTCAGCTCTTCATGAATCCTGTACATTTCCCTCTATTCCAATATTATAATCTCCAAAGTTCTCAGAAACCTGCATTTTAGAGCACCTGTCAAAGTTCTATAGCTGATTACAAACCATCTTTTGAAAAGAATCAAAGCAAGACAACAATTGTCTATGAATGACAAAATGTCCAGTGTAGTTACAGTCAAGAACATGATTGACAAATAAATTTGGTTATCTCTTTCTTGGCTTTCCCTAAGCTAAAATAATGGGTGACACCAGTTTTGTAACCTTCAGTGTGGGTGAGGAGGGGCTGGAAGTTGTAGAGTCAACCCAAAATGAAGCGAGCCATCTGTTTTAGGAAAGCAAAGCAGTAGACCATGGTCAACGGCTGGTGGGTGGATGGGAGCATGTAATCCAGATCCTCAACCAGAGGCCAGAAGAACTCAAAATTGTTCACTGGTCAGCCATCTGAGACAAAGTAGGGCTGTCCAGAGGCAATATGTCCCTTGTCAGCTCTCAGGGCCTCTGAGGCCAGAATGTGAGCCTGCACCAAGTTATCCACATGGACAGACTCAACCAGGCTTCTAGGATCTCCACAGACAAACTTGAACGTGTCTTTCTCAATATAGCTGACTATTCTGGGAAGGTGTCTTTGTTCTCCAGGCCCATAGATGCCAGCCGGCCTCAGAGAACAGGTTCTTAAGACACCATCACCTCTGTCCAGGGGTGTGCTCTTCGCCTCCAGCACCTTCTTCTCTGGCACCCCCCTCCTCTGGCAAACCTGGAGGATGTTGTCTGTACTCCCAATGCTGACCTCTTTGATCAGGTTTTGATTTAGTTGCTCCTTCCCTGACAAACCATAAGAGGCAATATGGAACACACATGTGACATCTGTGTCAAGGCTTTCTCTATGTCAGAGAGGTGGCGGATGTCTCCATGTACAAACTTGATTCCTTCTGGAATGGTTTGAGCAGGACTGCTGATGTCAAATAGAATTACGTGGACTCCCTTTTGGTTCAGAGCATGGCCCAGGTGGAAACCAAAATAGCCACCTCCTCCTGTAATGAGGAAAGTTTCCTTTGGAGATCTTTGGGGGTCCATATGTGGCAGTCAAAAGACAACTGGACAGCAGCAGGAAGAAGGGCGTGGCCTTCAGACTGAAGAAGGCCGGCTGGCCCAGGCCTTGGGAGCCACCTGCTGCCTCTACTTGGGCACTGGAGCCCTCAGACTGGCCTCTGGTAAGTTATTTTAATTATGTTCTATTCACAGATAAGGTCTTACTCTTTCCAGCATAGTTAAAGGGGTGGGCAATTCCATATGTCCACAAGCCTTCCCAAATTGTAAAGTATACAAATCAAATGGTTCTCAAAAGCTAAAAAAGTAGTTTATAACCTTAAAACATTTAGCAAACCTAGTATCTGACCCACATAATTTAGACCATATATTTACATATGAAGACATTTGCACTTTACCAATTATCTTTAAAACTGTTTTTATGTTTCAAAGATTAAAGTCACATGAACTAAAAGGCATTACAGCTTTTATTTCTCCTTGAAAAATATTTGATCTAAGTGTTTATTTTTCTTTAGGTCAATGAATTAGAGCTGTTTTATATAACCATCACACACATAACACATATGATTACACAGACAGACAGAAGAAGATCCAGTAGTTGTAAGATTTTTCATTTGGAGCCGAGCACAGTGGCTCATGCCTGTAATCCCAGCACTTTGGGAGGCCAAGGTGGGCAGATCACTTGAGGTCAGAAGTTCGAGACCAGCCTGGCCAACATGGTGAAACCCCATCTCTACTAAAAATACAAAAATTAGCTGGGTGTTTTGGTGTGCACCTGTAATCCCAGCTACTCGGGGGGCTGAGACAGGAGAATCGCTTGAACCCGGGAGGCAGAGGTTGCAGTGAGCAGAGACTGCAGCATTGCACTCTAGCCTGGGTGACAGAGCAAGATGCTGTTTCAAAAACAAAAAAAGATTTTTTCATTTGCCTATCTCCTAATTGGGTCATTGGCCTCAGGGTGGAGTCCTTCAAGAAGCAGGGCTAGGAAAGCATGCAGTTTTCAGGGCCCAAGAAACAGGCATAGCTGGAAAACAAAAACAGATTTTGGGAGGGACCTATCTGTTTTTAATTTCGGGGTTCCATAAGGAAAACAGAGCTTTCTTCCCAAAATGGGGTCTCTAGCACCTTCTCTGTTTTTCCCAAGGAGTCCCATGCTCTCACAAGTTATCTTAGGGCCTCTCATGCGTGCACCGAGAATGGCAAGACTAAATGGAAAAAAATAATTCAGTTGACTGAGAAAAAGCCTTTTTCCAGAAAAACAAGATCCAAGGAAAAAAAAAAGGCCTTTTAAATATACCAATACCTTGGATATCCACTTTTAATTAAGCTGAGCACTCTTTAAGAAAGTCTTTTTAAGTCCCCTGTTAACCGACTTTAGCCAGGCCACGCGGCCAATATTTCTGGCTTTTGAACTTTATGGAAAGTAACCTCACAGATGAAACCAACAAGCCTCAACTAAGGTTATGACTTAACTGTGAGTGTATGAGGTATTTTCAAAGTAGTGGTAAGCAGTTTTTACAAAATCTGGAATCTTTAAAGGTGACTCTGAGAAAGGAAGATTTAAGAAAGGAAGCTAGAAGTTGTTCACAGAGGGGAAGAAAATCAGCAAATGGTAAAAGTCACACGATATTAACCAGAAAGTACTCATTCCCTAAGCCAGAATTGAACCCAGGCTGCCGTTATAAAATGGCAGAGACCAAAACAAAGTATTGCCACATGGTTACAATGTCAAACTCCCAAGAACATAAAACAAGATGGAGACCCGAAGCTGGTTGCTGACCATTTGCCTGGCTGGCTTGAACAGTAGGCTTATGGGGTCCTAGGCCCATATTCTATCCTAAGGTACTCCTCTTCATGCAGAACCATATAGAAAGTCACGCCAAGCACACCAGATTGGTTACAGCTTAAGACTGGCCTCATAAATTCTTTTTTCCATTAATCCAAACTTCACAGAGGATATAAACAGTGATTTTATCATCCATTCAATCATTTGTACAGGGAGAGGGAAGCCAGAA
This sequence comes from Homo sapiens, assembly GCF_000001405.40. Classification (NCBI taxonomy): domain Eukaryota; kingdom Metazoa; phylum Chordata; class Mammalia; order Primates; family Hominidae; genus Homo; species Homo sapiens. The sequence goes on along the minus strand of NC_000002.12, from coordinate 102,409,254 downwards.
ATCCGACTGGTAAAAACTTTTATCCTTTTGCCGGCATGTCAGACTTCTGGGTTCCCTTCCCCTGAGCTCGGTTTTAAGCCAAGCAGCTTAAGGTTTGGGGTAATTAAGTTTTCCCTGTTTGGGGGGTGCACCCAAGGGGAGTGTCCTGTGGTATGGGGACACAATTACCCATCTGTGAAGAGAGGACAGAGGAGGCAAAAGGGGAAAGAAGGCTTTTTCTTTTTTCCTCAAAGGAATCCCAGTGATTCAGGAGGCATTTGAGAGAAACACACGCTGAAGATGATTGGTTACCCATCTAGAAAGAAGGGAAAAAGGCATCCTTAGTTTCTTTATCTTCCCAGCAAATACCTGGGGTATGTGAGGGAGAGAAAGAAGCATCCCCTTTTCTTTCTTCCATCCTTATATTCCCAAGTCCTAGTGACCTCAGCAGGGTGCAACCCGTGGGTGCCAATGCAGCTTTTCACCCATGTTAACAGGGGGCCTGGGAGTGGGAACTGTCCGCATTTACCTACGCGCTGCCTTTCCCCTGCTGTCGGTAACCTTTGAGTTCCCTAGATCTTGTCTATGCCATGGATGCGAGCCTGACCTCCAACCATAAAGCGGGAAGGCCTAATTGGCTTGAATTAGTCATGCTTGGGGGCAGGAAGATGCCACCAGGCATGGGTGGAGAGAGGCCATGACTTTAGTCTCATACTTATGTCTCTCTGGGCCTGATAAACTTTGCATACCTCACATGGCTCATGCTGCTCTGAACTCTTTTTCTTTTCTCACTGGGAACTGTCATCTTACAGATGAATATGAGATGATTTTTGTCCTTCAAGGGTTAACAGTTGAGTTGAGGGAGCAGAATCTCTAAAGGTCACTTCTTATACTGTAATGCTAGACAAAGATACACAGCAGAACACAGGAGAGGAGCTCTTAGCCAACCTGAGGACTGAAGGATGGCTTCTCGAGATAATTCACTGAATTTTCATTAATTTTTTTTAAACCTTACGTGTAGATGGTGAAGGCGATGAGCTCTAATATTTTCACGCTCTTCTCTAGACTTTCAATCATCTGTCCCCCACAACCTGCTGCTTGAGTCTCCCCTCAGGACATAGTTTCTCTAGCAGCTCACTTACATGGTGGTTGTTTTCCCTCCCAGACTCCAGGTACCATTGGTTTCCAGCCACTGTACCTCCCTCCTCCCTAAGAACCCCCAGCTTCAAATATCATGTCCTTGGGCTATCCCACCCAGTATCCCTACTTGTTGCAGTCATCCACAAAGCCCTGGGACACTCTGCTTTATTCCCTGAAGAGTTTAGTTCTGGGCTTACTCTTACTCTTCAGAACTCTTCCTGCTTTGATTCTTGGTATTAGCATTGATATAGATGATCCGTTTAACGTCCCCGTCTCTCAGTTCTTTGACTTCCTCTCCTCTAAAGCTCTTGTATTCCATCCTTACTTCACTATTTATTCCTGTAATCATAACCTAGACTTGTCATTGCTAATAATTGCTATGCCTCTATATTCCCAATTGAAAGCAACCCACTCCCTTGGCAATTACCTCCTGTCACCCAACTTACTTTCCAAAATATTCAAATTCCAGCACTCATTTAGTAACAAAAGAAATTTACACTGATCCTATCAAATTTTCAATGATCCCCTTCTTGCATTTTCCAAATTAAATTCTATTATTATTCATTATCAGTCCTTGAATAGTACAAAAAATTATTTGTATTCATTTAGTTAAATTTCTTTATATCTTTCATTAATATTTTTTTAAATTCTCCACTAGAAATGTATTTCTAGTGGAAAATTAATGCATTCTCACATTAATGCATTTTCAATGCATTCAACACATTAGGAAATCTCCTTCCTAAAGACCATCTACCTAGAACTTGCTCTTCTGCTTAAATATGGCAAATGCACAATTTCCAGCATTGGATTTCCATTTATCATCAGTCTGGAGATCTGGAGATGCCTTCCACCATTTTCCTTAGCTGGATTCCATTTCCCTGAAGCCCAAAGTACTATATGTTCCCTTTATGGAGGACCGCTTCTTCCAGGAGATCTCAGACAAAGGGACATGGCAGGAAATATCTTGAGGCCTTACTTGTCTGAAAATATCTATTTTACCCTCATATTTGAATAATTGTTTGACTCAGTAGAGAAATTTAGGCAATACATAATATTTTCTTCCAAAATGTTAAGGCAGTTCTGTCTCCATTTTGCTGAGTAATTAATTGGTGGGCTCTTTCAATCTGGAGCTTCATATCATTCTATTTTGAGATGCTTTCTTATTTCCAAAAATGTTATTAGACTAATTTGCAAATTCTTCTATTTTTTCTCTATTTTCATTTATTTAGCTCCTTGTTTTACATTCTGGGTAACACTTCATTATCCTCCAACCCTGATATTGTCTTTTCCACTTTAGCTAATTCATTTCTAATTTCCAACTCATCTTTATTATGCTCTGATGTAATATCTTTTCTTGTCTCTCTGAAAATATTAAAGTTTGTTCTTTAAATATGTTTTTCCTTTGGCTTATCTCTGTTATCTCCAAGTTCCATTTTGTTATTTGTTAATCATGGCCTTTCATAGTAAAGGATTTTCTTAAATATGTAAGGATTTTTCACTGTCTACTAATATTTAATAATGGGATGCTATGGCAAAGGTTTTGCACACATACACACAACTACAGACAAATCTTACTTAGAAGTATATATACAAAGTTCTAAATAAAATATTAGCACATAAAATACATATTTTTAAAATTCATTAGGATTGCATAACTGCAAAGTTGGTTTGATATTATGAAAACATTAACATTCTCTATGGAATATGAATGGTCTATATGGTCTAAAACTATATGGTCACCTCCAAAGTTGCAGAAAAGGTTTTGAACAAAAATAAACACACACTTATGTTTAAAAAAAACACTAAACATGTTGTTTAGTTTCCATGTGTTTGTAAAGTTTTTGAAAATTCTCTTGTATTGATTTCTAATTGTATACCATTGTGCTCAGAAAAGATATTTGATATGATTTTAATCTTCTTAAATTTTTTAAGACTTGTTTTGTGGCCTAATATAAATATATGTTCTATCCTAGAGAATGTCCCATGTTGAGAAGAATCTATATTATGCAGCTGTTGAATGGAATGTTCTGGAAATGTCTGTTACATCTATTTAGTCAGATTAACTAAGAAAAAAAGTAGAGAAAACTAGAATAAATAAAATCAGAGACAAAAAAGGAAATGCTATAACCGATACCATAGAAATACAAAGGATTGTAAGAGGCTATTGTGAACAATTATATGCCAACAAATTGGATAAACTAGAAAAAATGGATACATTTCTGGACACATATAACCTACCATGAAGAAACAGAAAACCTGAAGAATCAATAACAAGTAATAATATTAAATCAGTAAAAAGTCTCCCATCAAAGAAAAGCCCAGGAGCTGATAGCTTCATTACTAAATTCTATGAAACATTTAAAGAATAACTAACACCAATTCTACTAAAACTATTATTTAAAAATTGAAGAGAAGGGAATACATTCAAACGCATTCTACAAGGCAAGCATTACGATGATACCAAAATCAGACAAGGACACAATGAAAAAAGAAAACTACAGGCCAATATTCCTGATATATATAAATGCAAAATCCCTCAACAAAATACTAGCAATCTGAGTTCAACAGCACATTAAAAAGTTTTTTCACCATTATCAAGTGGGATTTAATCCAGGAATGTGAGGATGTTTCAACATATGGAAATCAATAAACATGATGTATCACATTAACAGAATGAAGGACAAAAACTGTATGATCATTCCAATAGATGCCAAAAAAGCATTTGACAAAATTCAACATTCCTTCATGGTAAAGCTCTCAACAAATTGGGAACAGAAGGTGTAGGTGTGACAATACAATAAAAGCCATATATAAAACCCACATCAATGCAATAAAAGCCATATATAAAAACCCACAACTAATATCATACTGGATGGGAAAAAATTGAAAAATTTTTCTCTAAGATCTGGAATAAGATAAGGATGCCCACTTTCACCACTTCTATTCAATATAGTACTGTAAGTCCTAGCCAGTGTAAACAAGCAAGAGAAATAAGTAAAAGGCATCAAAATTGGAAAGAAAGAAATGAAATTATCCCTGTTTATTAGACAGCATGATAATATGTATAGAAAACGCCAAAGAATTCACTAAAAAATGGTGAGAACTAATAAATTCAGTAGAGTTGCAGGATATGAAATCAACATACAAAAATCCATAACATTTTTATACCCCAATAGCAAACTGTCTGATAAAGGAATCAAGAAAACGATCCCATTTACAATAGCTACGAAAGAAATAAAATACTTAGTAATGATTTAACCAAGGAGGCAAAAAATCTCCACACTTAAAACTATAAAACATTGATTTAAAAAATTGAAGACCACACAAATTATTGCAAAGGTATTCCATGTTCATGGATTAGAATTAATACTGTTAAAGTGGAGAAAATATCTGGATAGCTATGTCTCAAAAGATAACATACAAATGGTCAACAGGTATATGAAAAAAATGTTCAATATCACTAATTATTAGGAAAATGCAGGTCAAAACTACAAAGAGATAAAAACTCACCTCAATTAAAATGGCAATTATCAAAAAGATAAAAAAATAACAAATGCTGGTACAAACAGGGAGAAAGGGAAACTCTTATATACTGTTGGTAGGAATGTAAATTAGTACAGCCATTATGGAAAATAGTATTAAGATTCCTTAAATAATTAAAAAACAGAACTACCATATAATTCAGAAATCCCACTGCTGAGTATATATCCCCCCAACAAAATGAAATCAGTATGTTAAAGAGATATCTGCACTCTCATGTTTATTGCAACACTATTTGCAATAGCCAAGATATGGAATCAACCTAAGTGTCTATCAGTGAATGAATGCATAAAGGAAATGGAGTATGTATACACAATAAAATACTATTTATCCAATTAACAAAAAGAAATCCTGTCATTTGCCACATGTATAAACCTGGAGGACATTATGTTAAGTGAAATAAGCCAGGCACCGAAAGATAAATACTGCATTATCTCACTCATACATGGAATCTAAAGAAGTTGAACACATAGAAGTAGAGAGTTAGGATAGTGGTTACCAGAGGCTAGGAAGCAGAAGGATAGGGAGAAATTGGCCTATAGGTACAAAAGTACAGTTAGGAGGGGTAAATTTTGGTGTTTCATTGCACATAGGGTGCCTATGGTTAACAAGATGGTATTATAGATTTAAAAATAGCTAGAACAGAGGGTTTTAAATGTCCTGATCACAAAGACAATAAATGTATGAAGTGATGGATATGCTAAATACCCTGATTTCAGTTTTAATAATGTACACATGTATCAAAACATACAGTGTACCCCACAAATATGTACAATCATTATGTGTCAATTTAAAACACATTGACCAATGGAACAGAATAGATGGTCCAGAACTAGGTCTAATAGGATATGGAAATTGAATAGACATTAAATGGGCATCTTATGTTAGTGGGTAAAAAAATGAACTTTTTAAGAAGTGGTGTTGTGATAAATACACAGACATATGAAAACAATGCAATGGATCCATTTCTCAGACTAAACACCATAGTAAATTCCAAATGGATTGAAGATTTAAAGTGAAAAATGAGTCCATATCTGTATTGAAAGAATGGATTAATTCTTTTAAAATCTAAAAGCAAAGAAAAAAAACTGGAAAACAATTGCAATTTACATCACAAAGTCTTAATATGTCTACCATGTAAAAACCTTCCCACAATGATAATGAAAGAGATCAAAATCTCTGTAGAGAAATGGGCCAAAGCTAAGGCACAAGCACTCCAAGACATTGATGATAAGAATACAAAATGTTACAACCCCTATGAAGATGAATTAGGCAATATGGAGCAAAATTACATATGTATTACCCTCTGACCCAGCAATCCTATGTCTAATATCCCAAAAATATTCTAAGGAAAAAGCATGAAATATGCATGCATAAGACTTCTTTGTAACATAAATTCTAAGAGCAGAAGACTGGAAATATTTGGGACTGATTGAATAAACTATAGTACAGCCACACAATGGTATACCATGTATCTGTATAAAAAAAGTATTTATCAGAAATAGTTCCATGTACAATTATGGAGTGATCTCTAGAATATATTATCAAGTGGTAAAATCAAGGGGAGAAATTGTATATAATATCTACTATTTATCTCTACTATTTATCTGTGAGAGGTGACAAGAAATAAATATGCATGAATATTTACTTATATAAAAATATAGAAGGATAAACCAACATCATTTTGAAAAATGTTTTGCCCTATTATAAAACAAAATAAAATTTTAAAAATCAATTCCTAAAAATCAGAACAAAACAAATAAATATGTTTAACTGACAAAACCACAATAAGAGGAATAATTTCAAATAACTTTAGAATACAATGATGACTCTATATTCTAGTGAAATATTCTCAAGGGATAAAATAGTACAAAAATGTTTTCAACTATTTTTAGGAAACAAAATATTAAAGGATGTGTTGGTATTATAATTCTTCTGCAATATATGCCTTTTGGATATATGTACATTGAGGGATAAAGCAAATTAACAATTATGTTGATGCCACTGGGAACTGGAATTTTCTGCGTGGCAGTGATTCCAATGTAAAGTTGATGAGGCTAAGTAAAACCTGCGGTCCTAAATTTAAATTGGATTTTCAGTATTAATTTATAATTCATTTTATGGATGTATATGTATTTCCTTATTATATCTACTCAGAAAGCCTAGAAACATTGATGAACTCAGTTAAGAGTGTGCAACTGTTAGACCCAAATTGTGGTCTCCGAAAACAATTTCTCACTGAAAGGAACCATGGCTCCTTAGAGAAATGGCTTTGTCCGGGACTAAGAAAAGAACAAGCCTGGAACACCTTCCCATATCAGAAAATCACAACAACAAAATTAGGAAATGATCAAAAATACTACAGTGGAGTCAAAAGAACTTAGGAATCCACCTGAAGATGGCCCAAAATAGACAATTTTAGTGTTAGAAAATGATTGTTAATTTTGTTAAATGTTGGCAATCGTGATTTTGAAGATAAGCATCTATTTACTGGAGATGCATGCGGAAGTATTCAAGAGTAATGTCATCATGATGCAACAAACCTACAACAAAAACATCCAGTATGAAAAAAAGACAGGAATAAATTAAATATGGGAAAATGTTAACAATCTTTGAGTCTGGATTGTAGATATATGAATATTTGTTGCATATTTCCTTCTACTTCTCCATATGTTTCAAATGTTTCATAATAAACATTTTAAAATGTAAAGTTAAAGCAGCCAAGTGCTCTCTTTTTCTCTCTTTGCTTAATATGAACTTGAATTCCCTCTTGGCCATACTTTTTCTAAGTTTCACAATTTGAATGTAATAATATGATAACACTGAAAATCAAGAGAAACAACTTGAAAAGTCAGTAACTGGTTTGCAACTCACTGCAGAAAACAAATGTAACTTTAACATCACAACTTCCTTTTGATTTTTAAAAAAATCAACTTGGTTATCACCATTACTCATCAGCCTTAGCTCAAGTGACTTTGGTAATTTCAAAAACACATGACTAAAGAATGAAAATGTAAGGGTATTGGCTATTTTGTGCCTTGGTTTGTGAGTTTCTAAAGATGAATTTTAAAAGTGGTTTGATTCAAGAAAATCATTATAGAAAGTGTGTGATCTGCTTACATGCTTACTTCCAAGAGGACAGCTCTCATATAAATGCTTAATTTCATGTATATTTGTTAAAAAATGCAAGCCAGTTATGGATCATATCTTAGTAACACCTTCATTCATCTTTTAATTTCATTCTGTACACAGTGCACATGATCACTGAGTAGAAATAAACAATGTAACAGAATCTTGAAAGTTTTAAAGCTAATTCTTTTACTACACATATTTCTAAAAAGCCATTCATTCATTCATTCATTTTCACAGGCCGTTTGAGATAATTATTCTAAAGTCAGTTTCGTTATAGAGGGCATTGTTTCTAAGGCATGTTTTGGAGTTTATATTTGTCCATATTAAGTCTGGTTATAAGTGGTATAAAACCCAATATAAGTGGCCTTAGTCTGTTTCTTTCCAAGGTCACCCTATGACCAAGATGGTTTCTCGTCAGGCCCACGTGCAAGTAACCAGAGCCAAATGTTCTTCTGGAGAAAAAACTCTAGGCCTAAGGCATTGACTTACTGACCTCTGTGCTCTGCTATTGTCTCATCTCTCATCTTAATAGTGTTCACTTGGAGAACATCTAAAGCAAAAGGCTTAGATCAGAAGGTGGCGCCTGCAGTGCCATTTCTACCAATGTTTGAATGGCAGTGCCCCGCCTCACCTCCTGTTAAGACTGCCACTCAAAGCTGCTGCTCCTGGCAGTCTCAGTTAGGTGCACAATTGGCCTTCTCAATCAACAATTCCATATTAGATGGCTCTCAGTCAACTTAGACTTCAGCCTATCTGTTTCTGGAGCTGGCAGCTGCAGCAAGAGCTTCCTGGTTGCACAGATTTCTTTCTGGTTGTGGCAAGATCAACAGCTCTATTTGGCAGCCTAGGTTTTTCATATGACTTTGGAAGACATCCCTGGAAGAGGAGCCTAGAGTCCGTTTCTTCATCTCTCCAAATAATTCTGTAATGATTTCTGTTTAAACTGGCTAGAAAGAATTATATTCATTGTATCTAAACCATGACCTCCTCGGAAGTATTCTGTTCTGTTAAATAAAATGTTATGTGAGTCCTCAACATACAATATGGATAAAAGCAGTGTGGCTCTAGTTGTGGTATGTGGAGGGGGTGGGAGCAGTGAGGTGAAAGGGAAGATCCAGGAGCCCAGCTCCCATGTTCTCCAATTTTCCATTCCACCATCCAGGATGGTCCCTGAGTCACCTCTGAGGAACCCCAAGACTCCCAAGCCACTATTTGAAAGTCAGTTAACATGTTCACTATTAATTATTAAACACACACATCAAATTGTAGCAATCACGTAAATGAGGTATGGTGTTCTCCCGGTGTGTCTGTGCACCCGCGAGTTATATGCCAGAAGGAGATAAAAATTTTCAAAAGTCTCACACAGAAATCTGGGTGTTGGTCTTAAGCTCCCAGCCTGGACTGTGATCACTATCAGCATGGCACGCAGGTGGGGCTGGAGGGCCCTGTGTCCTGCCCATGAGTTTCCTGTTAGGTCTGTGGCTTGGTCACTCTTTGAAGATCCTTGCATTGCTTAAGGTCACACTGCTCAGAGCAGCTTCTGCTCAGATGGCTTCTGCTAACCCTGGGTCCCCTCCCTCACAGCTGAACTTCAGACCAAGGTGACAGGTTAATTCCTCTGAGTATTTACAGCTATGATTCAACTTGGTTTGGGGCACTGATTTTGCTAATGTCCTCTCTTTGGACAACTGTCTCCTTTCTGCTCCTCGCTGAGAGCCCCAGCAAACCCAACTGGCGAGTCATTTGCCTCAACACAGGCCGGGGGCTCCTAGCAGATGCCGGAGGTTCTAACTCTCTGTATCTCAGCAGAGGCCACAGTGGGCGGATGTGCTCCATCAATTGTGCTCTTTCACCCTGCACTGAACTTGAATGCCTATTTGTTTTTAATGGCTTATAAGGAATCCTGAGCATCCCTCTCACTCTCTTTTCCTCCTCAGAGCCAGTCCTAGACAGCCCGCTTCCCCTCCGCAGGCCCCTGCCCTAGGCCCTCTTAGCCTAAATTGTCGGCCCCAGAAAAGTGCCTGCAGCCTCCAAGATGCTCATCTCCAAGAGGAGGCCGTACGCCATCCTGTGCCAACCTGGTCAGACCGCTCGTGTGCAACTGTGACCAAGTCCCTGGACTTACCATGCCTCAAGTTCCTGGGTTTGGAATACGTGGGGCCTAAGGCTTCTCACTGCTTTGAGAAGATATAGCTCTAATGAGTAAATGCTTCTAGGACATGACAGACATGTAAGAGGTGTTTCTTCACGTGCCCTAGAAAGGTAGTTGTGCTGATTCTCTAAAATAGACTTCACAGTTTAAGGGCATCTGAACCATGGAAAAGAAAGCTGTTTTATACCTGAAAAGTTATTTGTTGGTCCTGGTTGGGGAATGTTTAAACCAGAATTTTAAAATATGCCCATTAATTAACTGACATATGAAGACTTACCATGTATAAGTCCCTGTGTTTAGTATTGAGTGGCTTGTGAGAAACAGAAGAGAATTAGTTTGCTCCTGGATGGAAGGTGTGAAACAAGAAGGTAGGTGCAAGGCAATTTGACATTTAAAAAGAGAGAGGTGCATGAATTCATTTTGAATGGCCCATATTCTATTAAAACAGGTAGGAGTCTATGTTAAGAACGAGGAATTGGAATCTTAAAGTAAGTGAAAAAGACGTCATGATATTTCAAAAATAAAGGCATTAGACTAATGGTTCATTAATGTATTTCAACGTGTTTTATGCATTTTAAAACACACATCTAATGTATACATTTAAGACATTTAACTTGAAATGCATTTAATGCAAAATATATTTCAAGTATTTTAAAGCAAGTATAATAAAAGAGAAAAGCAAAATCATTCTATGTATTAGAGACTATGCAATAGCAATGAAATCTATTTTGATTATATATGTTCACTAACATGTTTTCACACATAAAATATGAGCTATTAATTAAATTATTTTACTCTTTTTAGTCATCCAGTTGGTACACAAAATTGTAAGCACTACAAACATTAAATCACATTCTTACACTGACAATCTCACTCTTTTTTGGTTTTCAGTAATATCTACTACACCCATTTGAAACAATCTCTGCTTTAAACTTTTGTAGAACATTCATGTTGCTCCCACATGTTCTAACCAGCCTTCCGAACTGACGGTTTCACAGTCACTTGGTGATTTTCTTGAATAGCTATTATTTTTGAGATCATCAAGAAGGCTCCCAGTGCTGGGCTCCCTTTGGGGGGTAAGACATGTGTCTTCCAACGTCAAAAGAGGCAGATGCACAATGGAGAGATATCTTTCGCCCTCTGGATATGCTTCTCCAGTATGCTTCTCTACATGTGCAAACCTCCTCAAATCAAAACTGCCTTCCTCCCTAGATCTGCTTCCCTTCCCTGCTCTGTAGCTTCCATTAGTCCACTGCTAAATAATTGATCTAAGTAATCATTAATAATGATAATAAAAATAGTCATGGCAACACTGACGGAGTGCTGAGTCTGTGTCAGGAACCACTGTAAGTACTTTATTATATTTATTCATTTAGTTACCCCTGGGAGGTAGGTGCAATTATTATAAATTCTAATTTCACAGATGAGGAAACTGAAGCACCAAGAGGTTGGATAAGGTTCCAGAGGCCACAGAAGTAAGTAGCAAACTCAGGACTGGAGCTCAGGATGGGCTGCACAGCCCATCTCTTAACTGCCACACCATGCTGCCTTATGCCAAGGGCATTTTTAATATGTAATTTTTAAAAAACAAGCAAGTAACTATCAGTTTTTTGCTATTCAATGGCTAATACAACCTGGCAAACATTTTGATATAAACATTCACACAAAATCAACAAATGTTTCAGAGCATCCAAAGTGAAAGGCCCAGATAATTAACTCAATTAGAATTTGTGTCTCTTGTGAAAGATAAAGAGCTATTCTGGGGTCCTTTTAAGAAGTTCCCATAAATAGATCCACATAAGCAGGCTCTGCGTTGCAGGGCCTTACCGAGCTTTCAAGAACCGTTGGCTGCAACTGTGGCCAGGATACATTAAATGCATCCTGAGGCTGAGGCCCTGCAGCCTCTGAAGGCGGCCCTGCCAGCCCCTCCTCCCACATCCTATGCACAACCAGATCCATGGTGTTAGGGAGTGAAAGCAGCATTTCAGTTACTCAGTCACCCACTGGTCCCTAGAAAATGCCTCTTCAGACACTTAAAATCCCCTCATTCGAATTAAGCACTGGCATTAAAACTCTTAAAGATGCGCCCTTTTTGTAGGGCATCGGTTATTTTGCATCACGTCCAGCTTCACACTTGCTGAATATGGGATTGAGTATGAGCAGCTGCATCCAGTTATGAAAGAGGGAGAAAAAGAATAGCTCCATTTCTTTTGAATTCCAGGTCTTCTGGGAGCACGTGACCACAGCCCACAGCGCAATCTTTAGTCTCATTCCCGCCAACCTAATGACAAGTTTCATCTTCAAATTGTGAGCAGGATTTTGACAAAGTTAATTATTTCGAGTCACAGCCTTTGTTATGAACAGGTTCATATGCTCAGTCCCCAGAATATCTTGAGTTCTTTTTGGCGTTCACTGTTTCTGAAGATTAAGACTCGGAAAGAACAGGCAAGACTTCCGGTTCGTCTCTACCTGGCTTGACTGTTTTTGCAGGCATTAAGTAAAGAAGGTTCTTCCAGAACCTTGAGTTATAAGAAAGAGATTTATCGGCCTTCCACTTCAGAACTCTGTGAGATTTCAAAAGCTTTAGTGATTGGGGCAAGAATGTGAAGTCAGTAACAGGTGTAAATTCAATTAAGATTATTTTAATTTTTCTTTCCACCAATGCTTCATGGAGTCCACTTTCAAGTTCATACCTGACCTCATTAGACATATAACTTTTACTTAGGACAATGATTAGTCTTCGGCTTTTCTCTATCAGTGAGTGGATTTCATCAACAACAGCTGAAAATGCAAGATAACCCCTATTAATTTAAGATAACTGAAAGGGGGAACATGAGATAAAAGTCATTTTGCACAGTCTTATTTTATATTAACTCCTAACCTCACTAATAAGTTTTTCTTTAAGACAAACCATTTGTTCTTAATTTTATATGCTTATTAAAAAATCTCTAGGTAACAATAATAATGAACACCTACTTAGCACTTATTATGTACCATACCTTATTTTAAATGTTTTTTGTATATTAACTCATTTAATCATCATAATACGCTACAGAGAAGATACTGTTATCACCTCCATTTAACAAACAAGGAAGCCGGAGCACAGAGTGGTTAAGTAACCTGCCCAGAGTCACACAGCTAGTAAATGGCAGAATCAGAATCTAAACCCAAGTGGAATACATTTTTCTAACTATTATACTATCCTGCTTCTCCTCAAGCAGAAAAGAGCATGCTAAAATCAGAATTTAAAGATTAAAAGACAAAAAGGCACAACAAAACAAAACCATCCATTATTTTAGACCAGGGGTTGGCAAACTTTTTCTGCAAAGGGCCAGATAGTAAATATGTTAGGCTTTGCAGGTCACACTGTCTTTGTCACAACTACTCAGTTCTGTTGTTGTAGCTCAGATGCAGACGCAGGCGACAGGTAAACCAATGTGCGTGGCTGTGTTTCAATAAGGGTTGCAGGTGTGATGGAACCCGTGGCTGGTAAACTGCCAACCCCTGTTCTAGACCTCTCACTGTTCTCAAATAGAGGTTTAACCAAACCTAATTACAGCTGAATATTCAAACATTATTTTTATTTATGAATTAAGAATAAATCTGTTTTCAAGAAAGGCCCCTAGAAAATAACGGAAATATAGTAAAATTGATGTATGGCCCAGAATAAATGCTTCCTAAGTAACAATATGCCTTCTTAGATGCAAAGAACTGCTATCCAAAAATACTACAATGTATGCATCTGATAATCTGGCATATTTTTTTGACAAGTTGTTTATTACTAAACAGTAGTGTAAGTTAGCAATATTTTCCTTTCTACTTTGTAATATGGGGGGGAATGTAACTATTTCTTTCTCACTGTTATATCTTTGATGCCCAGTTCACAACTTGGCACAGGAATAGTATCCAATAAATATTAGATTAATACATGAATGATGGTAATAATCAAACATTTGTTTTTTTTTTTTAAGCATCAGTATCCAGAATAATTTGACACCAGATTTTAAATGTTTGTTCTAAAGACTTCAGAGAAAATCTAAAAATGTTACTCATTAAAAAGAAAAATTTAACAGTAATTTGCTTTAATATAGGCACTATGGCCATTTGTATTCCTATATTAATAAAAAAAACATTGAATTTCATAGCTATGATCTGATGGGGATCACCGCTTTCCTGTTATTTTTCCCTTTTCAATTTTCCTATTTTCTACTTAAATTTCGTCACCAATATCAACACAATAAAAACCCATGCATTTTCTAGTAATAATTAACCCGTGTTTATTTCTAGTAAGAGTTACTAGTGAGGATTAACTAGTCCACACATCACATGTTAAATTAGGAACTGCTGCTGTGGTACAGATATTCTCACCGTGGGTCATTTCTAAATAAAGGCTTCATGATAACGCCAGCTCTGGGCCCGGTTCTGAAAAGGAAATGCCCTCTCCCTTTCCCCAAAGTTTCAGAGAACCGTGAAGCACAAAGAACAGAGCCCAAGAGAAGAGACTATTGGAAGCTCATTAGTTTGTTTTCTCACTATCGATTGTTGACTTACGTGGTTATTTCTTGCTTAAAGGACCTTATTCATTTGTTTTTAAGGAAAATGGGATAGCTCTCTGGGGGCTAGCTCATTCATTTTTTAAAAAGAAACTATCTTGAATATTTTTCTATCTGGCATTCCCTCTTACCTCCTCCAGGCACTACATCCCTTTCAAATATGCATAACTTATACCCAAAATGTTTCTCCAACACCCTGGGCAAAATCTCCACAGCAAAGGTGTGCTCCTCTCCATTTTCAGGTCGGCATTCTTTTAGGTAAGACACAAAAGCATCATATGTTTTTCCATCTAGGAGGTAAGATTGGCTCTTTTAATTCATGTGTAAATAAAATTTTATTTAAGTACAAACTTAAGTGAATGTCGTAAGTAATGAGTATAGAATCATTGAAAAAACAAATTATATATAAAGTTGTTTATATTTAAACCTCCCATGCTAACCAAGCAACCAATTAGCCAATGTGTTTTTAAGCATCTACTTTAAGATCCCACTGCTTGACACCACAGAAGAATACAGAGATATATGAGCCATAGATCTGGGCACTAAAGGAACTTAAGTCTTTAAGTTCCTTAGAAGGCCAAGAGCCCAAAGGTGTCCTCATTCCAGGAGTGGAAAGAAAATCTCACCCTGGTTTACTCATATCATTTAATTCTACCACCATCACAATTTCTATGCTCAGAAAGACCCCCAAGAAGGTGAAAATGTCTCCTAAATAACAAAGACCATGCTCCTAATTGGGTAATTAAAACATGATACCACTCTCTCTTCTAGCTTCATCCAATCTATTTTTAAAAGCAAAGCAGATGCATGCAACAACTTGGAAAAAGTTACAGACAACACATTAGCAGAAGAAAAATAGCATAACAAAAAAAGAATAACAAAACTCACAGACAAAATAACCTGGCCAGAGAATAAAGAGTGATCCCGATGGACATGCTTTCTGAAAGGAGGAAATTTTGAGTCAGGTCCTAAAAAATGCAATGGATGCTAATTGGGATCTGTAGAGAAAGAAGGAAAGTAGTGGGGAATGGTCTACCTTTATCCCATGACAATTGTTTTGATGGCAGATGATGGCAGATGGGTAAGATTTATGCATGGCATATTGTTGGGATTAATGAATTTGCTACTGAGTTTGAGGCTACATATAACTGCAACCCCTATTAAAATCTAATAGGATAAAACCATTCTAGATCTATGTCTCTTATGGTGCCACATCATTTATGCTTAACAGCCCAGCCTGGCATCCTCCATAGCACTCATGGTCACCAAACAACACTTTCTGCTTCTGGCAAAATCTTCTTCAGTTCTACTTACAGCATTCTGTTCAGCAATTTGGGTTAGAACCTATTGTTGATTTAAAGCAATTGCTTTGCAGAATTGCATGCATTGAAAGATGAAAAATGTTGGTAAAAATTTCAGGCTTACATAAATATCAAAGGTATGAAATGTTGGTAAAAATAAAACCAGTTATCAATCAGTAAGTAGGTTCCCCCTCAAACTTTTCTTAAACTGCTATCAAATATAACTATCTACTAGTTAAGTAAGAGCTAGTGCTTCCACTAGGGTTGTCACTGTGTCAGTGACAAAACAGGCATCAACATGTAAGACAATTAAATGAGCACACTTTTTTAAAGGGCATAATTTTCTTATGATGTAATGGATTGCAACAAACTGGGAAGACGATTTCATCAAATATGGGTTTATATTACATACAATATAGCTTTGCTCTTACCTATGAAAAATTAGCTTTTCAACTATTAATTGCTTTCAAATTCCTTATTTTAAGCAATTCTTTTAATATAAATATGCTAATTTTATTACAATATATTTTAAATTCAGGTTTTAAAAGGTTTAGGGGACTTGAGAATTGACAGAGTAAAGTATTCAAAAAAAGGAATTTGAAAACTAATGGTAATGTTTTTATTCTCTATATTCAAACATAAAGGAAAATTATAAAGGAAATTATAATTCAAGTGGATATTTGGGACTTCAAGGAGTAAGTTAAACAAATGTTCCTCAAACTATGCTTGGTGAATGACCATGTTTTAATTTAAATTTGCCTTTTTTTGTTGTTGTTTATTGATTAGTTTCATTTCCAATCCTTCAGAAACCAATACTGAACACTTTCTTAGATATTGCAGCAGTATTAAATTGTGATAAAAGTTTTTATCTTCATACTTATATCTCCATTTCTGTCCTTTTCGTGGACTGCATTTGTTCATGGACCATAATTTAATGGAAGTGATTTAGAGCATGTCTCTAAATGTCTCTGCACTGCCATATTGACAGTTAAGAAGTGTGAATTGAAAAAATTACCGCAAATCATGTCAAACACAACTGGAGAAGGAAAAAAGAAATCTTAGCTCCAGAAAGTCAGAAAGAGAGGAGCTAGTCAATGTTTATTTGAAGACAAACACTGGCCTATGCAAACAGAGACCATTCAGAAAATATCAAATACAGATTTCCCCGTTTGTTACAGCATCATCTCTCCCCATAGCAAACTCGCACATGCACATGCAGGCTCAAAGCTAAATTCACTAACCTTGCTAATTTTATGTTGTTCAATTTAAAGTTCTAAATGTGAAAACTAAACCTATAAAAATCTCAGAGGAACTAATATAATTTTTGTATAACTTGAGGTTAAGAAGGCTGTTTTGCTTATGATCCCAAATCCAGAAACCATAAAAGATACATTTGAGTATGTTTTTCAAAAAATCTTTTATATAGCACACCACTACAAGCAAAGTCAAAAGACAAATTACAGCCTGGGAATATTTGCATTTCATATTATAGATAATAAGCTAACCTCCCTAAAATATAAATAGCTCCTAGAAATAAATACGCAAAATAAAGCCATTGCCCCATGGAACAATAGGCAAAAGATATGAATGGGTGTGTTGAGAAAGGAAATACAGCTGAGCCTTATGCAAATGAAAAGTTGCTGGTTCTCTTGCATAGTAAGGGAAATGCAAATTAAAATGTCACTTAAATACAACTTTTCACCTATCAGATTGGCACAACTCCAAATGGTTGTGGGTAAGGTTATGGGAAAAAATTTGCTGTCATCTTTTGAAGGCAGTAGGGAGGGTGAATTGACAGTATCTAGCAAAATAATGGCTGTGTCTCCTTCTTGTATTCTAGAAACTCCATTTTGGAGAATTTTTCTTTCAGACCTACTGCATACATATGAAACGATGAATGTATAAAGCTGTCCATTGCAGCATTTTTATAATAACAAAAGATTGGAAACAAGCCAAATGTCCATCAAAAGGAGACTAAATAAACAGTGGTAGCTCTGCACAAATAAAATACTGTGCGGCCCTAAAAAATGATGGACTGCTTTATAAAGTAACATGCAAGTGTGTCTAAGGTATAAGAGAGCAAAGTTGAAAAGAGTGCGCATATTAAGCCAGGATTTGTTCTTTTTAAAAGGAGGTGTGTAATAAGAATCTGTATTGATATTTGGTCAGATGTGCTATCAATGAGGGGTGGGAATCATAGATCCAGGACCAGGCTGGAAGGGGGGCTACTGAAGTATAATTTCATAGACATTTTGGGTTTTGAACTCTGTGAAGGTTTTTTTCCTGCAAACACATACATGCAAAACAAAATCAAGTGCAATGAATTAGACTGACTTCCTTTAAATTAGTAATTATCTGGAAACTTGAGGACTTCTGGTCACCTTTAAGTATAAGGAAACTGAGGCATAGAGCCAGCGGGTCGACATAGTAGCAGATAAAAACTGGCAGGTCTAGGAGACATGATTCCAGATCATTTGGCTTCCAGCTCGGGGTTCTTTTTCTCTCTCTTTTTTTTTTTTTTTTGAGACGGAGTCTTGCTTTGTCGCCCAGGCTGGAGCGCAGCGGCGCGATCCCGACTCACTGCAAGCTCCGCCTCCCGAGTTCACACGCCATTCTCCTGCCTCAGCCTCCCGAGTAGCTGGGACTACAGGCGCCTACCACCACGCCCGGCTAATTTTTTGTATTTTTAGTAGAGACAGGGTTTCACTCTGTTAGCCAGGATGGTCTCGATCTCCTGACCTCGTGATCTGCCCGTCTCGGACTCTCAAAGTGCTGGGATTACAGGCGTGAGCCACCGCGCCCGGCCAGCTGGGGGTTCTTACACGTCCATTATGTAAGCCTCCTTTGCCAGGTTGAAATAATGAGCGATAGGACAATTCAATCTAACTTAAAGCAACTTTATTGAGTGTATGTACTATAAAGATACCTAAGTGATGCATGCACAAAGACACCCAGATATACAGTTCCTGGGCCCGAGCATCTCCCAGGGCATTTAGGAAGCTATGACATACATACACGAGACAATCAGAACAATTTTGGGCAACACATAAGTAAGCACAAGAAAAGAAGACATAGACAACATTCATAATGGATGGTACAGGCAGAACAATATTTCCCATAGAAAACCTCTCCCACAGATTAATTCTACAATATCATCACAATAAGATGAAGATTAATGCCTATTTATCTGATTTCTTAATGAGAACATAAGGTAAGAAATTCCAGCATTATATGTGTTACCTGTTAATGTTTCATCTCTTCTCGTTAAATGTCTATAAAATAGAACCAAGTCAACTCTATAAATGACACACACAGTCACTAGGCACACTACTGCCACCAAGATCAAAACAGCTATGATCATTCCTCTTGTGAAGACGTGGCCTGGGATATCAGCCATGTCTGCTAGAAAAGAAAGGGAAAAAGGAAAAGAAAATAATCAAGAAATCTTACCAGTGTTGTCCATCATCACGTGCTTGTCCATTTTTACTGCTAACACTAATGCAGTAGTTGCCAACCCACGTGCTGACACATTCCACTGAGTGACTCCACATTCCTGCCTTTAGTCTGGAGTAGTGATATTTCTACTCAGATTTTTAAAGAATAAAAATGTGTACACGGATATTTAGAGAACTGAAGTGAAAACATTACACAGTAATGTATTCTATCCGTACCCGTGGAAATCAGATTTCTGGGGTGAAGAGATACTAGGCTGAAACACATAGGGACTCACAGAAATATTAGCAAGTGGGTTGAGGTGCATAGTTTTGAGAGAAGAGAGAGAGCACTGGATTGACATTTGTCTGGGTTTGCAGCTGGGCTCCATCAATTATTTTGTATTGTAGGAAAAATCGTGAATGCCCTTAAACCTTGGTACCTTCATCTGTAAAATGAAGATACTAACTGCTTCACTTACAAGGCTGCTCCTTTGGGGAAGATTAAATGAAATATTACACAAAAAGTAGTTAATACAGCACACAGCTCTTGGAATTTTAGCAAATTCTTTGTATAAAAGTATCATTTGGAAAAAAATACATTTTCTAGATTGATTCCGTTTATGTTTATTATGGACAATCTGAGATAATACAGAGGAATAAAAAGAATAAAGTAATTTTTAACAACAAATCACAATGTGGTGAAGGCTGTGTTAACATGATAGAATATTTCCTTCTGGGTTTTCTTTTTGTCTCTTAAACTTTTTAGTTAACTGAGATTATATGGTAATCACTCATTATTTCTGAATATTATATTATGAGCATTTCAGTAGGTCATTAAAATTATAATTCATAATATCCTAATATTTAGATTGATTGCAATTTTTAGTAAGTAGACATAAAGTTGCAGTACATTTTATATGTATAAGTGTATACATGTATAATATTTATATAAATGTGTAACCTTGTATGTATATGCATATACATTTGCAAATATGTGTATATATACATGCATATATGTATATACATATACAAAAAGGCATATACATTTATCCATATTTCTAATTCTTTCTTAAAATAGATTGTAATGGTGGGGGCATCTCTAGGTCAATGAGCATAAACGTGCTTAAAACTTTTGCCATCTTGGTGCAATTTTTAAAAATTATCTTTCCATATCTTTCTACTATCTTTAGGATTCAGGCAAGCAGCTAATGTTGTTTAATAGTGAACTCTGAGCAGACTCAGGGTCTGGGGCTCCTGTACCTTGGAAAGGACTGCATAGTCATAACTGTGTCACACATTTGCAAAAACACGCACGCACACATTGGCACGGGGTGATGGTGGGTTGTGAGCCCCAATTTCTAAACCTACATTTGTGAGAGCAGCAGCAGGAGAATTGACTGGCCAGAAGCGTCTAGGGCAGGAATAGGACAGTCCTGCCCTGTTCTAAGAAAGGAGAGGTGATCCGGTGGTGAGCAGGCCCCAGGAAAGCCTGGCCAGGTGATGGTCCAACAAAGATTTGAGCCCCACTCCCTCACAAGTGAGTGGACCACAGCACAGGCAATCACACAGGGGTGGAAGACCACAGGCGACAAGCCCTGCAGAAGGTAAGAACACAGATTCCAGATTTAATCGGGTCTGAGTTTCAATACCTTCACCTGCCGTGTGACCCTGGGCAAGTTTCTTCACCTCTATAAAGCTTGTCGTTAAGACTGGATGAGATCATGGCAGGAACTTCACCCAGATCCTGTCATGTAATTAACATGTATGGGATGTGAGCTGTTGTTATGAGTGCATATGGTAGAGAGGCGGCTCTAAAACATGTGTGCTGGGGGAGCTGCCCCTGGGCACCAGGATAGCCCAGCTGGAGGGGGTTTCCAGCCTTTGTGCTCTTCCTGTCCCACTCCTTCCGTTTCTCACAAAGCCAAGGCCCAGTCTGTGTGTGTGGCTGTCTCTGCATGTTTGTGTGTGTCTGTGTGTATCTCTCCCTTACTCTGTCTCTCTGTCTGTTTCACTCTCATCTCTCTGTATTTGCATCCCTTCATGTCTCTGCCTCTCTATCTCCCTCTTTCTCTGTTCCTCTGTCTCTGTGTCTCTCCCTGTCTCTCTCATTTCTCTGTCTCTCTGTGTCTCTGTCTCTCTTTCTCTTTCTCTTTCTGTCTTCATCTCTCTAGAGTTGTCTGTTTGTCTCTGTCCCTCCATCTCATGTATCTCTCTTTCTCCTCTCTCTGTGTCTGTCTCTCTCCGTCTCCATCTGTCTCTGGGTGTGTTAGTCTCTGTCTCTCTCCCTTTCTCTCTCTCTTGCAGATCTTGACCTTTCTCTACATATCCAGGGAGTTGATGGTGGAGCCTGGGAATGAACAGTGAATGAGTAGTGACAACTGGAAATCACAGCTTTCTGGCTCCAGTCACAGCCATTTCTGAGCAGCTACTGGGCTGAAGGCCCTGGGCTGTGCTACTTTGGTGGAGGAAAGGGATGGCGACCCTGGGGCCCTCCATCAGGTGAGCACTGAAAAACTTTAAGAGCCCACAGATCAGGGCTATCAATGGCCTGCTTGCCAAGTTCAGGAGGCAATGAATGAATGAGCACACACAAGGACCCTGAGCCTGGTACCCTGCTGAGGCAGGCTGGAGCAGCAGTCACACCAAGTTTGCACTGGCCTCACCCCACGCAGATCTGCAAACTCCCCTCTGGCTGCTCTGGGTGCAGTGCTGGGTGCAGGGGTTGTCCTGATGGCCTCCCCATGAGCCTCACTCTCAGCATCTGTATCTCCAAGCCTCAGGCCCCCCGATTTCCACATGGGATGGAATATGACTGTGAGAGCAGGTGAATGAGTTCTGTTTTCATTCTCTGCTTGGCATCATGAGACAGAGGGGCCCCACTGAATGCCTGTGACATGAGGTGACTGATTTCCCCTCTCAGGAGCTGGGTTCTGGTGTGGAAAATGAGAAAGTGGCCATCTTTGAAATGTCTCTCAGTAGCAATGAGCTAAGTTTCAAAACTTCCAAAAATAAATCTTTCTCACCTTTTCTCACCAAGATGAAGCTTTTGGTGTCTGTGCCTCCCGTGCTGGCCACAGTGCAATTATATAAAACATTTAGATTGCTTTCACCAATATTTTCAATTCTCAATACTTTTGAAGCATGCCATTTGCCTTCTGGAGTCCTGTAAGAGGGCAAAATAATTTAGCAGTAGGCTCTGTTCGTTACCCTTGAGAGGGGAATTCACATGTTTAAAATGCTTGAAGGCAGCTGTGATGTTGCCTGCATTATTTCTTCCCTTTCTGGCCAGTACTCTTAAAGCATGGACTACAATAAACGTCCCCTCCTCCGTGGAGCATCAGAACTGACAGAAACAGCCCTCCTGAGGCCATTTGGGAATGGTGCTGTCAATTACCTGAAGTTTAAATGGCTGGAAGATCATGATGCTAAGTTGAAAATATAAGAAAATATTCTCTCTCAATTATTTTTCTCTACTTCTCTCTTCCTAACAACTTGGGGTTCTTTCCACAGAGTGGTTCCCACTAATTATGACAAGGCTGTAAGTTGTTTAGCATAGATGCAGATTCGTATTACATTTGTCCATGGAATCCAACAAACTGGTTTAATGTGTTCAGCATTAAAAAACATAACACTGTTCTCAAGCACCCCGAGGCACATGAGAAGTGCCAGTTAAGTTGTTCCATGAGTGTCAGAAAATGACTTGAGAAAGCCACTGGCAGCACGTTCTTTTTCTCTTCCTTAAAGGATTCAAGTTGTCCTGTGGTTGATGCCAGGTAAACACTTATGACATCCACTTCCCCCACCAATGACAGGCTCTGATAGCTACACCAGTCAACACAGCCAGACATGGGCCCCATGTGCCCACATTCCTAGCAACAGGGATATCTAGGACCCGGGACACAGAGCCCCACTGTAGCCTCCAACTGCCTCAAGTACATTTTGGAATGTAATTCTTTTCCTAAGTCACCCATCCAGAAATAACAACCATCTAAAACCAATGAAATCCAGAAGTAAAACACAGGAGGCCATTGAGAGGACAAAACAGATGATATCAAAGGTGTGTGCACCCAACTATAAAGAAAGACCTCTCTGCTTTTGTAGCTTAAGCTGCATTTCTAAGAAATTCACTGTGGTTTTCTACCCCTCTAAAAATTAGAAAGAGATTATCCAAAGGGAGAAATACAAAACTCAAATGGAGGCCAGTGGCTGAGGATGAGATATGATGGCAGGAGATCCACAAATTTCAAATGAATTCAACATGTAGTGGGCATGAACCACATGCCTGCTCCCGGGCAAGAAGCCAGACTTTGTGGTGTAAAGAGCTTGTAGACAAGTGTCAGCAAGAATGTAGAGCTGCAAGCATGGTAACAAAGAAGGTACCAAAAAATGTGTAAAAAGCAGAAGAAAAAACTCAACAAGTGCAGCAAAGGTGGTAGACAACTTAGGCTCAGCACTCACTAGACCCTGAGTAGTGTATCAGTATAATAATGAATACTTACAGTATGACCCAAAGTCATTCAGAAAAGCTTAGGTGACTATATGTTTAGACTGATTCTTTTTATAAGTTTGACCATTCCTTAATGGAAGAATATAGGCTTATTTAACTATCAATATGCATGCCATTTGGAGCCTTTTTGGCCCATTAGAAAAATAAACAACTTAACAAATTTTTCAAAATAAAAAAAAGCTTGGCCTAGGCAACTGCCCTTTTCTAAGAAGCTAAGTAAAATCCCCATCCCCATCGGATCCTGACTGACCAAGTGCTACTTTATAAGGTGATGCTAAATACCCTCAATGGCCTTCTCATGGACCTTCTTTTCCAGCTTAGATCTTGGCAATACATTTCTGCATAATGCGTCCACCTAGGGTATGGCCACTATAATTATAAAATATGTCCATTATAATTATAATTTAAACTAGCCCAAAATACACATCAGCCACCCAGTGTTTTTAATATGATGTTATATATAATATATATGATTGTTATATGGTATATATCATGACATATATATTACACATACATACATAATTCTCATTTCTTTCTCTTCATGTATATTAGGATCCGATCCATTTTCTTCCCCGAACATCCAATAAATTACATCCTCTTCATTCAGCAAAGCAGAGCAGTTGAGCCTTACGTTTTTTCCTGGTAAAAGTTGGCAACTAAAGTTCTGATTTTTGAAACTCAGGTTTCTTAAAAGTTTCAAAACAATATAATCAATGTATGTTAACCTAAAGCAAAACGTGGTGCTCCATCCCAGAAAGAGAATAAATATGCCTTGCTTTAAATAAAACAAAATATATAAAGCAGAAGAAATAGGTAGCAATTACAAGTCATCATCAAAACATGATTTGGCTTCTTTTTAAACATTTATTTTTTAATCAACTATTAAAACTTAGAGTGATCAGTGTACTTTCTTTTCGTAGCATCAGGACAATACTCTCACTGAGACTTCTAGATAAACCAAATGGATAAATCACAAAAAAATTAAATTAAGCAAACATTAAAGACATCAAAGTACAGAGAAAATAAAGAGAAATTTTTGAACTACAAGCGTACTTAAGAAGGATCCTTTCTAGGGTGAGCTAAGATAGGTGGCCATTTCATTCCATGGAAGAATTTGCTTTGGTTTGTAATTAACAGAAAGAGTCTCATAGAAACAAGAAAATCCAGTGAAGCTCTCGGCAGCTGCACAGGCTTGCAGAATTACTGCTAAGCGCTCGGACAGCGTAAAAGGATGTAAAGGCTGTATGATATCACTTGCAGTCTCATGGTAATCAGGAGAGCAAGTCTCATTAGAGAAGAGGCCTGCATCAAACACATGACTGCAGCACCCCCTCCCTCACCAGCTATCAGAGATGAAGACAGATTGGAGTGAACATACCTACATCCCAGCCACCCCAACTCAATTCTGAGTCAACTGAGATACTCAACTCTCAGGCTACCTACTTGTAAGAAAAAATAACACAAACTGTATTCACTTTAATTGTTTGATACATAAAGATCAACAACAATAAAAAGTTAAGAGACATACAAAGACACAGAAAATGTGCACCATAATCAATAGAAAAGACAGCTAATAGAAGCAGACCTACAGATGCTGAATTTAGCAGATTAAAAACTGTAACTGTTTGAAAGAAAATAGAGGAAAAGATAAACAAGTGGATGGAAATATGGTCATTTTCAACAAAGTGTAATTTATTTTAAAAAGAATAAATTGAATATTTGTATATCATGCATATATGATATAGCAACTGTAACAGTAATTTTAAATATACAGATGGACTAAACACCATACTGACCATATTTCAAAAAAGACCCAAATACATGCAGTTTATGAGAGACACTTATGTATAGAACAAAAAAAAATGTTAGTAGTAAAGGGATGTTTAAAAAAAGACAAATATGCCAATTCCAAGCAAAAGAAAACTTGTGTGATTATTTCATATGACAGAGCTACACATTGAGAGAGGAAGTGTTATGATAGATAAAGAGAGATATTTCATAATGATAAAAGTGTTAATTCAACGAGCATAAATCCGTGTATGCATATAAGATAGCTCCAAACTATGTAAGACAAAAATTGACAGAACTAAAGGAGATAGAGACACATTGACCATAATAGCTGGAGATATTCACATCTCTTTCAGCAACACATGGAACAAGCAGATAAAAGATTAGTCAGGATATAAATTTTTTGAACAACACCATTAATGAACTTAACCAAATAGACATTTAAAGAATAATAAAACAAAAACCTATAGAATATACCTTTGTTTCAAATGCACTTGGAACATTCAGCAAGATATACCATACTGTGGGCCTTAAGTAAGTCACTACAAATTCCAAAAGGTTGAAATGACACTGTGTATAATCTTGGACTATAATGAATCTAAACTGGACATGAATAAGAGACAAGAACTAGAAAGTTCACCAAATATTTGGAAATTAAGAAATACCAATTTTTTTTGTTGGAAAAAGAAATCATAAGGGAAATTTTAAGTAATGGTTTAAACTGAATAGAATGAAAATATGAGAAACAGCTAAAGTAGTGTTTACAGGGAAACTTGGAGTTTGAAGGTATATACTACCAGAGGATAATTAAAATTAATTATCTAACTCTTCAGGTCAACAAACTAGAACAAAAGATACAAGTTAAGCCCCACTGAGTAGAAGAAAAAAATAAGAAAGACAAAGACAGAAATAAATAAAAATATAAAGCAGGTAAACCTCATGTACAAATGGCATAGGACCCAGCTGCACTGGGCCCATGTGGTCATATAAACCACTGTGACCCCAACTGTGGTTATAAGGTGGGGACTTTGGAAGCAAAGTCCCCAAACAGAGACTTGCCACTTTTTAGTGATTTAACTTTAGACAAGTTACTTAGCCTTTTTGCACTTCAATTATTTAATTCATAAAATGAGAATACATGCCTCAGTGTTGCTTGGAGGATTTAATTCAACAATATATTTCAATGACCTAGCATGATACCTGGCTTAGCATATTTAGCATATGTGAATTTCTTCCTTTCTTTCTTTCCTTTCTCTTTTGAAAGAAATTACTCAATTGGACATGTTGATTCATAAGACTTATCTAGACAAACTCCAAATATACAATCAATTCAGTCAATTGATTCAAAGTGAATCAATTAATCAAACATTCACACCACAAAATTAGTTTGACTCATCTCTCCAGAGTGCTCTCACGGAATTTTTAAATTTATTATTGTTATTATTATTATTATTTTTGAGATAGAGTCTTGCTCCGTTGCCCAGGCTGGAGTGCAGTGGTGTGATTTCAGCTCATTACAACCTTGCCTCCTGGGTTCAAGAGATTCTCCTGCCTCAGTCTCCTGAGTAGCTGGGACTACAGGTGCATGCCACCATGCCTGGCTAATTTTTGTATTTTTAGTAGAGATGGGGTTTCACCGTGCTGGTCAGGTTGGTCTCAAACTCCTGACCTCAAGTGATTCACCTGCCTCGGCCTCCCAAAGTGCTGGGATTACAGGCGTGAGCCACCATGCCCGGCCTAAATTTTCATATTTAGAAATGACCATAGAGAGAGTTAAAGACAAGCCACACACAGCACAACAAAAACCTTAGTCTACAGACCACAGGCAGTTCCACTGTCTCTTGAACTTTAAAATGTTGCCACTTTTAAGTCAGGTTAAAAGTGGCAACATTCAAAAAATGGCACTCTTTTCTTAGTTTTGTAATGTTATTCAGTAAATATGAAATGTGTATCCAGTGTCATTCAATAATGAATCATATTTACGCTTGGAAGGCTCTATTATGTCCCCTACTTATAAATGCAGAATATATGTATATTGAAATATACCTAATTCCACTGCAACATGGTTAAGCTTTGGTCCAAGAAGAACCGGAACTATATTACTGCGATCTAGAAGTGACAAAAGAAAAGACAAATGTATTAGTGTTGCCTTGAGCTTCTTTATGACAAGCATCTATGATAATATGCTCATTTCATGTAACAAAGATTCCAATAGTTACTGGTTTACGTTCACTTGAGTCCTATTTGCATTAACTAAAGGTCACAGATGTTGAAAGCACCTTGTATCTGGTTTTCTCTCACTCAGATCTGCAGCTTCTGCTCAATTCAACTAAAAGGCAGAGGAAGATGCCCATCCACTGCAGCCTGACTCTCAGATGATCAAACGTGCAAGAGTCAAACCATGCAAAATCACTGGGAAGAGCCTTTCTGCCCTGTCTCGATTCTCTCCATCTGTCCTCCTCAGCTGGCCAGTGATGGATTTACAGGTTGCAGGGCCAAGACAGGTTGAGAAAAGCAAATCCCTCACTCTATGTGCCCACCGTTCCCTTGCAGGATGCTGAGAGCAGTGTCCCTTCAATATTGTGCCCCAGGAACCTCACCTTGGCCCTGGCCCTGCTGTTAAGTTCATGCCTGTAGGCCAAGTTCTACTTCTGCTCCTGAGTGGCTTCTGACCCCGACTGGAAGTACTGCACATAAATTCTGCCCCCTCAGTCCCCATCTGGTGATGCTTGGGAAGTAAGTCATCACCCAACAGGCTCTTGCTTAAGGCAGCTGGCAACTGCAAACCCTAAGAGCAGCTGCGGTCATAGATTTGAACTGGTGCATAGTCAAGTTATTGTTAGCCCTGATATCCTCATTGGTAACTTTCCTCATGACCAGGACTGTTCCCTGCTAGTAGCCCCACTGCTTTGGAGGCATTCCCAAGCAATGTCCAGAACATCCCTTCTGGGACTTGCAGGTGCTCAGCAAGCAGAATGCCTGGTTGAGTGGAGTACAGTGAGACTCAGGAGTGCTCCTGCAGCTCCCACACCTCCCTGAGCCCTCTCAGAAAGTGCAGTGCCAGAGTGAGCAGTTGAGAATGCAGTGGGCAGATATGTGAGCAAGAACAGGAGAATGAAACCAGCACAGTGGACTCCGGAGTTCAGAGTCAGGTCTGGGTTATCCTGGGATTTGGAGTCTCTGGGCAAGCCTGGAATGTTGGCAAACAGGCAGGAGGAGCTGAGATGTATCCAGGGAAAGAACTAACTCTCAGGTCTGACAGTAAGAAGCAACACCGGCTTGAATTCAAAGACAAAGGGCAGGAGGCAATTTCGGTGTGAGGGGGAAAACTGCTACTGACTACCTTTCTCTGGATCCATTTTTTCCCCCAGAAACTTACATGGGAGACTTGAGAAGGGGCAGTGTGAAGTACATCTTCAGCAAAGGATGCTGTCTACTAACACTCAAATTATATCATTGGAAATCCAGATCAGCCCTGAGTTTGCACAACTGGTGTAAAGTGAAGGGTGCAGTCCCATGTAGGTCATGGAAGGAAGACAACATCTTAGTGCATGCCCTTGACATGGCCAGCCTACCTAGGAGGCTATCAGAGTCAAAATGGCATAGAGGTTGTCAGCAGTAGGAGGAGACGCCACCCGATCAGCCAGAGCATAAGACCAGGAAAGTGGCAGATGCCCAGTAGGAATTCAGGTGACTGTGATTCACGAGCACAAGCTGAAGGCAATGGAACTCCTGGGCTCCAAAAACAGTCCCAAAGTATGGTGTTTTGGCAGGCTGAGTACTTTAAACTCAACGACATTGGAAGGCCTCAAAGCAGCCTCAAAAAGCAAGATCTCTCTGACCCTCCTGCTTCATGCCTCCATTCTCCCCAAAGCAAGTCACAGAAACCAGACTCCCTCTTCCCAAAGGCAGATCATAAAAACTAGAATCCTTTTCCCCAAAGTAAGCCATAGAACCTAGAAGCATGACTCTAACCTTCTCCTGCCTTTCTGTCTAGGAGTTGGCTATAAATTCTTTGGCCTTCTTTGGTCTGACAGTAAGTCTTAAGACCCTCTGCCCTCTACCCAGGAAAAGGAAATATAACAGAGAGGCCAAGAAGAATCTGGACAGGTCTTGCTGGGTTTCCCCACTCAGTCCATTAGCATTAGGTCATACCCTTTTGTCCAGTCACATTTCTACATGGCTGTCCATGCTTCTAGAACCTAAGCATTTAAAAAGAAAAAAACGGGTTTCCCTGAGTCTTAGGGTATTCATTTCTTTCCTTTTTTTTTTTTTTTTTTTTTTGAGACCGAGTCTTGCTCTGTCACCTGGGCTGGAGTGCAATGGCACAACCTCGGCTCACTGCAACCTCCATCTCCTGGGTTCAAGCAATTCTCCCTGCCTCAGTCTCCCAAGTAGCTGGGATTACAGGTGCCCACCACCAAGCCCAGCTAATTTTTCTGTTTTTAGTAGAGATGGGGTTTTGCCATGTTGGCCAGGCCTGTCCCGAACTCCTGGCCTCAGGTGATCCATCCGCCTCGGCCTCCCAAAGTGCTAGGATTACCAGCATGAGCCACCACACCCGGCCCCAGGGTCTTCATTTCTGAAGGCTCCCATGTCACATAAAACTTGCTTGCCCCTTGTTAATCTGTCTTTTGTTATGGGAACATTGCCATGACCCTTAGGATGGGGAGGAGAGGTATCACACCTTTCCACCACTACAGCAGTCACTATGTAGCAGCTGAGAGATCTCCATCTGTGAAGGCAAGGGGACTGTAATAAAGACACAACATGGAGAAGGCACGAGCTCAGAACCTCTCTGTCCTCAACACAGGTCAGAACACCTCCTGGCTGTCTTCCCCAACTCCAAGCTCTAATTTCTGTAGACTCGTGGCAAACTTTGCCAAATCCAAAGAAAAATAGCCAGGATGGTGAAGTGTCTAGACTTCTTGTTGTATGTGGCATCAAAGGAGTTGTTTCTGTCTCAGTGATGCACACAACAGGCATGTAATGAGCACCTTTATGTGCCAAGTGCCAATTGTAGGTATCCAAGATGCAAAGATGAGGAACAGAAGTCAGTGCAAACCTTTCCAGAAACCTTTCAAGTTATTGACAGAGACACACATGTATTGCAATTCTGACAGCAATCAGAAATACAAACAAGAGGCCATGGGGGCATGAAGGAGGAGCGACATTTGAGTGGAGTCCTGAGAGACTCAGTTGACATTCTCCAAGAAGACAAGAAAAATAAGATGGACAATTATGGGAGAAGAATAGCTTGTGCTGCAGGTGAGGTTTGGGAACCTAGCAGTGGGAGATGGTCATTACAGCAGAACTCTTACTGTCCCTAGAGCCATCCTAGAGCTGTACACACACTCACTCAGTCATTGTCAGCCAACCCTACGAGGGATGAACCATTACTGTCCCATTTCATGATGAGGAATCTGAGGCAGAGAGGAACTAAGGAAATTAACTCACCCAAGGCCACAGTCTCACAGAGCTGTTGTGAGGATTATATGACATGATTCAACTCCAGTACTTGGCACTATCCCTGGCCCATAACAAGCACCCTTTTAATAATGGATATTCCTACAGCTTCATCAAAGAAGGAAGGAAAGAGCTGCTGATGGGCAGAAAGCAAAGATGGTGGGAAAGAGGGTGTAGGTTCTGAAAGTATCAAAGTAACAGAGATTTATATGAGATTAAAAATAGATGTAGGAAAGTAAAGTTGGAGAGTTTAGGGTAGATGATTATACACAGAATTTAAGTTTTTGAGTTTAAAATTCAGTTATGGGTTTCCCAGGTTCTGGGCTGTGGCAGGCAGAATAATAGACCCTGAAGTTTCCCACATCCTACTCCTGAGTTCCTGTGAATACGATATGTTACATGGCAAAAGGAACCTCTAGGTGTGATTAAATTAAGGATCTTGAGATAGGGGGATCACCCTGGATTATCTAGGTGGGCACAATGCTGTCTCAAGGTCCTCATCAGAGGGAGACAGAAAGGTCAGAGTCAAAAAGGAGATGAGGTGAGGGAAGCAAATGTGTTTGGCTCTGAAATGAAGTGGCACAAGCCAAGAAATGCAAGTGGTCTCTAGAAGCTGGAGAAAGCAAAGGCAAAGAAACACATTTTCCAGCCTGGTGCAGTGGCTTATGCCTGTAATCCCAGTACTTTGGGAGACCAAGGCAGGGGGATCACGAGGTCAGGAGATCGAGACCATCCTGGCTAACACGGTGAAACCCCGTCTCTACTAAAAAAAATATAAAAATTAGCCGGGAGTGGTGGCGGGTGCCTGTAGTCCCAGCTACTCGGGAGGCTGAGGCAGGAGAATGGTGTGAACCCAGGAGGCGGAGCTTGCAGTGAGCCCCAAGGCTGCGCCACTGCACTGCAGCCTAGGCAACAGAGCAAGACTCCATCTCAAAAATATAAAATAAATAAAAAAATAAAAGAAACGCATTTTCCCCTACAGCCTCCAGAAGTAAAGCAATTCTGGCAAAACCTTGATTTTACCGAAGACACTAAACTTGGGATAATTTGTTACTGTGGCAACATGTGGGTGTATATAGCTATATGGTTGTAGTGAAGAAGAAAGATGTTGCTAAAGCAAAGGCTGTAGCAAATGTGAGCCCACAGATTTTGTTGAACAAGCCACCCACACAAGTGTTACAGTTTCCAGTTTCTCAGGATGATGGGGAAAAAAATCCAGACTGGATAAGCAACCTGTCTTCAAATCACGAAAGGAGCTGTCATTTTAAGAAGGAGCCAGATTTAATCTGTGAAATTCTTGAAGGCAAATCAAAATCAGTGGTTGGAAGCTACGAGAAGGGATATTTGGACTCAATGGAAAAAAAAGACTTCAACAATCAGATATTAAAATCTGGACTACACTGCTGTGTGATTTGGTCATTTCCTTGATAGTTCCCAAGAAGGGACTGGATGATCAATCATTGGCTGTGCCTTATGATGAATATCTTCACTGGGTGAGGTTTAATTAAATACCTTTAATGTCCCAGGATTCTGTTCCTCCATCACACACAGCCTGGGTCCATCATCCCTCCCCTCCCACCAGCACATCAGTGTTCCTTACACTCTCCCAGTGGAGATCCCTTCCCCCAGCAGGTCACTGTTTCATGAGGCTCCCCCTCCAAGACCCAGGTCAAATGGAGCCTCCTGCATCTGTCCTTCCTCCAACCTCCCCCTGCACTCTTGCAGCCTCACAGATGATGCTGTTTCATACACCTTTATGTAGCTTATTGCCTCTCCTGATTAGAATCAAATCCCTTGAGAATAGTACAGTGCTCACTTCATCTCATACTTCCTTGCTTCCCTGCCTCCTTGTGCTAAGTACAGTTTATTGAGTATAGATATCTTCACTAAATACTTGTAAAGTGAAAATGTAAATTCAACAACAAAAGATTCCACAATTTACTCAAATTTCATATATAAGAGAGAGCTGACTCATGTGAGGTTTATTCATACAGATTTTCATTTCCTGCCAAAAAGAAAGGTTTATTTAGCCAAGTAGAGGAGCACCAGAATGAAGATTTTGACCATCATATTTGAACTAGTGGTGTGGTCACAACCCCAACTAAGTGGACTCTCAATTCCTACACAGTTTTGAAGAATGAAAAAATTCCATTTTACTAAAATACGTCTGTTTCTTCCCAATTCTAAGATTTCCCTTACCTTCCACTATTGTTATATTGAAGGTTTTGGTGATATTAAATAGTTTTCCATTATGATGAAGGAAATGCACGCAGGAGTAATACCCCTGATCTTCAAACTCGGCGTTCTTCTTTATCGTTGGGTTTTTATTGTTCTCCAGTAGTAGCTTTTTACAGTTCTGTTTTTAATAAAACAAGTTAAAATACTTTAAGTAAAAGCCAAATTGATATTACAGTGATCCAAATTTTTGAGTTAAAGATCTTTAGAGAAAAAGGAAAAAAGAATGGAAAGTAGCAATTCCTGGACATATGTCCCAGTTACTTGGTACTACTTTTACTGAAACAATTAAATGCGATCCCATTGCTGTTGGCATGATTATCATTATTAATATATGCTGGGAAGTAGAGCATGGGGCAATATGAGCACTGTAGCTGCTTTCATCAATATTCTTTCATCTCTCTCTTTTACACACATGCAGAGAGAGAGAAACAGCGAGAGACAGAGAGAGAGAGAGAACACTACTTCAAAAACCCTTGCTTGAGTCACAACTCTATTTCATACATGTTCAGTCCAATTTTGTGTATTCTGGACTATGCATCCAAGGGGTGGATAGTGGGATGGGTGGAGAATTACTCAGAGAATGAGTAGCTAGCAGACCACCCACACCTTTGACACCCTCCATCAGAAGCCAGCGAGCTGATTAGAAATGCATCAGCAATATTCAAATCCATAGGTACACTCAAACATCTCTCTCTCTCTCACACACATTTCCATACATGTCACAGGAATTAATACTAATTGTAATAAAGCCACTTTCTTCAATCCAGCACATCTGACACCCAGAGGTAGGTCCCAGAGCCATGCAGGGACCACATGGGATGT
Source organism: Homo sapiens (assembly GCF_000001405.40). Lineage (NCBI taxonomy): Eukaryota > Metazoa > Chordata > Mammalia > Primates > Hominidae > Homo > Homo sapiens. Next base: position 102,375,202 of record NC_000002.12, on the reverse strand, counting down.
CTGGGGGCTGAATGGCCATCCTTGACCATTGGACACTGTTTCTGCAAACACCAAGCAAGGAGAACCTACTGCCCACAGACTTCTCCCTCAGAGCTGGCAGCCACTGGGGCTAGACCCATTGTGCATAGAATGTGCCCGTGAAGCACCCACATGTGTACCTCACGTCAGTAAATTATTTATGTATAAGTCAAAATTTTATAAAGCCAAACTAATTTTTTCAAGCTATAGAAAAGATCAGAGACTCTTCATTTTCCTTTCCAATCAATTATCTACTGAATTAGCCTCCTTGCTCTCGGGTGAAGTCATGATCAGTCAACAGGCTTAGAATACTTAGCCCTGTGGTCAATTGTTTAGCTAAATATCCTTGGTGCACCAATGCTCATAATTTAAATAGCTGCACTTTGGAATTTCATTTTTTTTTTTTTGAGACGGAGTATCGCTCTCTCCCCTAGGCTGGAGTGCAGTGGCCCAGTCTCGGCTCGCTGCAACCTCTGCCTCCCGGGTTCAAGTGATTCTCCTTCCTCAGCCTCCCGAGCAGTTGGGACTACAGGCATGTGCCACCACACCCAGCTAATTTTTTGTATTTTTAGTAGAGACGGGGTTTCATCATATTAGCCAGCATGGTCTCGATCACCTGACCTAATAATCCGCCCACCTCAGCCTCACAAAGTGCTGGGATTACAGGTGTGAGCCACTGCACCCGAACGGAATTTCTTAAAACTCAGCACACCAAGCCTCACTAATTTACATATACTGTAACACATTTGTACATTGATGGGAAATAGAATAAAGTCAACTCAGGACTGATTCGAGTGTTTAGAAAACATTTCAGATAAGAGCTGTCTTTGGAAATCACAAGTAAACAGTGTTCAAGCATAAGGCACAAACAAAAATTTCAAGGATATTATCATCACTCGCTTCAGATTTCCCAAGTTCTGTTCAGACCACTCTCTTATAGGTCTTTAAAGTTTCCACGACAGAGTCATATTATTCAGATTTGTTATTCCATATAAACTACATCAGCTGTCCCCAACCGTTTTGACACAGAGACTGATTTCATGAATGACAACTTTTCCATGGACCAGGGTGGGCAGGGGTTGAGCGGGGAATGGTTGGTTTGGGGATGATTCAGGCGCATTACATTTATTGTGCACTTTATTTCTATTGTTATTACACTGTAATATATAATGAGATAATTATACAACTCACCATAATGTAGAATCAGTGGAGCCCTGAGCTTGTTTTCCTGCAAATAGGTGGTCCTATCTGGGGGTGATGGGAGACAGTGACAGATCATCAGGCATTAGATTCTCATAAGGAGCATGCAACATAGATTCCTCGCATGCACAGTTCACAATAGGGTTCTTACTCCTGTGAGAGTCTAATGCAGCTGCGGATCTCACAGGAGGTGGTAATGTTAGTGAGGGGGAGTGGCATGGGGATTGGGGACCCCTGAACTACACAATTTGTGTTGCGTATGTGTGTGGATGGGAGTGCGTATGTTTTTTATGCATACACACACTACACTCACACACGCTATGTATGTGTATATATAATTCCTATAGCGTGGTCTAAAAGAGCTTTTTTTTTTATTATACTTTAAGTTCTGGGGTATATGTGGAGAATGTGCAGGTTTGTTACATAGGTATACACGTGCCATGGTGGTTTGCTGAACCCATCAATTTGTCATCTACATTAGGTATTTCTCCTAATGCTATACATCCCCTACCCTCCCACCCCACACAACAGGCCCCGGTGTGTGATGTTCCCCTCCCTGTGTCCATGTGTTCTCATTGTTCACCTCCCACTTATGAGTGAGAACATGCAGTGTTTGGTTTTCTATTCCTGTGTTAGTTTTCTGAGAATGATGGTTTCCAGCTTCATCCATGTCCCTACAAAAGACATGAACTCATGCTTTTTTATGGCTGTATAGTATTCCATGGTGTATAAGAGCTTTTAAAATTCAACAGGTAAAAGGTATACCAACTGAAGAAAACAGAAAAAAATAAACAGGCAACCCACAAAATTGCCTGATTGCAGTAAGATGCAATAAATATATACAAAAGTTTAATTTATTACTAAGAAAAGTGAAAAAACCACTAGGAGTTTTAGAAATTTTTCATATCAAATTTTAAACATTCTGGGACCATTATTTCCCTGTGTTGTGGAGGTGACAAAAAATTGGGATTCTTTTTTCAAGTGTGGGGTAAAATTGGCAGAGCTCCCTGGAGACAAGTTTGATAGTGTGAGGAAAAAGACATAAAAACATGCTCACAGCCTCTGATCCAGTAATTCTACATTTAGGGATTTGGTTGAAGGACAAATCATATAAACACCCAAGGATTTGTGGAAATGGTATTCATTTTAGCCTTTAAATAATAGTGAAAAATAGGCAATTCACAAATGTCCAATAACAATGGGATTAGTTAGACGAAACAAGGGGGTTAGTTAGATGAAACCAGGCACATAAAAACTGAAAGCCCATGTTTAGAAGATCATTTAAAGATGTGAAGGGATAGTCACAACGTAATTCTTAGAGGAAAAAACATAAAAAAATAAAATATACCACTTTTAAAAAGCAGATGCTTCACAGAAAAAAAAAGTCTGTGATGGATTTATGAGTGATTTTTGCTTTCTTCATTTTTCAGTTTTAAAGTTAAAATATTATAAAAGCATTACCATTTCCAATTTTATAAAATGAACTAATATATTCAGAAAAACATATACAATTGAGTTTTACATGTTAAGTACATGTGACAGGAGAAAATGGAAATCCTTAAACTAGCATTCCTAAAAACTAACTTATCGAAAGAGAAGGAAAATGAAGGAAGAGTGTGGGAGAAGAAACTGTGATCATTTATTGAACACCAAATCCAGGGAAACTACTGTGGAACATATTTTAATACTATGTATCAGCTCTTGACAACAAGCCAGTGAGGATACTTGGCTCAAACAGGGCAAGTGAGCCATGTGGGATCAGGCAGCTTATTTGTTATGAGACCAGAATGGTAGCTCTCAGCCCCTCATTTGGGAATTTTATCTTTTCCATCAAGTCTTAAAGTTAAAATATTATAAAAGCATTACCTTATACAATGATGTGCTGTTGACCAGTGTTTGATAGTAACTGTTTTCACAGGTTATCTGAAAAAATTTTTTAACTTCCACAATTTTACTAGTTACTTGTCTTTCAGTGAAACAGCTGTGTTTATTTCTTCTGATGACATTTAATTTCCATTTCTGAGTATAATTTCTATGGAATAAAAGTGTAAAGGTATTTTATAATGCTACAGAAACTTTGCAAATATCACCCATCTTCCCTTTAGTAACCAGTTACAATATTTTTCCTTTATTTTTATTAAAGAGATTGATTCATTGATGTGCAAACCCTGCTCTGCCTCCGCTTGATTCAGAAGAGCAAGAACTTTAAAAACTGTCATGGGAGCAGGGGGTAATAAATGAAAACCTAAGCAGTCTACACACAGAGACACACACATGCACACGCACACACGCACATATCCTACTGCAGACAATATATTATGGATGTCAGAAAAGCAAATCTTTACAATGTCAGTGATCTTCACTGATGGATAAGTTCAGAGAGTCTTGGCCCAGGATGGGAGGGTGGCTTTGGTTTCAAAAGGTCTATAAACTCCTGATGTTGTTTTCTAAATGTGTGTATATATATATTAGGTTTTGTTTCTCAAGGCAACTTCTTCCAATCCCCTTCTTTTACTGTTGAATAAACCAAAGTCTGGAGTTGCTGCCCTCAGTGTAATTGAATTAGCTCTTTAAATGCCTTACTGACCAAAAGTGAGTGTGAATAGATTTTATAGTTGTTGTTACTCCTGATCAGAAATTAGTGATCAGGACTATCACTAGGCCAGGTGCAGTGGCTCACACCTGTAATCCCAGCACTTTGGGAGGCCAAGGCAGGTGGATCACCTGAGGTCAGGAGTTTGAGACCAGCCTGGCCAATGTGGTGAAACTCCGTCTCTACTAAAACTACAAAAATTAGCTGGGTACGGTAATCCCAGCTACTCGGGAAGCTGAGGCAGGAGGCGGAGGTTGCAGTGAGTGGAGATCGCGCCATTGCACTCCAGCCTGGGTAACAAGAGCGAAATTCCATCTCAAAAAAACAACAACAACAACAACAAAAAAAGGTGATCTGGAATTGGAAAACAATACAGTATTTTTTAAATGAAGATTTTAAAGAGAAAATGTTTCAAATTTCATGTTTGCTTCCACTGCACCTGTGATGTATAGATTTATTTGCTAAATACAGCAGATGCGTGTTTTTAAGTTATCCTCTATGCCTGACACATTTGTGCCCACCTTAGGCTCTTCCAGTTCCCCTTTAGGTCTACAATAGGATAGAAGGAAGAAAAGACTAACACTTACTGAGTTCCAGGTATTAGACTATGTACATGCAAGGGAGATGACTATTTTCCTTAGGCTCAGATGAGAATGCTAAATCTCAGACAGGTTAAACAACTCACTCAGGCCACACACTTGCTACAAGATGGGGCCAGGATACAAATGCACATCTATTTGGCCCCAGAGGCCAGAAGTGCTCTGCACAATTCTACACTTTCACAATCCAATGAATCTGGCCCCTTCACCTTGGGCATGAATTTATAAAAGATTGGCCGTGACTGGAGAATGTGGCAGGCTGTTGTCACAGTTATAGGCAGTGGGTCCATGGCCATGGGACATGATAGAGCTACCTGGCTCTTGAAATGGATTCAGGATCCCATTGGCAGCACCTTCTTCTCAAGTGTGTTTTCGTAATGTCTCCCCAACTTTGACCTCAATGAATTGGAGAGATAGAGATTTCTGGATCTCTATGACTTGTTGCTTAAAAGGAATAGGGTACATGAATATCCCCATTTTTTCAGACTACATTGTTCTCTACCTCTGTAATCCTCAATTCCTAACACTCAACAAATGCTAGAGGACTGATGACACTCCATGTGCAGGACACTGCTCTGGGAACACTGAAACAATCAACAACACACTGCACCTGCCATCCAGGAGCTCCAAGGCTAGGGTTAACACTGAGGCCAACTGACCCAAAGCTGTGACCACACTTTCCTGCTGCAGGCCCAGCCCATCCTGGTTATGAAAACCACTCATTTTTGTCCACAGACACCAGGGGATAAACACCAGCCCCCACTTCTGAGGCTGCTCACCAAGCTGAACTTGCTGCCTGTCAGCCTAGGATTGGTTTATTAGATTTCTGTGTGTACATTTCCCTCTACCTTCATTTCTTCATCTCTATCATTGAAAACTATCCCTTTTGTATCCCCTTCCTTCTTAGTTGATTTCGTTCTTAAAATTTGGTGGGATAAAGTGATTTTCACTGCAGGATTAAATTATCAGTCCTCAGTGGCATTTGATTATTAGCAATGTACTCCTAAAAATTAAAGAATTACTGTTCTAACGGGAAATTTTCAGGTGTAAAGTCTGTTCACTGATAGATCCCACATCAAACTGCAAAGGGTTACACACCTAAGTTAGAACACATATGTGTATACACACACATCTGCAGTAAATACTGCTTACTAATTATGCTATATTTGAATATGTCTGTATCTTCTATGCTCCTGGGTGTCTAAAACAACCTGCTTCCATGTAGAATCCCATTTATTTTCAAGGCCATTGTCAAAGCTGCTTCTCTCCTCAACACTTTACTCTCATAGTGATCAGTCTCCAATATCCACTCTGGGACACCTCATTTTTCTTAGCATCTCCTATCTGCTACCCTGTCTCTCCACACCTCTCTCTGACATCCTGCCTCAATCTCTTGCTTCCATTGTTGCTTCCTAAGCCAGGCTGTATTCTCTACTACCCGTATCAGAAAGATGGCCAATGCCATTTGCTTCTGTTATCTCCAAGTGATGATCATAGATGCCTGGCTGTTCCTCTCAACGTGCTCTCTCAGGCCTGTCCAGAATACTTTATTCCTTTAAATTGTGCCTTCATTCAATCAGGAGTTGGAAGTTTGTGGTGGGGGGGGCGGTGTTTGTTGTTCTTTTTCCTTTACCCCATTTGTGAGTATTCATTCTTCCTTAGCTTGTTATGAAAAATCCCAGTTGTGACCCATTTCTGTAATTATCACTCTTAAAAGGTCATCTAAAGATGTACTGATTTTTATCAAAAGAGTTATTTAATTTTTTTCTGATGCCTGGGAGTTCCTATGTATAAAAACAAACAAAAATGACCTGATTTGGTGCAAAACTACAGAAGTGCTACCAAGGTTTCACAGTGGTAGCTCACTCTGCTCTCAACAGCATGGTTGATAATGATCAGGACTCACTCTAGAAGTGCTTCTAAAAGAAATCTGCTACATATGAAATCTACACACCATCACCTTCAGCTGGCCCTGAGCTATTTCTTACAGGTCAGTCTCAAGTCTCTATAAAACTACCTACATATGTAGGTAGGTACATCTAAAAAGAAACATGTTCGGTAAGTGTGGGTGATGCTTTCAGTTGGCTGTGCTCATTTCATGGAAGTTATGCAACCCAATTTCGAGTATTCTGGCACAATCTAGGGCCACCTCATGAGTAAAATGCAAAGCCCTTCCGTGTTGCCCTCTCTCACTGCCGCCAGCTGTGGGTTGCGATTGGCTGCCAGACACACACTTCCTCCACTAGCACTGCCACCTGGCTCCCAGTGAGCCCCTGCAGACTGGACTAGGGTGTTTCTGCATCAACCCCATCCCTGCTCCCCACCAGGGATGCCACCCAGGAAGCTGACACTGCCCCATTCGCAACACATTAATATTATCGTGAAGTCCGAGCTGCTGATTTCATTTGACTGGGGGCATGTAGACAACAGGAGCAGCTGAATTTTAAAACTGACTTTCATGCAATCGTCACTTGTCATTGGTAAGGATCCCCTAAAAGGAAATCCTATCAAAGTAATCTCCTTTCATTAAGGTCACTAAGAAAATAAGCAGAGAGAGATAAACTTATTCTGTTCCATAACAAAGAATGTATTTCATGTCATAGGAAGAGTAGGAAAGAAAAGGATGTGGTGATTATCTGACCTTTCAGATTACTGCATATTTGAGTTGCTGAACAAAGGACAAGAGGGCTGTGAAATACATTTTGAAAAGAAAGGGTTACTCACTTCATTTGGAAAAAGTAAGATCCTGTGTCATTCAACTCAACTGGCCAAAACTCCAAAACACAATCATGCAAAGCAATTCTCGAGGAACTCCTTGGGTTCAGCTCCACATGTTCCTGTGATCCACTGCTTTTGTACCAGCTTTTGGTGGTTGTTTCAATCTCATGTGCAAGTGAACACGAGCAATGTTTCAGATAGAAAGGTTCCCCTTCAACCACAGTAATGTGGGGACGTGAAGTACAAGATTCTTCAAAAGATTAGTAAAGTAAAATAAATAAAAACAAAAACCAAAATGACAAGGTAACTTTTTTTGGTCTCCTAATGCATTAGGTGAAGAAGCAAGGTTAGCAAGAAAGTCCTGAGAAATCTCGGTGTCAATTTCCTGTGGGTTCTTTATTTTTGCGTCAATCTTTCCAACACTAGAAAGGATAAGGCACTTTCAGAACATAGATGAAAACACAACTTCTGACAGTTTCTCCCCAACAGGAAGGTATCAGAACTTAACCAACCATAGCTAGAAGACTGATAATTGTGTCACCTCTTAGAAGAAAATATTACACATTACAACTTCTTCATAGGGAAAGCCACAGAAGTCACGGTGCTGCCATACCTACCTCAAAATATACCCTGCTGAGGAGTCTCAGTAGAAAAGAAAACAAGAAATCTAGCAACCTTGGCGTTCTTCCTCTGCACCATCAGAAATCTCACTCACCTTGCATTCACCCTGCCTATCTAACATTCCCTGGTAAGTGTGGGGATGGTTAAAAGTGTGCCTATGTAACTTACAGTGTGTGTACATTTATTATTACTGTAGGTCACCATGTGGATAATCAAGAATTCATTAATATAATATCAATCCAAATTTGCATATCTGTCACTTTCCCTCTTTCTCAATTGACCCAGATTCTCTGGCTTTGGAAATATATCTGACCATCATCTACCCAGGATAGGTGCTCGTTCCCCTCTTTCGGCACTTGTGGTACTTCAAGTTCAGCATTAATGGGTCTTTCTCATAATCTACCCTCCAGTGACTCTCGGGTGCACTTTTACCACATTTTGAGAATGAGAGTATTTAAACTGAACGAAACATTTCCCTTAGGACATGGACAGAATGCCTTCTCTATAGTCAGGGTTTGTTTCTCAAAGCAGCAGTCTGGTTTTAACTCAAAATTGTTAACCACAACATAAAGAGGAAGTGATGTGATAGAAGTATTCTGATATGGTTTGGCTGTGTCCCCATCCAAACCTCATCTTGAATTTAATCATGGGGGCAGTCACCCTCATGCTGTTCTCATGATAGTGAGTGAGTTCTCATGAGATCTGATGGTTTTGTAAGGGGCTTTTCCCCCTTTTGTAAGTTTCCTGAGGCCTCCCCAGCCCTGCAGAACTGAGTCCATTAAATCTTTCTCCTTTATATATTACCTGGTCTCAGGTATGCCTTTATTAGCAGTGTGAGAATGGACTAATAAAGTAAATTGGTACCAGAAGTGGGGTGCTACTGTAAAGATACACAAAATGTGGAAGTGACTTTGGAACTGCATACAGGCAGAGGTTGGAACAGTTTGGAGGGCAGTTTGGAACAGTTGGAACAGTTTGAAGAAGATAAGAAAATATGGAAAAGTTTGGAACTTCCTAAAGACTTGTTAAATGGCTTTAACCAAAATGCTGATAATGTTATGGACAATAAAGTCCAGGCTGAGGTGGTCTCAGATGGAGATGAGGAACTTTTGGGGAGCTGGAGCAAAAGTGAATCTTGTTATGTTTAGCAAAGAGATTAGTTGCATTTTGCCCTTGTCCTAGAGATCTATGGAACTTTGAACTTGAGAGACGATTATCTGGAAGAAGAAATTTCTAAAGAGCAAATCATTCAAGAGGTGACAGAGCATAAGAGTTTGGAAAATTCACAGCTTGAGAATGTGGTAGGAGAGAAAAATCCATGTTCGTGGGAATGGGGGGCATGGAATTAAAGCTGGTTGCAGAAATTTGCATAAGAAATGAGGACTCAAATGTTAATTGCCAAGACAAGGGGAAAAATGCCTCTAGGGTATGTCAGAGATCTTCATGAGAGACCCTCCCATCACAGGCCCAGAGGCCTAAGAGGAAAAAATGATTTCCTGGGATGGGCCCAGGGTCCCTTTCTGTGTGCAGCCTAGGGATTTGGTGCCCTGCATCCTACCCCTCCAGCCATTGCTAAAACAGGCCAAGATACCAGGTCAGGCTGTGGCTTCAGAGGGTGCAAGCCCCAAACCTTGGCAGCTTCCACATGGTGTTGAGGCTGCAGGTGCACAAAAGTCAAGAATTGAGGTTTGGGAACCTACGCCTAGGTTTCAGAGGATGTATGGAAATGCTGGATGTCCAGGCAAAAGTTTGCTGCAGGGGTGGAACCCTCATGTAGAATCTTTGCTAGGGTAGTGTGGAAGGGAAATGTGGTGTTGGGGCTCCCATACAGAGTCCCCACTGGAGTACAGCTAGTGGAGTTAAGAGAAGAAAGCCACCATCCTCCAGGCCCCAGGATGATAGATTCACTGACAGCTTGCACCATGCACTTGAAAAAGCCCAGAAACTCAACACCAGCCCATGAAAGAAACCAGGAAGAAAGATGTACCCTGCAAAGCCACAGGAGCATAGCTGCCCAAGGCCATGGGATCCTACCTCTTGCAGCAGCGTGACCTGGATATGAGACATGGAGTTGAAGGAGACTATTTTGGAACTTTAAGGTTTAATGACTGCCCTATTAAATTTAGAACTTGCATGGGGCCAGTAGCCCCTTTGTTTTAGTCAATTTCTCCCATTTGGAAGGGGTGTATTTACTCAATGCCTGTACTCCCATTGTATCTAGGAAGTAACTAAATTGCTCTTGAATTTACTGACTCATAGGAAGGGACCTTCCTTGTCTCAGATGAGACTTTGGACTTGGATTTTAGAGTTAATGCTGGAATGAGTGAAGACTTTGGGGGACTGTTAGAAGGGCATGATTGTGTTTTGAAATGTGAGAGCATGAGATTTGGGAGAGGCCAGGGGTGGAATGATATGATTTGGCTATACCCCAACCCAAATCATCTTGAATTGTAGTTCCCATAAGCCCCATGTGTCATAGGAGGGACCTGGTGGAAGGTAATTTAATCATGGGGGTGATTACCCTCATGCTGTGCTCCTGATAGTGAGTGAGTTCTCATAAGATCTGATGTTTTTATAAGGGGCTTTTCCCCTTTTTGCTCAGCCTTCTCCTTGATGCCACCATGTGAAGAAGGATATGTTTTCTTCCCCTTCCACTATGATTGTAAGCTTCCTGAGGCCTCCCCAGCCATACAGAACTGTGAATCAATAAAGTCTCTTTCCTTTATAAATTACCCAGTCTCAAGTATGCCTTTATTAGCAGCATGAGAATGGACTAATACACATTCTTTGAAAACATGGATGTCGAATCTACCACAAAACACAAGAGTTAAGGAGCACCAACTTCATGTTTTCTGGTTGCAATACAATCTCTATTTTATACTAATACTTCAACATAGAAGGTGTGATACATGTGTATATGTGGGTGTCAGCTTCAATTGACATGCAAAACCCTGGTGAGTCATTAACAGTTCATTTATTTTCCTGTTTTAGAGTTAATATAATAAAATGCATAGGCTATACAATATGTGCTCCTTTATGTCTGGGTTATTTTGACATGATTGTTATAAATGCATTCATGCTGTAGCAGTGATGTGTTCTTTTCTCATTGTAATGTAGTATCTAATCGTGTTACCATTTCGCAATTTATCCATTTTATAAAAGGATGCATGTTGGGGATTTGGTTTATTAAACAAATGTCTGTTGGATATTGGCTTATTTCTAGGTTTTCAGGTTTTCGCTTGTCTTAAAAAGCTTCTATAAACACATATGACTGTGTTTGGATGGACATGTGCTCTCTGGAAGTATTACCATTTGAAGAAACTTAATGTGAATTACACACTCTCCAGAGGTGGGAGGTTGATAATTGAAAGTCCACACCACCCCCCTCCTCAGGCAGCTAGAAGCTTTGGATATCTAATCATGGTTTACCATTAGAGGCTTTGTTGATTACCATAATGCTTGTTGGAAATGGTCCTTGATGGGATAAATAAGTGGAATTCAAGGTTTGTGGAGTTCCAAGTGCCAAAATAGGCACTCCTATTGTTCCATAAACACAGTATAAGAACCCAGCAGTGCCAACAACCAATGCCCTTTGGAATAAAGTCTGTGTTTGAAACTGTCTTGAGTTTGGACAATCATAGCATTTTGTCATTTAAACTCAACTAGGTTCAGTGAATCCTACATGTAGAACATTGTCATGTCTCCCTAGAGTGAAACATTCATGAAAAGTGCTCTTCAGGGCAGGCAGCTGGGAGCTTGGCAACTTTGCACAACTGGCTGCATGGCTGTTTCTGTGCCTGAAACATGCTCTCATTATAATGAGGAGTAAGGCTATTAGTGTATGTCCACAGGACATGGAACTCATGACACATTTTCCTGTACCTTGCTTTTCCACTCACTTGTTTGACAGATCATTACATATAAAAAAATGAAGATCTACCTCATTCTTTTATCATCTGGGTAGGGTTCCATTGCAGGGATCTCAATAATAAATGGATTCACGTAAGTAAATATACCCTGAGATTGGACCTGTGTTATTTGAAAGTACCAAAAGCTTAATTCAGCTATCTCTTCAGCAGTAATTATCAAAGTAGGGAAATGAGCCCATGTGTTTCCCTCTCCTAGATAATAGATCAAGGCAAATTAATATTTGTGCTCCCACTTTCTCCCCCAAAGCCTAAGGAATGCCTTGCTATTCAATCATGGAACGCTAAAGAATGAAGTCTCAGAATCCTTCTCAAATAAAAAAAAAAAACTCTAGGCAATCACTGCTAATAAATTAAAATTGGCATTTGACATCTACTATGAAGCCTACTTGAGCTCCTTGGTCTAGCCAGTCTCTTTTTTGTATATTCTGTCTCACTCTAATTTTTTTAAGCTGTCTAATATATTTGTCGTTTACTTTTCTCATTATTACCTAAATAATGAGATGAATCTTTGCCTCCCTCTCAGGAAGGAGAAAGTGTGTTTCAAACTTCCTAAAACCCAATAATAAAGATGGCTGCCACCTCCTCAGTTTCAAATAACATGAAATAAATTTTCACCTCAGACAAATGTAATTTATTTCAAGATGCAAGTTTTTCACTCTGCTCTCACTACATGAACTCAGACTGCAGAATCTTTTCTTTTCTGAATAAATTCAGCATCTTCAGTAGCCACCACATAAAAAAAAAAACTTTGACATTCTTCCTCAATTACTCATGAAATATGTTTGAGAGTATGTATAATCACTTACCTGCAGTGCTTACAGATATAAGCACCCAAAGGGTCAAGGGTAATTCTCTACAATTCATGGTTTGGATTCTGCTTCAAATGGCTTCTCTGGAAAACAGAATAAAACAGATTCAGCCAAAGCTTTCAAACAAAAGTGTGCCTATCTTATGAAGGTTTAAAAATCTTCTGGCACACAGATTTTTAAAAAAACAACCTAGAAGATTTTTATAATCCTTAATATAGTAACCAATTCTCAGAACTTTCAGCCATATAAAATTAATAAAATTTCAAGGCAATGAAGTTTTTCTTCTGGAAGAAATCCCTAATAATTTATTTCTCTGATACAACAGAGTCTGAAGAATTTCAGGCCTGGTCTACTAAATCCTGCTTCCAAGGCCAAAGTTCAGAACAATAGTACTGCTACAAATATTACCATTCTATGAATAAACAATCTGTGACATGCTGAGCTATGTATGGCAGTTCTGCCCATGTAACAGAGTGTGTGTGTGTGTTTTCACATCAAAACATTCCTGAATTGTAATGAGATCTTCATTTAGGGTTGAATTTTTAAAACTCCATCTTCCTCCTTCAGAACGTAGGTTTCATAATTCTTTCATAATTCTAGGCACTAAGTCTATTTTGCTCTTCACTGTATCACTAAAATCCAGCACGATGCCTAGCACATGGCCAGCACTCACTAACATGTGTCACTGAGGCATAGGTGTGTATGCATGTGTTCGCGTGTGTCTGTGGCTGCCCATATGAGTTTACTTTAGGGAAATGGAGAGATGAAGTGACAGTCTCCTACACTCCAGACCCCTCCTTTACATTGACTGTGTCCCAGTGGAACTAAGATCTGCATTGAACTTTGATCCTACTGCAACCTAGCATTCGGAGTTCTGATTACAACTTTGAGCCCAGTGGAGGAAGGATCCCCCACAGTGGAGACCATTCAGAGTCTAAATACTGCATAAACAACACCATATCCCTTGTTTACCATCCTGAGTGCAGGGAGCACAGCCTGATGGCAGAGTCTGGTTTCAGAAACACACAAACCTGGGCTGCCACTCCAGTTTGAGTCCTGACAAGCTGTGCAAAACTTGAGCAAGTCTTAGAGCCTATTTGGTCATTACCAAAATGGAGATGATAAGAAGGCCTGTTTCTGGAATTATTGAGTGATTAAACCATCTAAGGCTTATGGAGACTTCCTGAGTGCATGGCAGCTTCTCAGCTCAGAATAATGCCCCTCTCACCAACAACTACTCATCTTCCATCCTAAAAACAGAGTTGTCAATGCCTGAATCCAGGATAAAGCTTAATGGCTAAGCTGCCAAACCATTCACATACATCCTTATGGAAAAATCACCAAATATTTGGTGGAATTTCCAAGAGATAATAATCAATAATGTAAAGGCCAAAGAAACAAGTATGAATGGAAAGTACCAACTGTGCATAATCAAATTAGACTGGGTCTATGGTTTGAAACCTCCCCCACTACCTCCACACACATTTTATTATTAACTCTGCCTATTCTTTTATCTTGGATAGAATAAAAAATGTTATTTCCTTTATGTCACTCTGATTAAGACTGATGTAACCTTATAAAAAGCACCACTTTAAAAAAAATATTCAATATCTACCAAGAGACAAAGTTATCAGGAGATGGCTCAGCAAACTGACAAGTTAACTCTGAGTTTCAATATGAAACATATTAAGATCTCAGTATACAAAAATTAGCTGGTATTTGCACACCATTCTGCAAATGTGGATGTGTGTATGTAAAATTTTTAATGTACTTAAGTTTTATGTGTGAATTTAACAGATTAAGGTTATATTAAATAATGAATTCATTTCCAGAAAAAGAGATATTCTGATAAATGTAACAGATACTCTAGCAAGTATTAATAAAATAGGCATAGAAGAATATAAATATTAAATGTCTCACATGTAAGAATTTTAAGGGTTTTTAATTGTTATGTTTAACATCAATATTTTTGCTTTTCCGTAACTCTTAAGTTTCTTTCTTTTTAAAGTTTTTCTGATTTCCAAAGCAATTTACACTCAATGTAGGAGATTTACAAAATGAAGACTGAAAGAAGAAAATAATCTCAACATGTATAATATTTTAACATGTTTTCTTGTACTTTTTATAAATGTTGTCACATAATTAAGATGTTTGGCCGGGCACAGTGGCTCATGCCTGTAATCCCAGCACTTTGGGAGGCCGAGATGGGCGGATCATGAGGTCAGGAGACTGAGACCATCCTGACTAACATGGTGAAACCCCGTCTCTACTAAAAATACAAAAAATTAGCCAGGCACGTTGGCAGGCACCTGTAGTCCCAGCTACTAAGGAGGATGAGGCAGGAGAATGGTGTGAATCCGGGAGGCGGAGCTTGCAGTGAGCCGAGATCTCATCACTGCACTCCAGCCTAGGTGACAGAGCAAGACTCCTTCTCAAAAAATAAAAGATGTTTAAAAGATTGCATATCCTGCATTTCCACCTAATATTACATAATGAGCATTTTTCCTGTGTCACAAAACTCTTTGTTAAAACCATTCTAATTGCCACCTAATATTACTTCATGTGGATATATTATCATTTACCAGATGTATTATGAGATAATCACATGACCATCTTCACAGGTAAGCCAGGATGGCTCAGTTTTTTTGCAGGATGGGCTCAGGTGGCAGCCTGGGTGGATTTGAATCTCCATTCTACCTTCAACCAGCTAACCGACTGTGGGCAACTGACTTGCCTGTTCTGTGCCTCAATTTTCTTATCTATAGAAGGGGATAATAATACCATCTCCTGGAACTGATGTGAAAGTTAAATGAGTTACTATTGCAAGTGTCTGGTGAATGGTAATACCGCTTAAATGTTAGCTATTATTATTTGTCTACATTTCTTATTATTTCCTGGATGTTACTCGATGGCAGTACAGTGATTGAGTTGAAGACTACATTGAAACCTGACAGATGCATGCTGACAAACTGCATTCCAGAAGTGTTGCAATATTCATATTCTCTCACTCAATAGCACAAGACAGCATCTATCGACCACACCCAGAAGCACACTGAGCAGCTTTACTTTTAAAATGTAATTAGACAGCCAAAATGGAAAAATGGTATCTCATTGTTTTCTGAATTTGCATTTCTTTGGGTATAAATGAGGCAAATATTAATCACTTATTATCAGCCATTTTATTTTCATGTTTATGAACCATCTCTTTATGTCTTTTGTCCAGTTCTCAGATGTTTGTCTAACTTGTTGTTTACTTTCTCTCTTTTGTTATGCTAATATATGACAAATTTTATATTGATGTAGTCAAACCGATCATTCTTTTGCTTTGAGATGTTTTCATTGCTTTTAAGTGTAGAATATCCTTTCCTGTTGGTGGTCAAATAGATGCTTACATAGTTTCTTCATTTTTATGGCTCAGTATTGTTTTGTTTTGTTTTTATATTTAACTTTTTTCATCCACCAACAATTAATTTTCTTGATTGACATGAAGATAGGGAGTAACTAAACTTACTTTCCTCAAATACCTACTAATTACTTCTCTATTGTTAATTAAATAATCCTGTATTTCCCCTACGGTTTGCTGACACTAGCTTATAATGTACAGGTCCTCCCTGAGCACTCTACTGCAAGTCTAGCACAGCATGCTTTTCCAAATGCAAACATGCACATGCACACACACGCACACACACACACATGCTCACACACACCAATGTTCCTCTACCCTCCCATGTTTAGTTTTTCTATTCATAGCACTTATCACTAACTGTCATATTTTCACTTTATGTCTGCTTGTTTCTTTGTTATTTGCTGAATTATTGAATGAATTACATCCATAAAATATACATAATTTTGAATCTAGGTGATCATCTGATCCATTGGCACATCTGCACAATCTACTTTTGAAATGCTTTTTAACGCATGATATCTTGGAAAGTATGTTTTAGCAACTAATGTGAAGTCTAGGCCACCAGCTCTCACCCAAGTTTGGAAAAAAATAATGATGCCCGGGCTCCACCCAGTGGTCTGGAGGACAGACTGGGCATCTTGAGTCCTCAGAACTCCGCAGGTGACTCTAACATACAGTCAGGAAGAGAGCCGCCGACGTAGGGCACTTATTTGTATTCTCAGGAAAGTACATTTAATACATCTTAAATGCATATATTTGGTGTGTCTAAGACATATTAAATATTTGTGCATGTACATATGTACGTACGTGTGTGTACACACACATAACGAATAGTCACAAACTTACCTAATCACCCAAAGGCATGAAGTTTTCTCTAAATGAAAAAAAAAAGTTTCCTTCAAAAATTGGGTGACCTAGGCTTAAGGTCAGTTCCAAGCTGACCACTCTGTCTCCCAAGGCAGCACAGTAAAAAGCCCTTCCAGAGGGTCCAAACAGTCACCTGAACCCCTGGCTCTGCCCAGTTGCCCTTGTTTATGGGTCCCACCCTGAGAAACTGACCTTTCTCTAAAAGTAATTCACAGAAACACATAATGTACAGGGAAAGAGCCATTTCAAAGCTCTTTCTAATGAGGAACCTGAGATTTGAGGAAGTGAAATGGCCAGCCTCAGATTACAGCTATTCACAAGGACACACATGAATCAATGTAGATGCCTCAATATAAATCACTCATTAGCAACACATACAATCGAGCAACTCCTGAGACAAAATGCCTGGATGAAAATCATAACACCAGTTTTTTTTTAATATAATTTTTCTTCTACAGTGTTCCATGCATAGTCGTTTTACTCAGCCTGTGAGATGATAAAACAACCAAATGCAAAGAGGAGAAAATGATCTTGGGGCATAACATACACACACACACACACGCTTAAACTCTAACAAACAAAATAATTTGTGTGGAATCTGGCTTCTCATCTGTAAGGCCAAGAAAATCAATGCCACCTCATAGTCCTTGTCACACAAGTGTCTGTTGTTAGCCTTATGCTTCCCCCCAAATCTGCCTATGCCTGTGCTACCTGGGCCACCCTCCCCACTTATCCCAGATGCCAGGTCCCTAGAGTCCTTTCAACTTGGCTCAGTATTTGCCTTCTCAAGGAAGCTCTCCAACTGCAACAGCCCCAAATGGCACATGCCTATGTCCAAGCCCGTCTCCATCACTCTGCAGGTGTTTCCATCACTCCTGGACTAGCTCCCACTCTCTGGTGAGGTCCCTGAAGGCAGGGACCCTGCCTTTTCTTTTTTTTCTTTTTTTTTTTTGAGATAGAGTCTCACTCTGTCGCCCAGGCTGGAGTGCAGTGGCACAATCTCTGCTCACTGCAACCTCTGCCTCCCAGGTTCAAGGGATTCTCCTGCCTCAGCCTCCCGAGTAGCTGGGATTACAGATGCATGCCACCATGCCTGGCTAATTTTCTGTATTTTTAGTAGAGACGGGGTTTCACCATGTTAGCCAGGATGGTCTCGATCTCCTGACCTCATGATCCGCCCACCTCAGCCTCCCAAGTGCTGGGATTTAGACCCTGCCTTTTCAATCCACATTCCTAGGCCTTAGCCTTAGTTCTCAGCCTTTGGATGTATATTTGTGCAGGGAGAGGGAAAACACTGTCCCCAGAACCTGCACAAACCCAATTCCCCAAATTTACCCCTCCTAGCCCATCCAAGGCCCTGAGGTTGAGAGGTGTGCTCCCAATAGCAGCACTGTGTATGACACAAAATCAGTATTTGCAAAGGGTCTTGAGAATGAAGCAAGGGAAGTCAGTGAAATGAATACAATAATCTTGGATCTCTGTATCTGGCTGCAATTGACACCTCATTAATTTGTCTGATAACTGCGATGCAAGGTGCTGGGCATTTTAACTTCCCAAGGCTGGGCAGAAAAAAGACAAAGGCTCTGGAATCAGAAAAACTGTAGGTGTGGATCTGGGATCTACTACTTAGTAGCTGGATACTCTTGGGTAAATGACGGAATTCCTCCTCCCTTTTATTAAAGCATAATAATAGTTCCTATTTCATGTGGCCCTTAGGAGGATTAAGTGAAAATAAGATATCTAAAAATTTTCTACAGTGTCAGGCACACAGTAAGCACTTAAAAAATGACAACTATTGTTATCATTTATTTCAGTCGTTCTCACCTCTCCAGAAAATAATTGGGGATGTCTTAATTTCTAAAACTATACTTTCAGAGAAAGACAGGATGCTGTCTCATCAATTATTCACACGTATTCACACACACACTATCTCTCTCTCTCTCTTAATTGATCTTGTTTTGAGAATCCCTCCCCGGATGGTGGTCTTCCCTTCCTCTGGGGGGTGGGGAGGGGATGCGGGTGGCAGCGGAGCCCACCCTTACCTTCAGAGAGGCGTCCCCGAGGCTGGGGCGGGGGCGGCAGCTCCTCCTTCACGCCAGGTCGCGACTGCGGAGGCCAAGTTCAGAAAGTAGGTGAGAAGCAGCGATCTCCGCCTCCTGACTACCGTGGAAAGTGAAAGAGAGGTGTGATTAAAGAGATAAGGCACCCAGAGAGGGCTACAAAAAAAAAAAAAAAGAAGAAGAAGGAAAAAAAGTAGGAACAGAAAGAAGAATGTCAGGCGTCTGGCAGCTCCTGGCTGCTAACCCCGGCCGGTGGAGGCTGCAGGTGGGCACTGCCCGCGGTCGGGCGAAGCTCCGGGTCCGGGAGTGTAGCGGTCTGGGGCGCTCTCAGTCTGGGGCGCTCCCTGGCGTAGAATCCTCCCTGACTCGGAGGTCCCGGTCTGGGGACCCTCCGGTCCGGGTGCTCCTCGCAGCCGTGCTCCAGGACCGGCTCCTCCACCCAGACGCCCCGCGTGGAGTTACCGGAGCTACTGGATCGCGGGGTCCAAAGGTTGCTGCTGGAAAACCCAGCGCCTTGCCCTTTTCCCGCGGACGGCGTGGGCCCCAGGCGTCTGGCGCTTCCTGCCCAGCCGCGCGGCGCGGGTCCCGGGAAAACCCGGGCTGTAGCCGGGTGACCTGCGGGGCCGGAAGGGGGCGCGCCCGGGCCGCTCGCAAGCACCCTGCAGGCCGCGGTTCACAGCAGAGGATGCCAGGAGGGAGGACCGCTGGCCGCAGCGGCCGCCCGGCTCTTCAGAGGAAGAGGAGGGGAGGGCTGAGGGTGGAAGAGGGGTCCCCGGGGGATGCCGAAGGTGAGAGGGGCTCCGCGTCTCAAGTACACAAATGCGCCCCAGGCTTTTTGCTTTCCCAGAAGGATGGGAGTTCACTATAGGGAAGTAATAGAGAGGGGTGCAATTGTTGAAGTTTTAATTTTTTTTAAGGAGGCCAAAGGGGAATGTGTGTTTCTAGATTTTTATTTTGTGGCAGAACTGTTATTTAACCAAAGGAAAAGGGAAACCCATAGCCGACAGGCAAAATGTTCAATTGGACAATGATTTTAATTCTTTTTACCCAATTTAGATAATTCACCACATAATAAATAAAAATATGTAATTATCTCAATAAATGCAAATAAAAGCATCTGGCAAAATTCAACACCCTTTCTGAATTAATAACGATCAGAAAACCGAGAGTAGAAATGATCTTTCTTAATCTGATAAAGAACATCTATAAGAAACCTACAGGTGACCTCATAATAGTGAAACATTTTACTTTTTCCTAAGATTAGTAATGAGATAAGGATTTTGGCTCCCACCTGGGACAACTGCTTTGCAACAAGTGAAGAAATAAAAATAAAATTAGAAAGCATAAAGATTGAGAAGAAAGAATTAAAACTACTGGTTTTAACAGAGAGCATAATTATATGTAGACCAACTTTTGAAATCTACAAAAAAAAAAACTACTGGAAATATTAAGTTTATCAAGATCATGGAATATAAAAATCAATAGCAATTCTATATATTAGAGATGGAAACTTGAAAAGTGAAGTTTGTTAAAAATGCCATTTACCATAGCATTTAAAAATCAAAATACCAAAGTATAAATTCATTGGATAATATATGAGATATCTCCTGTGAAAACTACAAAATATTGCTAACAGAGATGAAACATCTAAGTAATAAAGGGATATACCACGTTTACGGATTGGAAGACTTAAGACATCTATTCTCCACACTGTATATTTTTAGACTCTATATATTACAGAATCTATATATTTAATACAATTCAATCCAAATCCCAGGAAAATTTTTCAAAGAAATTAAGAAGCTGTTTCTAAAATTCATATGAAAATGCAAATAATCTAGGATTGTCCGGACAGAGACGGAGTTTTGCTCTTCTTGCCCAGGCTGGAGTGAGTGCAATGACGCGATCTCGGCTCACTGCAACCTCCGCCTCCCGGGTTCAAGCGATTCTCCTGCCTCAGCCGCCCGAGTAGCTGGGATTACAGGCATGCACTATCACGCCTGGCTACTTTTGTATTTTTAGTAGAGACAGGGTTTCTCCGTGTTGGTCAGGCTGGTTTTGAACTCTCGACCTCAGGTGATCCACCCATTTCAGCCTCCCAAAGTGTTGAAATTACAGGGGTGAGCCACCTGCCCGGCCTGTCTGGGCAATCTTGACAAAGATGAACAAAGTTGAGAGACTTATACTGACTTGAGGATTTATAATAAGGCAATAGTAATTATGGCAATGTGATATTCACAGAAACATACAAACATACAAAATAGAAAGTAGACTAATAGATCCACACATATCTAGTCAATTGATTTTTTTAACAAAGCACCATGTCAATTCAGTGGGGAAAAAACAGTCTTTCACAAACATTGCTGGAACAGCTGGGTACCTCTACAGAAGAAGCAGCAGCAGAAAAAAGAACTTTGTCCTTGCCTTGTTCTATATACAAGTATCAATTCACAATAGACCATGGACCTAAACATAAAAGCTAGAACCGTAAATATTTCATAAAAATACAGAGAAGACCCTTGAACAGGCAAAAAATAAATAAATAAATCATGCTCTTGGACAGGCAAAAAAAAAAAATTCTTAGCTAGGACACAAAAAAAAATAGCCATTTGGGACACATTGATTAATTGGACATCACCAAAATTAAAAATGTCTACTAAACAAAGACATCACTTAAAAATGAATAGATAACCCTGGAAATATTCTCACTTTACATCTATCTGGCAAAGAACTTGCATCCACAATACATAAATAATTCCTACACATCAACAATATAAAAAGAAATACAATTTAAATAAGGCAAAATATTTTGCCTTCACTAAAAAATATATACGAATGGCCAATGAAAACATGAAAAGGGCTCATCATCATGAGTCGGGGAACTTCAAGTTAAGACCATGGTGATCTTCATCTAACACCTGTGAAAATTGTTAAAATATAAAGAAACTTGACAACACCAATTATTGGTGAGGCAATGAAGCAGCAGAGCTCTCATACACAACTGGTGGGAATGTAAAGTAGTACAATTAGTTTGCGAAACAATGTATAAGTTTCTCTGAAAGTTAAATATGCACCTACCCTATGACCACTCTTAAGTGTCAAAATAAAATCATAAGTCCACAAGTATGTTCATAGGAGACTCTGTCTCAAATACATATATATAATATTATATATATAAAATATTCTATATAAAATATATATTATATTATATATAATATTCTATATAAAATATATATTATATTATATATAATATTCTATATAAAATATATGTTATATTATTTATATAGAATACTATATATTATATATAATATTATATTATATTATATATTATAATTATAATAATTATATAATGATTTATATAATAATTATATATAAATATATAATTTATATTTATATAATTTATATAATAATTATATATAAATATATATAATATATAAATTATATTATATATCATATTGTATATAAAATATATAATATTATATATAATATTATATATAAATTTTATATATATAATATATATTATATATAATATTATATATAATATATATTATATATAATATATTTATATATATTATGTATAAGATATATTATATATTAATTATATATAATTAATAATTATGTATAAAATATATATTATATATTAATTATATATAATTGATAATTATGTATAAGATATATTATATATTAATTATATATAATTAATAATTATGTATAAAATATATATTATATATTAATTATATAATTAATAATTATATATAAAATATATATTATATTATATATAAAAATATTATATATAAAATATTATATATTAAATAATATTATTTTTATATGTTATATATTATACATTATTAGATATTCTATATTATATTTTATATAATTATATATAATTATATACACATTTTATATAGAAAATATTATATATAATATTATATATAATATTTTATATATAAAATTATATATAAAATATTATATATAATATTATATATAAAATATTATATATATATATAGAAAATAAAGAAAATCTGGCATGTTGGGAACAAGATTTACAACTGACATTCTGCCTGAGGGAATCAGAATGTTCTTCAAGTGACGTGAAAATCTACTCTCGAATGATTAGTTTGCTATTCAGATTATTGACAAGAATGAGGAGAAACAAAGCAAGACAGAGAGAGAGGAAAAAAGAGTAGTGAAAACATCCCACACCACAGTGAAGACAGGCAAGCAAAAGGGAAAAGGGAAGAAAATGGTGGCTGGAGGATGGTGGAGGATTGAGGAGAAAAATTTCTGGCCATTTTGCATCCACCCAGAAGCAGGGAAATGGAAGGAAAGTTACCAGATGAAACCTGAGGCCTGAATCCCTTTAATATTCCTGCTCCTCACACTTCAGTGCAGGGGCATAAGCCAGCTAGGAGAAGTCAGGAAAGCTTCAAACTCAGATGCCTTTGCACATCACAGCAGGCACTATTGCTTCTGGGCAGCCAAGGGAGTCAAACTAGAGGCCTTTCTGGGAATTTTGCTTGGCACAGGCATTTGGTACCTCACGTGCTTCCAGAATTTAGAATTCAGGGACCTTTTATTGGCAATGTGGTCCTCCCTCCACTTGATGGTCCCCTGTACTTTCATAAGATGCTGGAGGGAGTCCTGAAGCGCCTCAGCCTGCAGCATGTCCAGCTCGCTCAGAGCCTCCATCTCAATAAGTATCACCTTGGCGTCGTTCTGGATGAGGGCACAGTGCAGGGCAACCTCCTGCTCGTAGGCAAACTCCTTATTGTGAGTGATCTGAGGGGTCAGGATGAAAATGTGCCGCCTGCTCTTTCGTATGTTGGTTTCCACTGCAGTGACTACATCTAGTCATACAAGAAATAGATCAGATTTCTTATCAGTCTAATGCTTTAAACATAAACATCCTGAACATTTAAAAGTCTTATTGTTATAATCTGGTGTGAGATTCTCTGACATCAAGTCACTTACTCAGAGAAGTGGAAGTATGTGTGGATAGAGAACCCGTTTTGTTCTTTGTGTTCCTTTCATTTGTGAGAATATCAGCCCCAATGTCCTCTTTTTATTTCCCAGGTAGCTTAGTCTTAACTAAAACAGAGTCCTTCCAAGTAAATGGGAATGTAAAGATATTTAGTCTATTGTTGCATTAGAGACTTAGAATTCTGGTTCATTCTTCTTAGAATACATATTATCTTCTTAGAATATTTGCTTATATGTTTTTCAATGGCTTAAAATTTTAACTCACATATTAAAAATCACAAACTCAGGAAGCTTTGCCCCTCAAAATTGTCCAAAGTCTCTAGGAAAGTAAGTCCTGACTTTACTTCACCCCCATTAATCTCTGTTGTAGAAACTGATTTGATCCAAACTAGAAAAATCTCAAGGGACAATAGATCCCCTTTCCCATTTGGCATTTATACAGCGTAGACACCATGGTGATTCCAATTAGCTCTGGGTGGACTCAGAAAGAACATGAAATACCCAGTCCTCACTGCAACAGGAGAAAGCACAACCGTGAATAAAACAATCCAAGATATTCTCACAGACGGGTGTCTGAGGGATTGCAGATGCATGAGGCAGGCCAGCTGAGAAGAGGTGCTCCCAGAAGGAGAAGCACAGCTGCTCCAGAAGCCCCACGTGGAGAGGCAGGTACATGACCACCCTCTGACCTCCTGCCAGTGCCTCCCATTGGCCAAACCCAGCCTGGAGCAGAGGACAAGGGTGCAATGGATTCCATGATGATCAGCCACCCAGGGCCACTGGATGGAATGGTGGTGCAGAGAGGATTTTGATGGGGCAAATGCAAGGTAAGTTGCATGAGACTATAGACAGTACCTTAGTCAGTCATGAACTTTCCTAAGTGAAGAGTGAAGTTTGGTGTTGTTGGGTTTCATTTATTTTGGTTGAGGAAAGGTCAGAGGACATGCATTGACAGAGGGAAGTAGAAAACCATTCCAGATTAGTATGTTGTCACACATTGAAGGCAGCACAAGCTTGAGTGTGAGAGAGCTAGCATCTGGGTTTGGCTGAGGAGAAGTGTAACTAGAACTTAGGTGGATAGACTGAAAAAGAAGAGGTGAAGAGCTTGTGGCCAGATGTGGCACATTGTTGAGCTCACAAACAACAGGAGTCCCTGCAGGTTCTTGAGTACATTTGTAATATGAAAAGAGTGTTTGAGAGCATTACTCATTACTTCTACCTGCATGGGTGGCCAGTGGGAAAATGGGGGAAGAAGAGAGCCTTGAGAGAAGAAATGCATTAGATTCTCCTAAATTGTATCTTTCACAAGTCTCTTGAGCCGTTATTGAGGCTATTAGCATTCCCAGATATTCCAGGGTAAACCAAAGTCACCTGTTGTTCATACCTTTACATCTATAGGCATGTGAATTCCTCTTCTTAGTAAAATGAGTTTAAAATGTAAAACTGAACATTTACTTTATTATGCTTAGGCCCTTGATAGCTGAGCCCCAGTTATATTCCAAACCCTTCCTGGTCTGTGAGAAATTAGAGAAGAGTTCACAAGGAGGGTCCACAGGTACTGGACATAAATGTATGAAGGGAAGGGAAAAATAACTACTGCAAACACAGGAGTTGTGATAAAACTGTCAAAAGTATATAAAATTGGGTAGGAATATTAAGGAACAGAAGCTATAGTTCTTTTTGTTCTGGTGAGAATATAAATTTGCAAATGTTTCACCAACATAAAGAAAGTCATGAAGACTCTCTGAGTACTTTTAAGGTATTTCAGCTAGTGCCTATGGCTACCAGAACAAAACTCATCAATTTTTAAGTCCTCTTTCAAATCTTATGGACAGAATTAAGAAGTGGCAGAGTTATCCTGGTGGGGGACCAAGGGAATAAAGTAGGGATGATGGTTTGCTAAGTCCTTGAAGCAAAGGACTTCTAACTCTGAATTCACACCACCAACATTACTGTGAAGATCTCATCACCAGGACAATGATGGGAGAGGGGCGATTGAAGGATAAGTGTCTGCTTCTGGATAAATATTTAAAGTTCTGGTCTTAAGGCCTGTGGTAGTAAATGCAATTCATTATCCAATGCAGGGATAAGGCCACCTAGTTCACAGCCTTTAATAAGCATGAATTTCTGTCCCTAATGTATGTCAATAGCTTTACCTTCTCCAGGTAGCATATCTCTCCCATAAATGCATAAGGTATAGCCACATTTATTTTCAAGAACATCAGGCAGAATCTGGTGAACAAAGTGCTCTACACGACTGGCCCCATCTGTACTGGATTTGTAGTTCCGTGGGTAGACAACATAAGCATCATAGAGCTTTCCATCTGAAAATGAAAACAAGAAGTACAACTTCTTACTTGATTCTAAAAATTCTCACTGGACTCTTTGAAGACATTCCTCTCCAAGTTTTATGGCTGTTGGTGAATGTATGTCATCCTCCAAAATATTCTAGACTCAAGAGATGTTGACGTCAAACCACTGCCACAAAACACTATCAGGAAATAACAGTCTTCATCCCAAAGTGTTTCTCCTTTTTACTGTCACAGACTAAATAACAAAAAAGTGGACAAGAACCTGTCCATCTCATCAATTTTGATTAATAATCTATGACTAAGGGGGCCTTCTGTGCTGAATAGACTTTGGTTTCATCTTTGGTTTCCCCATACTCCCCTGGGGAAGTGAAAAAATTTAAAGCTAATAGTAGCAAGGGCATAGAATTTTTTAAGGGATCTGAATTTTCCACAGATCAAACAATGAGCTCCTACTTCAGTCAACTGTTTGAAAAATGCAACATGTATCTGCCTCCAAATGTAAGCATGAAGTTTGCATCTAGCAGGCAGAACTGACTCCTTTCATGCACATGCTTGTGTGCCTGGGTTAGACTTTACAGATCAGGGTTTCAGGTAGAACACACATGCATTCCGATGGACCTTTCTAACCTGCTCACATCTGGAAAACAGGAACAATTTTGCTACTGTGTTTAACTTCATAATGTCTTACCGATACATTATGAAATTTACACCTTTCTGGGCTTGGGGCAGATTCTGTTATTGGGAACTCAGTAGGAATAGCAATCCTATCGGGGAAGAAAAGTGAGCTGTTGAGATGGATCTCAGGACCGTGAGGATTTACATAGCAGGATGGAAAATGGCCTTTAAGAAAATCCAAAAACACAACTCACTGATAACAGATTAGCAAGCAAAATGGAATCTGGGCTTAGCAGCCTAGCTACTGAAAGATTAATAGACAGGTAACCAACAGTTATTATGGGACTTTTTCTTTGGGAGAAAAACTTGGTATTTGCCACTTACCATTCCTAGTCTTGTAAGGTTTAGCTATGTCTCTCCAGAGCAGAGTGGCCTCAATCCAGAACATTTTTAGGATGATAACCAGGACATTGATTAGCATTAAAAATACACTACATACTGCAATTATGCAGTAGATGCTATGATGATCAACTATTCAAAAGAAAGAAAAAGATTATTATTACTACTGAAACAAGATATAATAAACTGATACATGGATGTTGGCTTCCCTTGGGAGTACAAGAATTTCACATAAGATATACCCACTGGGAATTTTCATGGCTGCTTTAAGTACCAGGACAGTCACATTTATTGAGCCTCTACAACACATCAGGCTAAGCATTATAGGGCATTCTCAAAGGCAAAAGAGGCAGAGAGACACTTGTCAACTTAACTAAGATGGGAGGCAAAAGCATGATTTTTGCTGGCAGAGGAGTTTAGAAGGAGAGCTTGCTCCATGCAGGACTGGGAAAGGGAGCCTTCCTGGAGGAGGAGGAGGCCTCTGAAAGATGAGTAGGATTCAGGGAGATGCAAAAAAGGAAATGCCCACCTGGGCAGAGAGAATACCATAAGCCTAAGTGCAGAGAGGAAGTGTGTTTTCTGAGGAAATGGAATAACCCAGTTTGGGGAATTGGTGGAAGATATGATTAGAAAGTTTGGTCAGGGCCAGGTTCTGTCCAGACTTGAAACCCCAACTAAGGCAGATTGCCTTATTCTGAAGGTCACAGGAGCACTGGAGACTTGAGTGGTTTTCCCAAGAGATTAATCTGATGGTAGCAGAAAGTTTGTTTCTGTGGAAAGAAACTATGGGCACTCAGAGAAGAATGGAGTGTGGTACTTGGGTTGCAAGATGCAGAGGGTTGTAACTCATGCAATAATGAGAAAGGAACGGACAAGGTGCTGTCAGGGCATTAAGGAGAAGGCATCAACGGGTCTGAGACAC
The DNA here is from genome assembly GCF_000001405.40 of Homo sapiens. Classification (NCBI taxonomy): domain Eukaryota; kingdom Metazoa; phylum Chordata; class Mammalia; order Primates; family Hominidae; genus Homo; species Homo sapiens. The sequence continues at coordinate 102,347,154 of NC_000002.12, read as the reverse complement.
TTGTTGCCTCTAAGGGCTTAGCAGTGTGGGAGGTAGGAGAAGAAGCAAGAGTCACCTAAGTGGCTAAAGCGTCTTTGATAAAGAATTCAAAAGTCAAATTACTAAGTTCTAGGTCCTACTCATAGCCCATACTTCTCTCATGGTGAACATTACTCAACCAACCCAGAAATTTTTCCTAGTACTCCTTGCTTCACAAAATGTAGATGCAACATGCATATGCACTGATGAATGTGAGAAGAATCTCAAATGAGATTTGCTGATACGGTTCTTTTCCGTCTTAAGTCTCCATGCATGGGCTCCCAGTTTTAAGGTAGAAAAATCACTGGCCCATATTCACGAATTCCTCCACAACCTCTAATAGTTTATCAGTTCTCTCAATGACCAGCAGTATGGAATCAAGAATTATCAAGGTGATGTGACACAAAATTGGGGGGAAAAAGTGAAAATTGACAAAGAGCTTACTGTCATCAGGTTAAATAATGAAAACTCCGTAAGTAAATCATTTCAACAGGATTCCTTTCCAGGTCACTCTCTCTCTAAAATCCCCAGCTGGATGCACAGAGGAATGTGTACTTCCTGTGGGGATTGCTGGGAAGTAACCATGCCATTGGCTGGACGCTTCCAAGTAGAGGAAAGAAGTTGATCCAAGACATCAGAGGAAGTCTTCGTAAGTGTGAATTATTTTATAAAAGTATAAGTAATTCAGGTATGTGATGACAAAACATTACTTTCTGTATACACATATAGCTAGGAAAATGCTGGCTGTGTTTGAATCCTTGCTCCATAACTGTAGTATTTCGCAAGTTATTCAACTTTCTTTGTCTTTTACTTTGAAGTATTGAGAAAATAAATGAGAAAGTTAAATGTAAAATAAGCAGATGAGTCCTTGTACATAGGAAATAATGAATAAATGTGTATTATTATTATGAGCATCAAATATGTATTTAGTAATAGTTAATAAAATGGAGACATAGGCCTTTCAAGTTTTTGTTCTCTTAAATTCAAGAAATGCTATAATTTCAGAAATAAAAAAGAATTCATCATGACAACTCAATAGCAGTAGTAATAATTTGTGTTTAATTTATACAGTTGCTGAAACAGAGTGTAACCATGTTGATTTAAAGAAAAACAGGTGAAATACAAATAAGCTAGAAGGAGCAAAATCATTAAACACCTGTAACACGAAGATAATTCAAACACATAGGTAACCAGGGACATTGATCAATGATAACGTAGCAAAGCAGGAGTACACAAGGGCAGTGTGAGTGGGCAGGCTGGATGGATGGCTGCAGGGTCTACTGGGCCCACCACCACCCCAAGCATGGCCCTCACATAGCACCTTGATGGGGTCCACAGCCTTCCTGGGGTGCCACACTTATCACTGGCAGACACCAGAGACCCACAGAACACTACGGCACTTATAGCCATCTACATGAGTTATGATTCTGTTTATTTTATGAAAAACTTACAAATCAGGGGTTAAAGTCAAAATTAAAACAAGAAAAACCCCACATAGCACTTCAGGCAGAGACCTGCCACGATTACACCATATTGGGGGCCCGCTGTCCCCACACCCCTATCCTTTCTCCTCCTGTTGTGCCTCTCTCTGTGTATCTGGATGAATCCTAACCATACCACACACATGGGTGGGAACTCAGGGTTTAACACTCTTTGGCTATTTGACAGGCACATTAAACAATTTCTACATGATTGTACAGCCCCTGAGGAGTGATGAGTGTAAAAATATATTTCTCTCTTTCCTTCCTTTTATACGGGATACAATGCTTCATATAGCAAACAGGATGTCTTTGCCTGGATATGTGAAGAACAAGTGAGGAAACTGGCAAGTGCTCAGGAGTGAAATGCTTGGAAAGCTGTTTTCCAAGACAACATTGCATTCAGAGACACACCAAGGGAGTGGGGAGAAGGATCAGTCCACCTCTGTGGGAAGAGCACTTCATCTCTGATGTTTCACATTGTCTGGGCATAGTGATGATAAAAAGCACAATGACTTGTAGACAGCTTTATCACTGTTTTGAAAACTCTGTAGAAAACATATCCCCTTCTTGCCTGCACCCAGGAAGGATCACTCTCTCCACCCTGCTTTGGCTATTTGTGATGCCACCAATTATTTATATATAAAAAAGAATGTTACATTTTTAAAAGATTATATAGTGTCTGAAATTAACCCAATAAAGATTCATCAGTTTCATGTTGTCCTTTTATTGTGTCAAATTATAATGATATCATTAAAATCCTGCTAGATTCAGAAAAAACTGTAGGGAAGCAATAAACAATTTGACTTTCCAAATGATGAGGAAAGTTATTGAATTTACCAAACATAAATATAAAAATAGTATTTTGTTGTATAATTAAGACTTATAGCTAGAGAAGTAGAAATGTACACAAAAAAAACATTTGGTATCAATAATTTGGTTGTGCATTCATTTATTCAGTCAACAAATATTTAGCTGAGCACTGGCTAGCTGCCAGGTATTGCACTAAGGACCCAAAGATGGAAGAGATGATGTCCCTGCCCTCATGGAGCTTGCAGTCGTGTTGAGCAGACTGTCAAACAGATTTAGGTAAGGCAATGTGACCAGTGCTATGATACAAACAGGATGCTACAAGAGTACTTGGAAAGTGTGTATACTGCAAACTGAGGGCCAAGAAAGGCTCCCTGGAATACGTGGTACCTGAATTACATGGTGAATAACAGATGCAATAAAGAAATGGGCTGAGCTACCAGACTTCCCGTGTGTTCCATGTACCTTAAATACTTTACAAAGTTTAACAATGATAATGTGTGTGGTATGGTTTGGGTCTGTGTTCCTGCCCAAATCTCATGCTGAATGGTAATCCCCAGTATTCGAGGTGGAGCCTGGTGGGAGGTGATTGGATCATGGGGGTGAGTTCATCATGAATGGTTTAGCACCATCTCTTTGATGCTGTCCTTGCAATAGTGAGTGACTTCTCATGAGATCTGGCTGTTTCAGTGTGGCACCTCTCTCTCGCTCCTGCTTTTACTGTGTGAAGTGCCTGCCTTTGCTTTGCCTTCTGCCATGAGTAAAGCTCCTGAGGTGTCCCCAGAAGCAGATGCCGCCATGCTTCCCATACAGCCTGCAGAACTGTGAGCCAATTAAACCTCTTTTCATATAAATCACCCAGTCTCAGGTATTTCTTTATATCAATGCAAGAATGGCCTAACAAATGTCTTATTATAAAGTAGCACCTAGGATTTTCTCACTGAAATGGCAGTAGTTTGATACTTCCCCTTTTTGTTCACTTTACCACCCTCGCTAACAAAATGAGTGTTCATTATGACCAGAAAAAGGTATAGAACGGACCATGCTTACAACATGTAATGCAAGTTATAAAAGAGCACAAAAGAACACGTTCAGTTTACGGTTGTTGGTGCATTTCCTTTCACATACAGTGACACAGAGGGAGTTCATAAAGTTAGAAAACAAGGATGACCAAAGAAGCAGCTGAGTGTTCTAGACAAACCAACGATAGGAGGGAGTGGGGGAGGACGAACAATTTAAGCAGCAGAGAAGCTCCCAGCAAACAGGAACAGTCTACAAAGATCAGACAGCAAACAACATCCCGAAGAAGAGAAGCACATTTTATGGCACAGGCCATTCCCATTGTCTTGATGGATCTCTTGGAACCACACTCCATTCTGCTTACACTTGCTAGAGAAAGTTCAGGTGATCAAAGTCTCAGAAACACTCCTTACTTGGATTTTTCCTACTTAGTCTTACGGTGTGCCTTCTCAAGCCATGCAAATTCAGGGCCAGACAGTCGTACTGCAGCAATAAATCCTCTTCCTTCACGTCAGCTATTCTTAAAACCATGTCTAGACAAGCCAGCCCATTGCTGAAACTAAGAAAGCAACCTGTTACTTTTAATGCCTACTTTGCAGGTGCAAACCATGTGCAAGGGGAAGAGGATGGTTCTCTTCAATATAAAAATACCTTTGATTTTGCCCTTCCTCTTGTTGAATTCTTGGTTCACCAAAGTCTGTAATTTTTGTTCCATTAAGCTGCCACAGGACGGCAGCCAAGAACTGAGTGCCTTTTCCAAAACAAGCAGAGCAAGTTAGGTTTGCGTTTTTTCCTAGAGGGGAGTAAGGACATTCACCAATAAAATTAACTTCTGCGACTGGCATTTTATCCCATTTAATGTAAAAAAAAAACCTTACTGAACACTTAGTATGCACCCCACCAGGACCTCCCTCCCTCATCTCTAGCACCTTCCTCTTTCTATGTCCTCTCTTGCCTCCTCCCTGCTTCCATTACCTTCATTCACCCAGCTGGGTTTGAAGCTCAGCTCCCACTATATTCTCATCTGCATGGGAAACTAACAAGGCCAATGATTCTGCCTTCACCAACCCCACATTACAAAGGATTTCTAGTAAAAGGATTGCCCTCTACTAGAAATTAGAGTTTCTTTCCAACTGCCCTCTTCCACATCTTTCTACAGAACTCTCTTCATCTCTCCATAAGCTACTTTGAAGATAAACATGTTTTACCGGATCTGGCTACCATTGCCCAGAATGAACACCCTGCAGGTCTCCATCCCAAGCTCTGGGATAGAGATGAAGATGAAATTAGATGCATACATGAAAGCATCATGAATTACAAAGTACAATAAACAAATGTAAACACTGCAATTGCTGTGTCCCTGTTCCCAATATTAGCAAATGCTTGGGGCAGGTGCTTTCAGGGATGTCACCTCACTTACTCCTCAAGGTTCCTTATGCTAATTGCCTGACCCCTGCTAAGGGAATTCAGAACAGGGGTCATATGGAAGGATTTTTCCAGGCAATATTTACAGCATTCTGATAAATTTTCTTACCAATTTCCACTTCCTTTATTTCATTTTGTGCAGGGGCTCCGATTACTGGAAACAGAGAAAAGCCTTGCTCATCTTAAAGACAAAAAGAAATATAAATATTAGGAGAGCATTGAATGCTAGTCAATATAAAGCTTGTATTTTCATGTTTCTATTCTATTTCATAGCAATGTTTTTCAAGTTCTTCTGACAATAACCCATAATGACAAACACACACACACACACACACACACACACACACACACACACACGAAACAGAAAGGCACTTAAATAAAACTTTCTTTTATTACCTATGATGCTCTTTAATATCATTATTCTCTGATATCACTTAAACAAATGCAGATCCAACCCATAAAACTAATTACATGACCTAGTAGTTGTTAGAAAACTACTCTTCTACAGAATAAGAATAAGACTACAGAGAAGATTTCAAAAGACCCATGAAAATAATAAATGGATGAGTCCACAGATTTGCTCGCAGTTCTCCACTAGGGTGGCCCATCCTCAGTGAAATCTTCCCCGTACGGAATTCTGACTCCTGTGACCACTAAGGCTGAAAGACGGGCAGTGCTTATGGAGCACTGCTGCAATCCTCCATCCCTTCATGCTCATTTATTTAATGACAGTGTGATTAAGGACCACTGTAAGGGTTGATATTAAACAGAAAGAGGCACTGATAGGAATGTGGTCTGGTGATGCTTATTTTACAGCGGTGGAGTATTGAAAAACTCCAAAAATTTGTCTCCAATATTGCTTTGCCCTGAAAAAACTGTCATACGTAAAGGGGCTATTACATCTACGTCTGTAGATCGACTTGTGCTAAGGAGACCCCAATCCTTTGTAGATTGATAAGCTATGATTGTGAAATCTTTCCCTTAAATAAGCTTTTATAAAATTTAAAATAACTTGGAAAACACATTTTTAGAATGAAGTGACTTACTCAAGGCCATTGATGATGTTGAAAGTATTGCAAACAAAGATTAAAAACCACTCGACAACATTTATGTACACCATAGTATACCATCACAAAGCCTCTCATTAGACTTTGAATCCAATGAGTATTACTAAAGATTAAGCTCTTTTTTAATTTGCAGAAACTCTGACACCAAACTAGAAAAAAAAAAAAAAAGCTGGTTTTGCTCTCCAAATAGTTGTATTGCCATTCAAAAAAAGTAAGTTAAGTTAGCATTCAGATTGCTTTATCTTTGGAAAATTAAGTCACAAAAAAAGAATAAAGAACAGATGTGGCTTTGAATTAGTAATGTAATTTCCCCCTGAAATTTCTTAAATCTTGATAGTGTGTTCAGAAAACCTCTTTGCGTCATAGTTCAGAATGTATAAGATAAGATGGAGCAGGAGGAAGTAAAGGGAGGAGGGAGAAGTGCAAGAAACCCAACCAGAAGGGCACCGCTGTTCCCACTTCGACTTCTTTCACGTAGTATTCTATCTCATTAATGTCAGTAGCTTACCCTTGACCGTGAAGGACCTGGTCGCCGTCACACTATAATTGGCTCCATTTTCATTGTGTATAAATTTACAGGTGTAATCACCTGCGTCCTCAGTCATCACATTATCAATGACCAAAAATGACTTGTGCGCCCTGTACCTTGATCCTTGAAGAGCCTGACAATTCTGAAATAAGAAATTCCATTTCCTTCTCAGTAATTCTTCACTTTTATTTATTTATCTGTTGACAGAATGTTTGTTGCCTAGGCTGGAGTGAGTGGTGCAATCTGGGCTCGCTGTAACCTCTGCCTTCTAGGTTCAAGTGATTTTCATACCTCAGCCTCCCAAGCTGCTGGGATTACAGGTGTGTGCCACCACACCCAGCTGATTTTTATATTTTTAGTAGAGATGGGGTTTCCTCATGTTGGCCAGGCTGGTCTCAAACTCCTGGCCTCAAGTGATCTGCCTGCCTTGGCCTCCCAAAGTGCTAGGATTACAGGCATGAGCCACTGTGCCCGGCCACTTGTGTCTATTTTAATTGTGTAATTTTCATCTATTTCCTTCCAAATTTCTTCTTACCTTAAACCACTCAAGAGGTGCTGTCCAGTTGTAGAGGTCAATGGTAGGACAATAAATTTTGGAATTTTTTTCTGATCCAGATACTGTTGAATACATCAAATAATCTGGAACATTGCAATCTGATTGTTTTTTATATATGGTGACATTCGCATATCCAGTCCTATTGAATGTGGGACTGTTAAAATAAGTCAGACAATTAAAAGAGTCACTTAGCATTGTGAAATAACTTAATCTAAATTCAGCCTTTACTTAATATTGCTTTTCTTCTTAAAAACCATCAATATACATAATGGTTATTTTATTATTTAAAAATAAACATTAAAATCTAGAGTTTAAATACTTTTTTGTTACACTTGAGCTAAAAACATAGCCCCCATAGTAGCCCTAACAATGACTTCTTCACCATTTATTCATACACTACATCTGCTGTAATGCTGTAATCCCAGTGTAATAAAGATAATTACTATTTATTCAGAGTTTACTCTGTACCAGTGATGATGATGAGCACTTTTCACACATTACCTTAGTTTATTTTCACAATAATGCTTTGAGATGAAATATATTATTACATTATATGCATTTTACAGAGAAGGAAACTGAAGGGCAGAGAAGTAACTTGCTGGCATCGCACAGTTAACTAGTGGCAGAGCATGAATTTGACACTTGTCTAGTCTCAGACCTAGGCCCTTAACTAATACATCCTGCTTTTTGATTTAATTCATTTGACATTTTGTGTGTGCCAAATACAGCCACAAAATCAAAACATTTAACAATTTGTGAACAAAAGTAATTAATTTTTAGGCACACAATCTCATCAGCCTTCTGTGGCTTAACTTGAAGGTTAGAAGCCCCTTTTCACCTACTAGAGGCCCCCTGAGATGGAAAACATCCAGATTACTATTTTCTGTGCTAGTTTGTTCTTAATTCCAGCCAAAAGTAAGCAATTGCTCTCAGTTATCTTGGTCACTAGGAAAGCTAGGTTTTTCTCTAAGTCAGCTACAAATCAATCCCTGCAACTGTAAATCCAAATAGCTCAGAATGAGCTAGACCTCAACCTGATAGTATTCCTAGAAGTTTATCCAAATCACTTTTATTCAAATCATTTTATAAATTTAACTGTTCCAGAAAGGACTAGGGAAGGAATGAAAGCAAGGGCAGCTCAGGCAATCAACCACTGAAGAAAGGGGAGCAGGGTGAAAGAAGATGGGAGCCTTCTGCATAATACCTTCTGACAATACAGGTATAAATACCAGAATCAGCAACTGCAGCTGGTAGAAACTTCAGAAGTTGGCCTGAGGCAAACACACGATTTCTTTCCTGAGTGGGAATACTTTTGTTTGTTTGTGAGTAATACCAATCCACGGTGTAACTAGGTTTTCCTTGTCTAGGACATCTTACAATTAAAGCCTCATTTTCCAGGCCCCATGATTGTTTACCTGCAAATAAAAGATATAAAGACAATCCTGAAATGATCAAATGAAAAGATCATAATTCTTATACTCTCAATATTTTCTTCTAGGATTAAATTTAGAAGCCGGTCATATACTGTGATACCTTGGGAAAGAATAAGTAACTGTTAAGATCTCTTATGAAATGTTAATGAATTAATTTGGAGCTAAATCCCCCACAGTTATCCAATGGAAAAGCAGCCTTATCTATCTAAACAAACTGTGTGTCAGTCAATAAACATCCACAACACTTCCCATGTGCAGGCACCACATTAAATTCTGCTGCATTTGAATATGCAAAGCCAAACTGATGATATATTCATTACAAAGAATTTCTTCTGATAGATTTGTAATGAAAAATGATTGTACAAAAGCAATATATTTTTCAGTTTACAATTCAACTGGAACAACTGGAAGCAAACTGCTTAAAACAAGGTAAATGTTCTTGAAATTATTTAATTTATAAAAATTTAAATTATACTTAGAAGGCAATACTTACTAAACTTTGCTGCTGTGGAATACATGAGAATTGTGAGAATTGCTAAGATCCAAAACCCCATTCTGTTTATCAATCAAGAGCAAGTATTGGTAACTCGTTGTTGAGATTACTCCAGATGAGTCACTGGCATACGACAGTGAAGGTCACCACACATGAGGCAGTTGGTGATACTCTTCAAGACTGAGTTGGGAAGAGTAGCCTATATCTCAACTGAAAAATAAGT